>NC_000020.11:30088348-30425128 GCF_000001405.40 Homo sapiens
GAATTCAACTCAAAGAGTTGAACCTTTCTTTTGTAGAGCAGATTTGAAACTCTTTTTGTACAATCTGTAAGTAGATATTTGGAGCGCTTTGAGGCTTATGGTGGAAAAGGAAGTATCTTCACATAAAAACTAGAGAGAAGCATTCTCAGAAACTTCTTTGTGATAAGTGCATTCAACTCACAGAGTCGAACCTTTCTGTTGATAGAGCAGTTTTAAATCACTCTTTTTCTAGAATCTGAAAGTGGATATTTGGAGTGCTCTGAGGCCTATGGTGGAAAAGGAAATACCTACACATAAAAACTAGGCGGAAGCATTCTCAGAAATATCTTTGTGATGAGTGCATTCAACTCACAGAGTTGAACATTTATGTTGATAGAGGAGTTTTAAAACACTCTTTTTCAGGAATCTGAAAGTGGATATTTGGAGCGCTTTGAGGCCTATGGTGGAAAAGGAAACACCTTCAGAAAAAAAACTAGAGCAGGAGCGTTCTCAGAAACTTCTTTGTGATGTGTGCATTCAACTCACAGAGTTGAACCTTTTTTTTGATAGAGCAGTTTTGAAACACTATTTTTGTACAATCTGCGGTTGGATGTTTGGAGCGCTTTGATGCCTATGGTGGAAAACGAAATATCCGCACATAAAATCTAGACAGCAGCATTCTCAGAAACTTGTTTGTGTTGTGTGCATTCAACTCACAGAGTTGAACCTTTCCTTTGATTGAGCAGTTTTGAAAAAGTCTTTTTGTAGAATCCACAAGTGGATATTTGGAGCAATTTGAGGCCTATGGTGTAAAAGGAAATATCTTCACATAAAAACTAGACAGAAGCATTCTCAGAAACTTCTTTGTGTTGTGTGCATTCAACTCACAGAGTTGAACTTTTCCTATGATTGAGCAGTTTTGAAACACTCTTTCTGAAGAATCTGCAAGTGGATATTTGGAGTGCCTTGAGGCCTATGGTGGAAAAGGAAACACCTTCACAAAAAAAACTAGAGCAGAAGCATTCTCAGAAACGTCTTAGTGATGTGTGCATTCAACTCACAGAGTTGAACTTTTCTTTGATAGAGCAGTTTTGAAACACTCTTTTTGTAGAATCTGCAGTTGGATATTTGGAGCGCTTTGATGCCTATGGTGGAAAAGGAAATATCCGCACATAAAAACTAGACAGCAGCATTCTCAGAAACTTGTTTGTGTTGTGTGCATTCAACTCACAGAGTTGACCTTTCCTTTGATTGAGCAGTTTTGAAAAAGTCTTTTTGCAGAATCTGCAAGTGGATATTTGGAGCGGTTTGAGGCCTATGGTGTAAAAGGAAATATCTTCACATAAAAACTAGACAGAAGCATTCTCTGAAACTTCTTTGTGATGTGTGAATTCAACTCACAGAGTCGAACCTTTCTGTTGATACAGCAGTTTTAAATCACTCTTTTTCTAGAATCTGAAAGTAGATATTTGGAGTGCTCTGAGGCCTATGGTGGAAAAGGAAATACCTACAGATAAAAACTAGGCGGAAGCATTCTCAGAAATATCTTTGTGATGAGTGCATTCAACTCACAGAGTTGAACATTTATGTTGATAGAGGAGTTTTAAAACACTCTTTTTCAGGAATCTGAAAGTGGATATTTGGAGCGCTTTGAGGCCTATGGTGGAAAAGGAAACACCTTCACAAAAAAAAACTAGAGCAGAAGCATTCTCAGAAACGTCTTTGTGATGTGTGCATTCAACTCACAGAGTTGAACTTTTCTTTGATAGAGCAGTTTTGAAACACTCTTTTTGTAGAATCTGCAGTTGGATATTTGGAGCGCTTTGATGCCTATGGTGGAAAAGGAAATATCCGCACATAAAAACTAGACAGCAGCATTCTCAGAAACTTGTTTGTGTTGTGTGCATTCAACTCACAGAGTTGACCTTTCCTTTGATTGAGCAGTTTTGAAAAAGTCTTTTTGCAGAATCTGCAAGTGGATATTTGGAGCGGTTTGAGGCCTATGTTGTAAAAGGAAATATCTTCACATAAAAACTAGACAGAAGCATTCTCTGAAACTTCTTTGTGATGTGTGAATTCAACTCACAGAGTCGAACCTTTCTGTTGATACAGCAGTTTTAAATCACTCTTTTTCGAGAATCTGAAAGTAGATATTTGGAGTGCTCTGAGGCCTATGGTGGAAAAGGAAATACCTACAGATAAAAACTAGGCGGAAGCATTCTCAGAAATATCTTTGTGATGAGTGCATTCAACTCACAGAGTTGAACATTTATGTTGATAGAGGAGTTTTAAAACACTCTTTTTCAGGAATCTGAAAGTGGATATTTGGAGCGCTTTGAGGCCTTTGGTGGAAAAGGAAACACCTTCACAAAAAAAACTAGAGCAGAAGCATTCTCAGAAACTTCTTTGTGATGTGTGCATTCAACTCACAGAGTTGAACCTTTTTTTTGGATAGAGCAGTTTTGAAACACTATTTTTGTACAATCTGCGGTTGGATATTTGGAGCGCTTTGATGCCTATGGTGGAAAACGAAATATCCGCACATAAAATCTAGACAGCAGCATTCTCAGAAACTTGTTTGTGTTGTGTGCATTCAACTCACAGAGTTGAACCTTTCCTTTGATTGAGCAGTTTTGAAAAAGTCTTTTTGTAGAATCCACAAGTGGATATTTGGAGCAGTTTGAGGCCTATGGTGTAAAAGGAAATATCTTCACATAAAAACTAGACAGAATCATTCTCAGAAACTTCTTTGTGTTGTGTGCATTCAACTCACAGAGTTGAAATTTTCCTATGATTGAGCAGTTTTGAAACACTCTTTCTGAAGAATCTGCAAGTGGATAATTGGAGCGCTTTGAGGCCTATGGTGGAAAAGGAAACACCTTCACAAAAAAACTAGAGCAGAAGCATTCTCAGAAACGTCTTTGTGATGTGTGCATTCAACTCACAGAGTTGAACCTTTCTTTGATAGAGCAGTTTTGAAACACTCTTTTTGTAGAATCTGCAGTTGGATATTTGGAGCGCTTTGATGCCTATGGTGGAAAAGGAAATATCCGCACATAAAAACTAGACAGCAGCATTCTCAGAAACTTGTTTGTGTTGTGTGCATTCAACTCACAGAGTTGACCTTTCCTTTGATTGAGCAGTTTTGAAAAAGTCTTTTTGCAGAATCTGCAAGTGGATATTTGGAGCGGTTTGAGGCCTATGGTGTAAAAGGAAATATCTTCACATAAAAACTAGACAGAAGCATTCTCTGAAACTTCTTTGTGATGTGTGAATTCAACTCACAGAGTTGAACCTTTCTTTTGTAGAGCAGTTTTGAAACTCTTTTTGTAGAATCTGTAAGTAGATATTTGGAGCGCTTTGAGGCTTACGTTGGAAAAGTAAATATCTTCACATAAAAACTAGACAGAAGCATTCTCAGAAACTTCTTTGTGATAAGTGCATTCAACTCACAGAGTCGAACCTTTCTGTTGATAGAGCAGTTTTAAATCACTCTTTTTCTAGAATCTGAAAGTGGATATTTGGAGTGCTCTGAGGCCTATGGTGGAAAAGGAAATACCTACACATAAAAACTAGGCGGAAGCATTCTCAGAAATATCTTTGTGATGAGTGCATTCAACTCACAGAGTTGAACATTTATGTTGATAGAGGAGTTTTAAAACACTCTTTTTCAGGAATCTGAAAGTGGATATTTGGAGCGCTTTGAGGCCTATGGTGGAAAAGGAAACACCTTCACAAAAAAAACTAGAGCAGAAGCATTCTCAGGAACTTCTTTGTGATGTGTCCATTCAACTCACAGAGTTGAACCTTTTTTTTTGGATAGAGCAGTTTTGAAACACTATTTTTGTACAATCTGCGGTTGGATATTTGGAGCGCTTTGATGCCTATGGTGGAAAACGAAATATCCGCACATAAAATCTAGACAGCAGCATTCTCAGAAACTTGTTTGTGTTGTGTGCATTCAACTCACAGAGTTGAACCTTTCCTTTGATTGAGCAGTTTTGAAAAAGTCTTTTTGTAGAATCCACAAGTGGATATTTGGAGCAGTTTGAGGCCTATGGTGTAAAAGGAAATATCTTCACATAAAAACTAGACAGAAGCATTCTCTAAAACTTCTTTGTGATGTGTTAATTCAACTCACAGAGTTGAACCTTTCTTTTGTAGAGCAGTTTTGAAACTGTTTTTGTAAAATCTGTAAGTAGATATTTGGAGCGCTTTGAGGGTTATTGTGGAAAAGGAAATATCTTCACATAAAAACTAGACAGAAGCATTCTCAGAAACTTCTTTGTGATAAGTGCATTCAACTCACAGAGTCGAACCTTTCTGTTGATAGAGCAGTTTTAAATCACTCTTTTTCTAGAATCTGAAAGTGGATATTTGGAGTGCTCTGAGGCCTATGGTGGAAAAGGAAATACCTACACATAAAAACTAGGCGGAAGCATTCTGAGAAATATCTTTGTGATGAGTGCATTCAACTCACAGAGTTGAACATTTATGTTGATAGAGGAGTTTTAAAACACTCTTTTTCAGGAATCTGAAAGTGGATATTTGGAGCGCTTTGAGGCCTATGGTGGAAAAGGAAACACCTTCACAAAAAAAAACTAGAGCAGAAGCATTCTCAGAAACGTCTTTGTGATGTGTGCATTCAACTCACAGAGTTGAACCTTTCTTTGATAGAGCAGTTTTGAAACACTCTTTTTGTAGAATCTGCAGTTGGATATTTGGAGCGCTTTGATGCCTATGGTGGAAAAGGAAATATCCGCACATAAAAACTAGACAGCAGCATTCTCAGAAACTTGTTTGTGTTGTGTGCATTCAACTCACAGAGTTGACCTTTCCTTTGATTGAGCAGTTTTGAAAAAGTCTTTTTGCAGAATCTGCAAGTGGATATTTGGAGCGGTTTGAGGCCTATGGTGTAAAAGGAAATATCTTCACATAAAAACTAGACAGAAGCATTCTCTGAAACTTCTTTGTGATGTGTGAATTCAACACACAGAGTCGAACCTTTCTGTTGATAGAGCAGTTTTAAATCACTCTTTTTCTAGAATCTGAAAGTGGATATTTGGAGTGCTCTGAGGCCTATGGTGGAAAAGGAAATACCTACAGATAAAAACTAGGCGGAAGCATTCTCAGAAATATCTTTGTGATGAGTGCATTCAACTCACAGAGTTGAACATTTATGTTGATAGAGGAGTTTTAAAACACTCTTTTTCAGGAATCTGAAAGTGGATATTTGGAGCGCTTTGAGGCCTATGGTGGAAAAGGAAACACCTTCACAAAAAAAACTAGAGCAGAAGCATTCTCAGAAACTTCTTTGTGATGTGTGCATTCAACTCACAGAGTTGAAACTTTTTTTTTGATAGAGCAGTTTTGAAACACTATTTTTGTACAATCTGCGGTTGGATGTTTGGAGCGCTTTGATGCCTATGGTGGAAAACGGAATATCCGCACGTAAAATCTAGACAGCAGCATTCTCAGAAACTTGTTTGTGTTGTGTGCATTCAACTCACAGAGTTGACCTTTCCATTGATTGAGCAGTTTTGAAAAAGTCTTTTTGCAGAATCTGCAAGTGGATATTTGGAGCAGTTTGAGGCCTATGGTGTAAAAGGAAATATCTTCACATAAAAACTAGACAGAAGCATTCTCTGAAACTTCTTTGTGATGTGTGAATTCAACACACAGAGTCGAACCTTTCTGTTGATAGAGCAGTTTTAAATCACTCTTTTTCTAGAATCTGAAAGTGGATATTTGGAGTGCTCTGAGGCCTATGGTGGAAAAGGAAATACCTACACATAAAAACTAGGCGGAAGCATTCTCAGAAATATCTTTGTGATGAGTGCATTCAACTCACAGAGTTGAACATTTATGTTCATAGAGGAGTTTTAAAACACTCTTTTTCAGGAATCTGAAAGTGGATATTTGGAGCGCTTTGAGGCCTATGGTGGAAAAGGAAACACCTTCACAAAAAAAACTAGAGCAGAAGCATTCTCAGAAACTTCTTTGTGATGTGTGCATTCAACTCACAGAGTTGAACCTTTTTTTTTGATAGAGCAGTTTTGAAACACTATTTTTGTACAATCTGCGGTTGGATGTTTGGAGCGCTTTGATGCCTATGGTGGAAAACGGAATATCCGCACATAAAATCTAGACAGCAGCATTCTCAGAAACTTGTTTGTATTGTGTGCATTCAACTCACAGAGTTGAACCTTTCCTTTGATTGAGCAGTTTTGAAAAAGTCTTTTTGTAGAATCCACAGGTGGATATTTGGAGCAGTTTGAGGCCTATGGTGTAAAAGGAAATATCTTCACATAAAAACTAGACAGAAGCATTCTCAGAAACTTCTTTGTGTTGTGTGCATTCAACTCACAGAGTTGAACTTTTCCTATGATTTAGCAGTTTTGAAACACTCTTTCTGAGGAATCTGCAAGTGGATATTTGGAGCGCTTTGAGGCCTATGGTGGAAAAGGAAACAACTTCACAAAAAAAACTAGAGCAGAAGCATTCTCAGAAACGTCTTTATGATGTGTGCATTCAACTCACAGAGTTGAACCTTTCTTTGATAGAGCAGTTTTGAAACACTCTTTTTGTAGAATCAGCAGTTGGATATTTGGAGCGCTTTGATGCCTATGTTGGAAAAGGAAATATCCGCACATAAAAACTAGACAGCAGCATTCTCAGAAACTTGTTTGTGTTGTGTGCATTCAACTCACAGAGTTGACCTTTCCTTTGATTGAGCAGTTTTGAAAAAGTCTTTTTGCAGAATCTGCAAGTGGATATTTGGAGCGGTTTGAGACCTATGGTGTAAAAGGAAATACCTTCACATAAAAACTAGACAGAAGCATTCTCTGAAACTTCTTTGTGATGTGTGAATTCAACTCAAAGAGTTGAACCTTTCTTTTGTAGAGCAGATTTGAAACTCTTTTTGTACAATCTGTAAGTAGATATTTGGAGCGCTTTGAGGCTTATGGTGGAAAAGGAAGTATCTTCACATAAAAACTAGAGAGAAGCATTCTCAGAAACTTCTTTGTGATAAGTGCATTCAACTCACAGAGTCGAACCTTTCTGTTGATAGAGCAGTTTTAAATCACTCTTTTTCTAGAATCTGAAAGTGGATATTTGGAGTGCTCTGAGGCCTATGGTGGAAAAGGAAATACCTACACATAAAAACTAGGCGGAAGCATTCTCAGAAATATCTTTGTGATGAGTGCATTCAACTCACAGAGTTGAACATTTATGTTGATAGAGGAGTTTTAAAACACTCTTTTTCAGGAATCTGAAAGTGGATATTTGGAGCGCTTTGAGGCCTATGGTGGAAAAGGAAACACCTTCAGAAAAAAAACTAGAGCAGGAGCGTTCTCAGAAACTTCTTTGTGATGTGTGCATTCAAACGAATTCCGCACTAAATCTAGCAGCGCATCTCAGAACTGTTTGTGTGTGTGCATCAACTCACAGAGTGACCCCTTTCCTTTGATGAGCAGTTTTGAAAAAGTCTTTTTGTAGAATCCACAAGTGGATATTTGGAGCAGTTTGAGGCCTATGGTGTAAAAGGAAATATCTTCACATAAAAACTAGACAGAAGCATTCTCAGAAACTTCTTTGTGTTGTGTGCATTCAACTCACAGAGTTGAACTTTTCCTATGATTGAGCAGTTTTGAAACACTCTTTCTGAAGAATCTGCAAGTGGATATTTGGAGCGCTTTGAGGCCTATGGTGGAAAAGGAAACACCTTCACAAAAAAACTAGAGCAGAAGCATTCTCAGAAACGTCTTTGTGATGTGTGCATTCAACTCACAGAGTTGAACCTTTCTTTGATAGAGCAGTTTTGAAACACTCTTTTTGTAGAATCTGCAGTTGGATATTTGGAGCGCTTTGATGCCTATGGTGGAAAAGGAAATATCCGCACATAAAAACTAGACAGCAGCATTCTCAGAAACTTGTTTGTGTTGTGTGCATTCAACTCACAGAGTTGACCTTTCCTTTGATTGAGCAGTTTTGAAAAAGTCTTTTTGCAGAATCTGCAAGTGGATATTTGGAGCGGTTTGAGGCCTATGGTGTAAAAGGAAATATCTTCACATAAAAACTAGACAGAAGCATTCTCTGAAACTTCTTTGTGATGTGTGAATTCAACTCACAGAGTTGAACCTTTCTTTTGTAGAGCAGTTTTGAAACTCTTTTTGTAGAATCTGTAAGTAGATATTTGGAGCGCTTTGAGGCTTATGGTGGAAAAGGAAATATCTTCACATAAAAACTAGACAGAAGCATTCTCAGAAACTTCTTTGTGATAAGTGCATTCAACTCACAGAGTCGAACCTTTCTGTTGATAGAGCAGTTTTAAATCACTCTTTTTCTAGAATCTGAAAGTGGATATTTGGAGTGCTCTGAGGCCTATGGTGGAAAAGGAAATACCTACACATAAAAACTAGGCGGAAGCATTCTCAGAAATATCTTTGTGATGAGTGCATTCAACTCACAGAGTTGAACATTTATGTTGATAGAGGAGTTTTAAAACACTCTTTTTCAGGAATCTGAAAGTGGATATTTGGAGCGCTTTGAGGCCTATGGTGGAAAAGGAAACACCTTCACAAAAAAAACTAGAGCAGAAGCATTCTCAGGAACTTCTTTGTGATGTGTGCATTCGACTCACAGAGTTGAACCTTTTTTTTGGATAGAGCAGTTTTGAAACACTATTTTTGTACAATCTGCGGTTGGATATTTGGAGCGCTTTGATGCCTATGGTGGAAAACGAAATATCCGCACATAAAATCTAGACAGCAGCATTCTCAGAAACTTGTTTGTGTTGTGTGCATTCAACTCACAGAGTTGAACCTTTCCTTTGATTGAGCAGTTTTGAAAAAGTCTTTTTGTAGAATCCACAAGTGGATATTTGGAGCAGTTTGAGGCCTATGGTGTAAAAGGAAATATCTTCACATAAAAACTAGACAGAAGCATTCTCAGAAACTTCTTTGTGTTGTGTGCATTCAACTCACAGAGTTGAACTTTTCCTATGATTGAGCAGTTTTGAAACACTCTTTCTGAAGAATCTGCAAGTGGATATTTGGAGCGCTTTGAGGCCTATGGTGGAAAAGGAAACACCTTCACAAAAAAACTAGAGCAGAAGCATTCTCAGAAACGTCTTTGTGATGTGTGCATTCAACTCACAGAGTTGAACCTTTCTTTGATAGAGCAGTTTTGAAACACTCTTTTTGTAGAATCTGCAGTTGGATATTTGGAGCGCTTTGATGCCTATGGTGGAAAAGGAAATATCCGCACATAAAAACTAGACAGCAGCATTCTCAGAAACTTGTTTGTGTTGTGTGCATTCAACTCACAGAGTTGAGCTTTCCTTTGATTGAGCAGTTTTGAAAAAGTCTTTTTGCAGAATCTGCAAGTGGATATTTGGAGCGGTTTGAGGCCTATGGTGTAAAAGGAAATATCTTCACATAAAAACTAGACAGAAGCATTCTCTGAAACTTCTTTGTGATGTGTGAATTCAACTCACAGAGTTGAACCTTTCTTTTGTAGAGCAGTTTTGAACCTCTTTTTGTAGAATCTGTAAGTAGATATTTGGAGCGCTTTGAGGCTTATGGTGGAAAAGGAAATATCTTCACATAAAAACTAGACAGAAGCATTCTCAGAAACTTCTTTGTGATAAGTGCATTCAACTCACAGAGTCGAACCTTTCTGTTGATAGAGCAGTTTTAAATCACTCTTTTTCTAGAATCTGAAAGTGGATATTTGGAGTGCTCTGAGGCCTATGGTGGAAAAGGAAATACCTACACATAAAAACTAGGCGGAAGCATTCTCAGAAATATCTTTGTGATGAGTGCATTCAACTCACAGAGTTGAACATTTATGTTGATAGAGGAGTTTTAAAACACTCTTTTTCAGGAATCTGAAAGTGGATATTTGGAGCGCTTTGAGGACTTTGGTGGAAAAGGGAACACCTTCACAAAAAAAACTAGAGCAGAAGCATCTCAGAAGATTCTTGTGATGTGTGCATTCACTCACAGAGTCGAACTTTTTTTTGATAGAGCAGTCTTGAACACTATTTTGTACATCTGCGGTGGATATTGGAGCGCTGATGCTATAAGTGCATTCAACTCACAGAGTCGAACCTTTCTGTTGATAGAGCAGTTTTAAATCACTCTTTTTCTAGAATCTGAAAGTGGATATTTGGAGTGCTCTGAGGCCTATGGTGGAAAAGGAAATACCTACACATAAAAACTAGGCGGAAGCATTCTGAGAAATATCTTTGTGATGAGTGCATTCAACTCACAGAGTTGAACATTTATGTTGATAGAGGAGTTTTAAAACACTCTTTTTCAGGAATCTGAAAGTGGATATTTGGAGCGCTTTGAGGCCTATGGTGGAAAAGGAAACACCTTCACAAAAAAAACTAGAGCAGAAGCATTCTCAGAAACTTCTTTGTGATGTGTGCATTCAACTCAGAGAGTTGAACCTTTTTTTTTGATAGAGCAGTTTTGAAACACTATTTTTGTACAATCTGCGGTTGGATGTTTGGAGCGCTTTGATGCCTATGGTGGAAAACGAAATATCCGCACATAAAATCTAGACAGCAGCATTCTCAGAAACATGTTTGTGTTGTGTGCATTCAACTCACAGAGTTGAACCTTTCCTTTGATTGAGCAGTTTTGAAAAAGTCTTTTTGTAGAATCCACAAGTGGATATTTGGAGCAGTTTGAGGCCTATGGTGTAAAAGGAAATAACTTCACATAAAAACTAGACAGAAGCATTCTCAGAAACTTCTTTGTGTTGTGTGCATTCAACTCACAGAGTTGAACTTTTCCTATGATTGAGCAGTTTTGAAACACTCTTTCTGAAGAATCTGCAAGTGGATATTTGGAGCGCTTTGAGGCCTATGGTGGAAAAGGAAACACCTTCACAAAAAAAACTAGAGCAGAAGCATTCTCAGAAACGTCTTTGTGATGTGTGCATTCAACTCACAGAGTTGCACCTTTCTTTGATAGAGCAGTTTTGAAACACTCTTTTTGTAGAATCTGCAGTTGGATATTTGGAGCGCTTTGATGCCTATGGTGGAAAAGGAAATATCCGCACATAAAAACTAGACAGCAGCATTCTCAGAAACTTGTTTGTGTTGTGTGCATTCAACTCACAGAGTTGAACTTTCCTTTGATTGAGCAGTTTTGAAAAAGTCTTTTTGCAGAATCTGCAAGTGGATATTTGGAGCGGTTTGAGGCCTATGGTGTAAAAGGAAATATCTTCACATAAAAACTAGACAGAAGCATTCTCTGAAACTTCTTTCTGAGGTGTGAATTCAACTCACAGAGTTGAACCTTTCTTTTGTAGAGCAGTTTTGAAACTCTTTTTGTAGAATCTGTAAGTAGATATTTGGAGCGCTTTGAGGCTTATGGTGGAAAAGGAAATATCTTCACATAAAAACTAGACAGAAGCATTCTCAGAAACTTCTTTGTGATAAGTGCATTCAACTCACAGAGTCGAACCTTTCTGTTGATAGAGCAGATTTAAATCACTCTTCTTCTAGAATCTGAAAGTGGATATTTGGAGTGCTCTGAGGCCTATGGTGGAAAAGGAAATACCTACACATAAAAACTAGGCGGAAGCATTCTCAGAAATATGTTTGTGATGAGTGCATTCAACTCACAGTGTTAAACGTTTATGTTGATTGAGGAGTTTTAAAACACTCTTTTTCAGGAATCTGAAAGTGGATATTTGGAGCGCTTTGAGGCCTATGGTGGAAAAGGAAACACCTTCACAAAAAAAACTAGAGCAGAAGCATTCTCAGAAACTTCTTTGTGATGTGTGCATTCAACTCACAGAGTTGAACCTTTTTTTTGATAGAGCAGTTTTGAAACACTATTTTTGTACAATCTGCGGTTGGATGTTTGGAGCGCTTTGATGCCTATGGTGGAAAACGAAATATCCGCACATAAAATCTAGACAGCAGCATTCTCAGAAACTTGTTTGTGTTGTGTGCATTCAACTCACAGAGTTGAACCTTTCCTTTCATTGAGCAGTTTTGAAAAAGTCTTTTTGTAGAATCCACAAGTGGATATTTGGAGCAGTTTGAGGCCTATGGTGTAAAAGGAAATAACTTCATATAAAAACTAGACAGAAGCATTCTCAGAAACTTCTTTGTGTTGTGTGCATTCAACTCACAGAGTTGAACTTTTCCTATGATTGAGCAGTTTTGAAACACTCTTTCTGAAGAATCTGCAAGTGGATATTTGGAGCGCTTTGAGGCCTATGGTGGAAAAGGAAACACCTTCACAAAAAAAACTAGAGCAGAAGCATTCTCAGAAACGTCTTTGTGATGTGTGCATTCAACTCACAGAGTTGAACCTTTCTTTGATAGAGCAGTTTTGAAACACTCTTTTTGTAGAATCTGCAGTTGGATATTTGGAGCGCTTTGATGCCTGTGGTGGAAAAGGAAATATCCGCACATAAAAACTAGACAGCAGCATTCTCAGAAACTTGTTTGTGTTGTGTGCATTCAACTCACAGAGTTGACCTTTCCTTTGATTGAGCAGTTTTGAAAAAGTCTTTTTGCAGAATCTGCAAATGGATATTTGGAGCGGTTTGAGGCCTATGGTGTAAAAGGAAATATCTTCACATAAAAACTAGACAGAAGCATTCTCAGAAACTTCTTTGTGATAAGTGCATTCAACTCACAGAGTCGAACCTTTCTGTTGATAGAGAAGTTTTAAATCACTGTTCTTCTAGAATCTGAAAGTGGATATTTGGAGTGCTCTGAGGCTTATGGTGGAAAAGGAAATACCTACACATAAAAACTAGGCGGAAGCATTCTCAGAAATATCTTTGTGATGAGTGCATTCAACTCACAGAGTTGAACATTTATGTTGATAGAGGAGTTTTAAAACACTCTTTTTCAGGAATCTGAAAGTGGATATTTGGAGCGCTTTGAGGCCTATGGTGGAAAAGGAAACACCTTCACAAAAAAAACTAGAGCAGAAGCATTCTCAGAAACTACTTTGTGATGTGTGCATTCAACTCACAGAGTTGAACCTTTTTTTTGATAGAGCAGTTTTGAAACACTATTTTTGTACAATCTGCGGTTGGATGTTTGGAGCGCTTTGATGCCTATGGTGGAAAACGAAATCTCCGCACATAAAATCTAGACAGCAGCATTCTCAGAAACTTGTTTGTGTTGTGTGCATTCAACTCACAGAGTTGAACCTTTCCTTTGATTGAGCAGTTTTGAAAAAGTCTTTTTATAGAATCCACAAGTGGATATTTGGAGCAGTTTGAGGCCTATGGTGTAAGAGGAAATATTTTCACATAAAAACTAGACAGAAGCATTCTCAGAAACTTCTTTGTGTTGTGTGCATTCAACTCACAGAGTTGAACTTTTCCTATGATTGAGCAGTTTTGAAACACTCTTTCTGAAGAATCTGCAAGTGGATATTTGGAGTGCTTTGAGGCCTATGGTGGAAAAGGAAACACCTTCACAAAAAAACTAGAGCAGAAGCATTCTCAGAATCTTCTTTGTGATGTGTGCATTCAACTCACAGAGTTGAACCTTTTTTTTTGATAGAGCAGTTTTGAAACACTATTTTTGTACAATCTGCGGTTGGATATTTGGAGCGCTTTGATGCCTATGGTGGAAAACGAAATATCCGCACATAAAATCTAGACAGCAGCATTCTCAGAAACTTGTTTGTGTTGTGTGCATTCAACTCACAGAGTTGAAACTTTCCTTTGATTGAGCAGTTTTGAAAAAGTCTTTTTGTAGAATCCACAAGTGGATATTTGGAGCAGTTTGAGGCCTATGGTGTAAAAGGAAATATCTTCACATAAAAACTAGACAGAAGCATTCTCAGAAACTTCTTTGTGTTGTGTGCATTCAACTCACAGAGTTGAACTTTTCCTATGATTGAGCAGTTTTGAAACACTCTTTCTGAAGAATCTGCAAGTGGATATTTGGAGCGCTTTGAGGCCTATGGTGGAAAAGGAAACACCTTCACAAAAAAACTAGAGCAGAAGCATTCTCAGAAACTTCTTTGTGATGTGTGCATTCAACTCACAGAGTTGAAACTTTTTTTTTGATAGAGCAGTTTTGAAACACTATTTTTGTACAATCTGCCGTTTGATATTTGGATCGCTTTGATGCCTATGGTGGAAAACGAAATATCCGCACATAAAATCTAGACAGCAGCATTCTCAGAAACTTGTTTGTGTTGTGTGCATTCAACTCACAGAGTTGAACCTTTCCTTTGATTGAGCAGTTTTGAAAAAGTCTTTTTGTAGAATCCACAAGTGGATATTTGGAGCAGTTTGAGGCCTGTGGTGTAAAAGGAAATATCTTCACATGAAAACTAGACAGAAGCATTCTCAGAAACTTCTTTGTGTTGTGTGCATTCAACTCACAGAGTTGAACTTTTCCTATGATTGAGCAGTTTTGAAACACTCTTTCTGAAGAATCTGCAAGTGGATATTTGGAGCGCTTTGAGGCCTATGGTGGAAAAGGAAACACCTTCACAAAAAAACTAGAGCAGAAGCATTCTCAGAAACGTCTTTGTGATGTGTGCNATTCACTCACAGAGTTGAACTTTCTTTGATAGAGCAGTTTTGAACACTCTTTTTGTAGATCTGCAGTGGATATTGGAGCGCTTGATGCTATGTGGTTTTGAACATTCTTTTCAGGATCCTGCAGGGGATATTGGAGCGCTTGAGGCCTTTGTGGAAAAGGAAACACTTCCCCAAAAAAACTAGAGCAGAAGCATTCTCAGAAACTTCTTTGTGATGTGTGCATTCAACTCACAGAGTTGAAACTTTTTTTTTGATAGAGCAGTTTTGAAACACTATTTTTGTACAATCTGCGGTTGGATATTTGGAGCGCTTTGATGCCTATGGTGGAAAACGAAATATCCGCACATAAAATCTAGACAGCAGCATTCTCAGAAACTTGTTTGTGTTGTGTGCATTCAACTCACAGAGTTGAACCTTTCCTTTGATTGAGCAGTTTTGAAAAAGTCTTTTTGTAGAATCCACAAGTGGATATTTGGAGCAGTTTGAGGCCTGTGGTGTAAAAGGAAATATCTTCACATGAAAACTAGACAGAAGCATTCTCAGAAACTTCTTTGTGTTGTGTGCATTCAACTCACAGAGTTGAACTTTTCCTATGATTGAGCAGTTTTGAAACACTCTTTCTGAAGAATCTGCAAGTGGATATTTGGAGCGCTTTGAGGCCTATGGTGGAAAAGGAAACACCTTCACAAAAAAACTAGAGCAGAAGCATTCTCAGAAACGTCTTTGTGATGTGTGCATTCAACTCACAGAGTTGAACCTTTCTTTGATAGAGCAGTTTTGAAACACTCTTTTTGTAGAATCTGCAGTTGGATATTTGGAGCGCTTTGATGCCTATGGTGGAAAAGGAAATATCCGCACATAAAAACTAGACAGCAGCATTCTCAGAAACTTGTTTGTGTTGTGTGCATTCAACTCACAGAGTTGAGCTTTCCTTTGATTGAGCAGTTTTGAAAAAGTCTTTTTGCAGAATCTGCAAGTGGATATTTGGAGCGGTTTGAGGCCTATGGTGTAAAAGGAAATATCTTCACATAAAAACTAGACAGAAGCATTCTCTGAAACTTCTTTGTGATGTGTGAATTCAACTCACAGAGTTGAACCTTTCTTTTGTAGAGCAGTTTTGAAACTCTTTTTGTAGAATCTGTAAGTAGATATTTGGAGCGCTTTGAGGCTTATGGTGGAAAAGGAAATATCTTCACATAAAAACTAGACAGAAGCATTCTCAGAAACTTCTTTGTGATAAGTGCATTCAACTCACAGAGTCGAACCTTTCTGTTGATAGAGCAGTTTTAAATCACTCTTTTTCTAGAATCTGAAAGTGGATATTTGGAGTGCTCTGAGGCCTATGGTGGAAAAGGAAATACCTACACATAAAAACTAGGCCGAAGCATTCTCAGAAATATCTTTGTGATGAGTGCATTCAACTCACAGAGTTGAACATTTATGTTGATAGAGGAGTTTTAAAACACTCTTTTTCAGGAATCTGAAAGTGGATATTTGGAGCGCTTTGAGGCCTATGGTGGAAAAGGAAACACCTTCACAAAAAAAACTAGAGCAGAAGCATTCTCAGGAACTTCTTTGTGATGTGTGCATTCAACTCACAGAGTTGAACCTTTTTTTTTGATAGAGCAGTTTTGAAACACTATTTTTGTACAATCTGCGGTTGGATATTTGGAGCGCTTTGATGCCTATGGTGGAAAACGAAATATCCGCACATAAAATCTAGACAGCAGCATTCTCAGAAACTTGTTTGTGTTGTGTGCATTCAACTCACAGAGTTGAAACTTTCCTTTGATTGAGCAGTTTTGAAAAAGTCTTTTTGTAGAATCCACAAGTGGATATTTGGAGCAGTTTGAGGCCTATGGTGTAAAAGGAAATATCTTCACATAAAAACTAGACAGAAGCATTCTCAGAAACTTCTTTGTGTTGTGTGCATTCAACTCACAGAGTTGAACTTTTCCTATGATTGAGCAGTTTTGAAACACTCTTTCTGAAGAATCTGCAAGTGGATATTTGGAGCGCTTTGAGGCCTATGGTGGAAAAGGAAACACCTTCACAAAAAAACTAGAGCAGAAGCATTCTCAGAAACGTCTTTGTGATGTGTGCATTCAACTCACAGAGTTGAACCTTTCTTTGATAGAGCAGTTTTGAAACACTCTTTTTGTAGAATCTGCAGTTGGATATTTGGAGCGCTTTGATGCCTATGGTGGAAAAGGAAATATCCGCACATAAAAACTAGACAGCAGCATTCTCAGAAACTTGTTTGTGTTGTGTGCATTCAACTCACAGAGTTGACCTTTCCTTTGATTGAGCAGTTTTGAAAAAGTCTTTTGCAGAATCTGCAGTGGATATTGGAGCGGTTGAGGCCTATGTGTAAAAGGAATATCTTCACATAAAAACTAGACAGAAGCATTCTCTGAAACTTCTTTGTGATGTGTGAATTCAACTCACGGAGTTGAACCTTTCTTTTGTAGAGCAGTTTTGAAACTCTTTTTGTAGAATCTGTAAGTAGATATTTGGAGCGCTTTGAGGCTTATGGTGGAAAAGGAAATATCTTCACATGAAAACTAGACAGAAGCATTCTCAGAAACTTCTTTGTGTTGTGTGCATTCAACTCACAGAGTTGAACTTTTCCTATGATTGAGCAGTTTTGAAACACTCTTTCTGAAGAATCTGCAAGTGGATATTTGGAGCGCTTTGAGGCCTATGGTGGAAAAGGAAACACCTTCACAAAAAAACTAGAGCAGAAGCATTCTCAGAAACGTCTTTGTGATGTGTGCATTCAACTCACAGAGTTGAACCTTTCTTTGATAGAGCAGTTTTGAAACACTCTTTTTGTAGAATCGGCAGTTGGATATTTGGAGCGCTTTGATGCCTATGGTGGAAAAGGAAATATCCGCACATAAAAACTAGACAGCAGCATTCTCAGAAACTTGTTTGTGTTGTGTGCATTCAACTCACAGAGTTGACCTTTCCTTTGATTGAGCAGTTTTGAAAAAGTCTTTTTGCAGAATCTGCAAGTGGATATTTGGAGCGGTTTGAGGCCTATGGTGTAAAAGGAAATATCTTCACATAAAAACTAGACAGAAGCATTCTCTGAAACTTCTTTGTGATGTGTGAATTCAACTCACGGAGTTGAACCTTTCTTTTGTAGAGCAGTTTTGAAACTCTTTTTGTAGAATCTGTAAGTAGATATTTGGAGCGCTTTGAGGCTTATGGTGGAAAAGGAAATATCTTCACATAAAAAGTAGACAGAAGCATTCTCAGAAACTTCTTTGTGATAAGTGCATTCAACTCACAGAGTCGAACCTTTCTGTTGATAGAGCAGTTTTAAATCACTCTTTTTCTAGAATCTGAAAGTGGATATTTGGAGTGCTCTGAGGCCTATGGTGGAAAAGGAAATACCTACACATAAAAACTAGGCGGAATCATTCTCAGAAATATCTTTGTGATGAGTGCATTCAACTCACAGAGTTGAACATTTATGTTGATAGAGGAGTTTTAAAACACTCTTTTTCAGGAATCTAAAAGTGGATATTTGGAGCGCTTTGAGGCCTATGGTGGAAAAGGAAACACCTTCACAAAAAAAACTAGAGCAGAAGCATTCTCAGGAACTTCTTTGTGATGTGTGCATTCAACTCACAGAGTTGAACCTTTTTTTTTGATAGAGCAGTTTTGAAACACTATTTTTGTACAATCTGCGGTTGGATGTTTGGAGCGCTTTGATGCCTATGGTGGAAAACGAAATATCCGCACATAAAATCTAGACAGCAGCATTCTCAGAAACTTGTTTGTGTTGTGTGCATTCAACTCACAGAGTTGAACCTTTCCTTTGATTGAGCAGTTTCGAAAAAGTCTTTTTGTAGAATCCACAAGTGGATATTTGGAGCAGTTTGAGGCCTATGGTGTAAAAGGAAATATCTTCACATAAAAACCAGACAGAAGCATTCTCAGAAACTTCTTTGTGTTGTGTGCATTCAACTCACAGAGTTGAACTTTTCCTATGATTGAGCAGTTTTGAAACACTCTTTCTGAAGAATCTGCAAGTGGATATTTGGAGCGCTTTGAGGCCTATGGTGGAAAAGGAAACACCTTCACAAAAAAACTAGAGCAGAAGCATTCTCAGAAACGTCTTTGTGATGTGTGCATTCAACTCACAGAGTTGAACCTTTCTTTGATAGAGCAGTTTTGAAACACTCTTTTTGTAGAATCTGCAGTTGGATATTTGGAGCGCTTTGATGCCTATGTTGGAAAAGGAAATATCCGCACATAAAAACTAGACAGCAGCATTCTCAGAAACTTGTTTGTGTTGTGTGCATTCAACTCACAGAGTTGACCTTTCCTTTGATTGAGCAGTTTTGAAAAAGTCTTTTTGCAGAATCTGCAAGTGGATATTTGGAGCGGTTTGAGGCCTATGGTGTAAAAGGAAATATCTTCACATAAAAACTAGACAGAAGCATTCTCTGAAACTTCTTTGTGATGTGTGAATTCAACTCACGGAGTTGAACCTTTCTTTTGTAGAGCAGTTTTGAACCTCTTTTTGTAGAATCTGTAAGTAGATATTTGGAGCGCTTTGAGGCTTATGGTGGAAAAGGAAATATCTTCACATAAAAACTAGACAGAAGCATTCTCAGAAACTTCTTTGTGATCAGTGCATTCAACTCACAGAGTCGAACCTTTCTGTTGATGGAGCAGTTTTAAATCACTCTTTTTCTAGAATCTGAACGTGGATATTTGGAGTGCTCTGAGGCCTATGGTGGAAAAGGAAATACCTACACATAAAAACTAGGCGGAAGCATTCTCAGAAATATCTTTGTGATGAGTGCATTCAACTCACAGAGTTGAACATTTATGTTGATAGAGGAGTTTTAAAACACTCTTTTTCAGGAATCTGAAAGTGGATATTTGGAGCGCTTTGAGGACTTTGGTGGAAAAGGAAACACCTTCACAAAAAAAACTAGAGCAGAAGCATTCTCAGAAGATTCTTTGTGATGTGTGCATTCAACTCACAGAGTTGAAACTTTTTTTTGGATAGAGCAGTTTTGAAACACTATTTTTGTACAATCTGCGGTTGGATATTTGGAGCGCTTTGATGCCTATGGTGGAAAACGAAATATCCGCACATAAAATCTAGACAGCAGCATTCTCAGAAACTTGTTTGTGTTGTGTGCATTCAACTCACAGAGTTGAACCTTTCCTTTGATTGAGCAGTTTTGAAAAAGTCTTTTTGTAGAATCCACAAGTGGATATTTGGAGCAGTTTGAGGCCTGTGGTGTAAAAGGAAATATCTTCACATGAAAACTAGACAGAAGCATTCTCAGAAACTTCTTTGTGTTGTGTGCATTCAACTCACAGAGTTGAACTTTTCCTATGATTGAGCAGTTTTGAAACACTCTTTCTGAAGAATCTGCAAGTGGATATTTGGAGCGCTTTGAGGCCTATGGTGGAAAAGGAAACACCTTCACAAAAAAACTAGAGCAGAAGCATTCTCAGAAACGTCTTTGTGATGTGTGCATTCAACTCACAGAGTTGAACCTTTCTTTGATAGAGCAGTTTTGAAACACTCTTTTTGTAGAATCTGCAGTTGGATATTTGGAGCGCTTTGATGCCTATGGTGGAAAAGGAAATATCCGCACATAAAAACTAGACAGCAGCATTCTCAGAAACTTGTTTGTGTTGTGTGCATTCAACTCACAGAGTTGACCTTTCCTTTGATTGAGCAGTTTTGAAAAAGTCTTTTTGCAGAATCTGCAAGTGGATATTTGGAGCGCTTTGAGGACTTTGGTGGAAAAGGAAACACCTTCACAAAAAAAACTAGAGCAGAAGCATTCTCTGAAACTTCTTTGTGATGTGTGAATTCAACTCACAGAGTTGAACCTTTCTTTTGTAGAGCAGTTTTGAAACTCTTTTTGTAGAATCTGTAAGTAGATATTTGGAGCGCTTTGAGGCTTATGGTGGAAAAGGAAATATCTTCACATAAAAACTAGACAGAAGCATTCTCAGAAACTTCTTTGTGTTGTGTGCATTCAACTCACAGAGTTGAACTTTTCCTATGATTGAGCAGTTTTGAAACACTCTTTCTGAAGAATCTGCAAGTGGATATTTGGAGCCCTTTGAGGCCTATGGTGGAAAAGGAAACACCTTCACAAAAAAACTAGAGCAGAAGCATTCTCAGAAACGTCTTTGTGATGTCTAGCAGCAGCTTCTTATAAGTTGTTTGTGGTGGTGCGTTCAACTCACCGAGGTGAACCTTTCCTCTGATGGAGCGCTTTTGAAAAACTCTTTTTGTAGAATCCACAAGTGGATATTTGGAGCGCTTTGAGGCTTATGGTGTAAAAGGAAATATCTTCACATAAAAACTAGACAGAAGCATTCTCAGAAACTTCTTTGTGTTGTGTGCATTCAACTCACAGAGTTGAACTTTTCCTATGATTGAGCAGTTTTGAAACACTCTTTCTGAAGAATCTGCAAGTGGATATTTGGAGCCCTTTGAGGCCTATGGTGGAAAAGGAAACACCTTCACAAAAAAACTAGAGCAGAAGCATTCTCAGAAACGTCTTTGTGATGTGTGCATTCAACTCACAGAGTTGAACCTTTCTTTGATAGAGCAGTTTTGAAACACTCTTTTTGTAGAATCTGCAGTTGGATATTTGGAGCGCTTTGATGCCTATGGTGGAAAAGGAAATATCCGCACATAAAAACTAGACAGCAGCATTCTCAGAAACTTGTCTGTGTTGTGTGCATTCAACTCACAGAGTTGAGCTTTCCTTTGATTGAGCAGTTTTGAAAAAGTCTTTTTGCAGAATCTGCAAGTGGATATTTGGAGCGGTTTGAGGCCTATGGTGTAAAAGGAAATATCTTCACATAAAAACTAGACAGGAGCATTCTCTGAAACTTCTTTGTGATGTGTGAATTCAACTCACAGAGTTGAACCTTTCTTTTGTAGAGCAGTTTTGAAACTCTTTTTGTAGAATGTGTAAGTAGATATTTGGAGCGCTTTGAGGCTTATGGTGGAAAAGGAAATATCTTCACATAAAAACTAGACAGAAGCATTCTCAGAAACTTCTTTGTGATAAGTGCATTCAACTCACAGAGTCGAACCTTTCTGTTGATAGAGCAGTTTTAAATCACTCTTTTTCTAGAATCTGAAAGTGGATATTTGGAGTGCTCTGAGGCCTATGGTGGAAAAGGAAATACCTACACATAAAAACTAGGCGGAAGCATTCTCAGAAATATCTTTGTGATGAGTGCATTCAACTCACAGAGTTGAACATTTATGTTGATAGAGGAGTTTTAAAACACTCTTTTTCGGGAATCTGAAAGTGGATATTTGGAGCGCTTTGAGGCCTATGGTGGAAAAGGAAACACCTTCACAAAAAAAACTAGAGCAGAAGCATTCTCAGAAAGTTCTTTGTGATGTGTGCATTCAACTCACAGAGTTGAATCTTTTTTTTTGATAGAGCAGTTTTGAAACACTATTTTTGTACAATCTGCAGTTGGATATTCGGAGCGCTTTGATGCCTATGGTGGAAAACGAAATATACGCACATAAAATCTAGACAGCAACATTCTCAGAAACTTGTTTGTGTTGTGTGCATTCAACTCACAGAGTTGAACCTTTCCTTTGATTGAGCAGTTTTGAAAAAGTCTTTTTGTAGAATCCACAAGTGGATATTTGGAGCAGTTTGAGGCCTATGGTGTAAAAGGAAATATCTTCACATAAAAACTAGACAGAAGCATTCTCAGAAACTTCTTTGTGTTGTGTGCATTCAACTCACAGAGTTGAACTTTTCCTATGATTGAGCAGTTTTGAAACACTCTTTCTGAAGAATCTGCAAGTGGATATTTGGAGCGCTTTGAGGCCTATGGTGGAAAAGGAAACACCTTCACAAAAAAACTAGAGCAGAAGCATTCTCAGAAACGTCTTTGTGATGTGTGCATTCAACTCACAGAGTTGAACCTTTCTTTGATAGAGCAGTTTTGAAACACTCTTTTTGTAGAATCTGCAGTTGGATATTTGGAGCGCTTTGATGCCTATGGTGGAAAAGGAAATATCCGCACATAAAAACTAGACAGCAGCATTCTCAGAAACTTGTTTGTGTTGTGTGCATTCAACTCACAGAGTTGAGCTTTCCTTTGATTGAGCAGTTTTGAAAAAGTCTTTTTGCAGAATCTGCAAGTGGATATTTGGAAATATCTCACATAAAACTAGACAGAGCATCTCAGAACTTCTTGTGATAGTGCATCAACTCACAGAGTCGACCTTTCTGTGATAGAGCAGTTTAAATCACTCTTNTTCTAGAATCTGAAAGTGGATATTTGGAGTGCTCTGAGGCCTATGGTGGAAAAGGAAATACCTACACATAAAAACTAGGCGGAAGCATTCTCAGAAATATCTTTGTGATGAGTGCATTCAACTCACAGAGTTGAACATTTATGTTGATAGAGGAGTTTTAAAACACTCTTTTTCAGGAATCTGAAAGTGGATGTTTGGAGCGCTTTGAGGCCTATGGTGGAAAAGGAAACACCTTCACAAAAAAAACTAGAGCAGAAGCATTCTCAGGAACTTCTTTGTGATGTGTGCATTCAACTCACAGAGTTGAAACTTTTTTTTGGATAGAGCAGTTTTGAAACACTATTTTTCTACAATCTGCGGTTGGATATTTGGAGCGCTTTGATACCTATGGTGGAAAACGAAATATCCGCACATAAAATCTAGACAGCAGCATTCTCAGAAACTTGTTTGTGTTGTGTGCATTCAACTCACAGAGTTGAACCTTTCCTTTGATTGAGCAGTTTTGAAAAAGTCTTTTTGTAGAATCCACAAGTGGATATTTGGAGCAGTTTGAGGCCTATGGTGTAAAAGGAAATATCTTCACATAAAAACTAGACAGAAGCATTCTCAGAAACTTCTTTGTGTTGTGTGCATTCAACTCACAGAGTTGAACTTTTCCTATGATTGAGCAGTTTTGAAACACTCTTTCTGAAGAATCTGCAAGTGGATATTTGGAGCGCTTTGAGGCCTATGGTGGAAAAGGAAACACCTTCACAAAAAAACTAGAGCAGAAGCATTCTCAGAAACGTCTTTGTGATGTGTGCATTCAACTCACAGAGTTGAACCTTTCTTTGATAGAGCAGTTTTCACACACTCTTTTTGTAGAATCTGCAGTTGGATATTTGGAGCGCTTTGATGCCTATGGTGGAAAAGGAAATATCCGCACATAAAAACTAGACAGCAGCATTCTCAGAAACTTGTTTGTGTTGTGTGCATTCAACTCACAGAGTTGAGCTTTCCTTTGATTGAGCAGTTTTGAAAAAGTCTTTTTGCAGAATCTGCAAGTGGATATTTGGAGCGGTTTGAGGCCTATGGTGTAAAAGGAAATATCTTCACATAAAAACTAGACAGAAGCATTCTCTGAAACTTCTTTGTGATGTGTGAATTCAACTCACAGAGTTGAACCTTTCTTTTGTAGAGCAGTTTTGAAACTCTTTTTGTAGAATCTGTAAGTAGATATTTGGAGCGCTTTGAGGCTTATGGTGGAAAAGGAAATATCTTCACATAAAAACTAGACAGAAGCATTCTCAGAAACTTCTTTGTGATAAGTGCATTCAACTCACAGAGTCGAACCTTTCTGTTGATAGAGCAGTTTTAAATCACTCTTTTTCTAGAATCTGAAAGTGGATATTTGGAGTGCTCTGAGGCCTATGGTGGAAAAGGAAATACCTACACATAAAAACTAGGCGGAAGCATTCTCAGAAATATCTTTGTGATGAGTGCATTCAACTCACAGAGTTGAACATTTATGTTGTTAGAGGAGTTTTAAAACACTCTTTTGCAGGAATCTGAAAGTGGATATTTGGAGCGCTTTGAGGACTTTGGTGGAAAAGGAAACACCTTCACAAAAAAAACTAGAGCAGAAGCATTCTCAGAAGATTCTTTGTGATGTGTGCATTCAACTCACAGAGTTGAAACTTTTTTTTTGATAGAGCAGTTTTGAAACACTATTTTTGTACAATCTGCGGTTGGATATTTGGAGCGCTTTGATGCCTATGGTGGAAAACGAAATATCCGCACATAAAATCTAGACAGCAGCATTCTCAGAAACTTGTTTGTGTTGTGTGCATTCAACTCACAGAGTTGAACCTTTCCTTTGATTGAGCAGTTTTGAAAAAGTCTTTTTGTAGAATCCACAAGTGGATATTTGGAGCAGTTTGAGGCCTGTGGTGTAAAAGGAAATATCTTCACATGAAAACTAGACAGAAGCATTCTCAGAAACTTCTTTGTGTTGTG
The DNA here is from genome assembly GCF_000001405.40 of Homo sapiens. NCBI lineage: Eukaryota > Metazoa > Chordata > Mammalia > Primates > Hominidae > Homo > Homo sapiens. The sequence goes on from NC_000020.11 coordinate 30,113,166, forward strand.
TGCATTCAACTCACAGAGTTGAACTTTTCCTATGATTGAGCAGTTTTGAAACACTCTTTCTGAAGAATCTGCAAGTGGATATTTGGAGCGCTTTGAGGCCTATGGTGGAAAAGGAAACACCTTCACAAAAAAAGCTAGAGCAGAAGCATTCTCAGAAACGTCTTTGTGATGTGTGCATTCAACTCACAGAGTTGAACCTTTCTTTGATAGAGCAGTTTTGAAACACTCTTTTTGTAGAATCTGCAGTTGGATATTTGGAGCGCTTTGATGCCTATGGTGGAAAAGGAAATATCCGCACATAANAACTAGACAGCAGCATTCTCAGAAACTTGTTTGTGTTGTGTGCATTCAACTCACAGAGTTGAACTTTCCTTTGATTGAGCAGTTTTGAAAAAGTCTTTTTGCAGAATCTGCAAGTGGATATTTGGAGCGGTTTGAGGCCTATGGTGTAAAAGGAAATATCTTCACATAAAAACTAGACAGAAGCATTCTCTGAAACTTCTTTCTGAGGTGTGAATTCAACTCACAGAGTTGAACCTTTCTTTTGTAGAGCAGTTTTGAAACTCTCTTTTGTAGAATCTGTAAGTAGATATTTGGAGCGCTTTGAGGCTTATGGTGGAAAAGGAAATATCTTCACATAAAAACTAGACAGAAGCATTCTCAGAAACTTCTTTGTGATAAGTGCATTCAACTCACAGAGTCGAACCTTTCTGTTGATAGAGCAGATTTAAATCACTCTTCTTCTAGAATCTGAAAGTGGATATTTGGAGTGCTCTGAGGCCTATGGTGGAAAAGGAAATACCTTCACAAAAAAACTAGAGCAGAAGCATTCTCAGAAACGTCTTTGTGATGTGTGCATTCAACTCACAGAGTTGAACCTTTCTTTGATAGAGCAGTTTTGAAACACTCTTTTTGTAGAATCTGCAGTTGGATATTTGGAGCGCTTTGATGCCTATGGTGGAAAAGGAAATATCCGCACATAAAAACTAGACAGCAGCATTCTCAGAAACTTGTTTGTGTTGTGTGCATTCAACTCACAGAGTTGAGCTTTCCTTTGATTGAGCAGTTTTGAAAAAGTCTTTTTGCAGAATCTGCAAGTGGATATTTGGAGCGGTTTGAGGCCTATGGTGTAAAAGGAAATATCTTCACATAAAAACTAGACAGAAGCATTCTCTGAAACTTCTTTGTGATGTGTGAATTCAACTCACAGAGTTGAACCTTTCTTTTGTAGAGCAGTTTTGAAACTCTTTTTGTAGAATGTGTAAGTAGATATTTGGAGCGCTTTGAGGCTTATGGTGGAAAAGGAAATATCTTCACATAAAAACTAGACAGAAGCATTCTCAGAAACTTCTTTGTGATAAGTGCATTCAACTCACACAGTCGAACCTTTCTGTTGATAGAGCAGTTTTAAATCACTCTTTTTCTAGAATCTGAAAGTGGATATTTGGAGTGCTTTGAGGCCTATGGTGGAAAAGGAAATACCTACACATAAAAACTAGGCGGAAGCATTCTCAGAAATATCTTTGTGATGAGTGCATTCAACTCACAGAGTTGAACATTTATGTTGATAGAGGACTTTTAAAAGACTCTTTTTCAGGAATCTGAAAGTGGATATTTGGAGCGCTTTGAGGCCTATGGTGGAAAAGGAAACACCTTCACAAAAAAAACTAGAGCAGAAGCATTCTCAGAAACTTCTTTGTGATGTGTGCATTCAACTCACAGAGTTGAACCTTTTTTTTTGATAGAGCAGTTTTGAAACACTATTTTTGTACAATCTGCGGTTGGATATTTGGAGGGCTTTGATGCCTATGGTGGAAAACGAAATATCCGCACATAAAATCTAGACAGCAGCATTCTCAGAAACTTGTTTGTGTTGTGTGCATTCAACTCACAGAGTTGAACCTTTCCTTTGATTGAGCAGTTTTGAAAAAGTCTTTTTGTAGAATCCACAAGTGGATATTTGGAGCAGTTTGAGGCCTATGGTGTAAAAGGAAATATCTTCACATAAAAACTAGACAGAAGCATTCTCAGAAACTTCTTTGTGTTGTGTGCATTCAACTCACAGAGTTGAACTTTTCCTATGATTGAGCAGTTTTGAAACACTCTTTCTGAAGAATCTGCAAGTGGATATTTGGAGCCCTTTGAGGCCTATGGTGGAAAAGGAAACACCTTCACAAAAAAACTAGAGCAGAAGCATTCTCAGAAACGTCTTTGTGATGTGTGCATTCAACTCACAGAGTTGAACCTTTCTTTGATAGAGCAGTTTTGAAACACTCTTTTTGTAGAATCTGCAGTTGGATATTTGGAGCACTTTGATGCCTATGGTGGAAAAGGAAATATCCGCACATAAAAACTAGACAGCAGCATTCTCAGAAACTTGTCTGTGTTGTGTGCATTCAACTCACAGAGTTGAGCTTTCCTTTGATTGAGCAGTTTTGAAAAAGTCTTTTTGCAGAATCTGCAAGTGGATATTTGGAGCGGTTTGAGGCCTATGGTGTAAAAGGAAATATCTTCACATAAAAACTAGACAGGAGCATTCTCTGAAACTTCTTTGTGATGTGTGAATTCAACTCACAGAGTTGAACCTTTCTTTTGTAGAGCAGTTTTGAAACTCTTTTTGTAGAATGTGTAAGTAGATATTTGGAGCGCTTTGAGGCTTATGGTGGANNAGGAATATCTTCACATAAAACTAGACAGAAGCATCTCAGAAACTTCTTGTGATAGTGCATTCACTCACAGAGTCGAACCTTCTGTGATAGAGCAGTTTTAATCACTCTTTCTAGATCTGAAGTGATATTTGATTGTACAATCTGCGGTTGGATATTTGGAGCGCTTTGATGCCTATGGTGGAAAACGAAATATCCGCACATAAAATCTAGACAGCAGCATTCTCAGAAACTTGTTTGTGTTGTGTGCATTCAACTCACAGAGTTGAACCTTTCCTTTGATTGAGCAGTTTTGAAAAAGTCTTTTTGTAGAATCCACAAGTGGATATTTGGAGCAGTTTGAGGCCTATGGTGTAAAAGGAAATATCTTCACATAAAAACTAGACAGAAGCATTCTCAGAAACTTCTTTGTGTTGTGTGCATTCAACTCACAGAGTTGAACTTTTCCTATGATTTAGCAGTTTTGAAACACTCTTTCTGAAGAATCTGCAAGTGGATATTTGGAGCGCTTTGAGGCCTATGGTGGAAAAGGAAACACCTTCACAAAAAAACTAGAGCAGAAGCATTCTCAGAAACGTCTTTGTGATGTCTGCATTCAACTCACATAGTTGAACCTTTCTTTGATAGAGCAGTTTTGAAACACTCTTTTTGTAGAATCTGCAGTTGGATATTTGGAGCGCTTTGATGCCTATGGTGGAAAAGGAAATATCCGCACATAAAAACTAGACAGCAGCATTCTCAGAAACTTGTTTGTGTTGTGTGCATTCAACTCACAGAGTTGAGCTTTCCTTTGATTGAGCAGTTTTGAAAAAGTCTTTTTGCAGAATCTGCAAGTGGATATTTGGAGCGGTTTGAGGCCTATGGTGTAAAAGGAAATATCTTCACATAAAAACTAGACAGAAGCATTCTCTGAAACTTCTTTGTGATGTGTGAATTCAACTCACAGAGTTGAACCTTTCTTTTGTAGAGCAGTTTTGAACCTCTTTTTGTAGAATCTGTAAGTAGATATTTGGAGCGCTTTGAGGCTTATGGTGGAAAAGGAAATATCTTCACATAAAAACTAGACAGAAGCATTCTCAGAAACTTCTTTGTGATCAGTGCATTCAACTCACAGAGTCGAACCTTTCTGTTGATAGAGCAGTTTTAAATCACTCTTTTTCTAGAATCTGAAAGTGGATATTTGGAGTGCTCTGAGGCCTATGGTGGAAAAGGAAATACCTACACATAAAAACTAGGCGGAAGCATTCTCAGAAATATCTTTGTGATGAGTGCATTGAACTCACAGAGTTGAACATTTATGTTGATAGAGGAGTTTTAAAACACTCTTTTTCAGGAATCTGAAAGTGGATATTTGGAGCGCTTTGAGGACTTTGGTGGAAAAGGAAACACCTTCACAAAAAAAACTAGAGCAGAAGCATTCTCAGAAGATTCTTTGTGATGTGTGCATTCAACTCACAGAGTTGAAACTTTTTTTTTGATAGAGCAGTTTTGAAACACTATTTTTGTACAATCTGCGGTTGGATATTTGGAGCGCTTTGATGCCTATGGTGGAAAACGAAATATCCGCACATAAAATCTAGACAGCAGCATTCTCAGAAACTTGTTTGTGTTGTGTGCATTCAACTCACAGAGTTGAACCTTTCCTTTGATTGAGCAGTTTTGAAAAAGTCTTTTTGTAGAATCCACAAGTGGATATTTGGAGCAGTTTGAGGCCTGTGGTGTAAAAGGAAATATCTTCACATGAAAACTAGACAGAAGCATTCTCAGAAACTTCTTTGTGTTGTGTGCATTCAACTCACAGAGTTGAACTTTTCCTATGATTGAACAGTTTTGAAACACTCTTTCTGAAGAATCTGCAAGTGGATATTTGGAGCGCTTTGAGGCCTATGGTGGAAAAGGAAACACCTTCACAAAAAAACTAGAGCAGAAGCATTCTCAGAAACGTCTTTGTGATGTGTGCATTCAACTCACAGAGTTGAACCTTTCTTTGATAGAGCAGTTTTGAAACACTCTTTTTGTAGAATCTGCAGTTGGATATTTGGAGCGCTTTGATGCCTATGGTGGAAAAGGAAATATCCGCACATAAAAACTAGACAGCAGCATTCTCAGAAACTTGTTTGTGTTGTGTGCATTCAACTCACAGAGTTGAGCTTTCCTTTGATTGAGCAGTTTTGAAAAAGTCTTTTTGCAGAATCTGCAAGTGGATATTTGGAGCGGTTTGAGGCCTATGGTGTAAAAGGAAATATCTTCACATAAAAACTAGACAGAAGCATTCTCTGAAACTTCTTTGTGATGTGTGAATTCAACTCACAGAGTTGAACCTTTCTTTTGTAGAGCAGTTTTGAAACTCTTTTTGTAGAATCTGTAAGTAGATATTTGGAGCGCTTTGAGGCTTATGGTGGAAAAGGAAATATCTTCACATAAAAACTAGACAGAAGCATTCTCAGAAACTTCTTTGTGATAAGTGCATTCAACTCACAGAGTCGAACCTTTCTGTTGATAGAGCAGTTTTAAATCACTCTTTTTCTAGAATCTGAATGTGGATATTTGGAGTGCTCTGAGGCCTATGGTGGAAAAGGAAATACCTACACATAAAAACTAGGCGGAAGCATTCTCAGAAATATCTTTGTGATGAGTGCATTCAACTCACAGAGTTGAACATTTATGTTGATAGAGGAGTTTTAAAACACTCTTTTTCAGGAATCTGAAAGTGGATATTTGGAGCGCTTTGAGGCCTATGGTGGAAAAGGAAACACCTTCACAAAAAAAACTAGAGCAGAAGCATTCTCAGGAACTTCTTTCTGATGTGTGCATTCAACTCACAGAGTTGAACCTTTTTTTTTGATAGAGCAGTTTTGAAACACTATTTTTGTACAATCTGCGGTTGGATGTTTGGAGCGCTTTGATGCCTATGGTGGAAAACGAAATATCCGCACATAAAATCTAGACAGCAGCATTCTCAGAAACTTGTTTGTGTTGTGTGCATTCAACTCACAGAGTTGAACCTTTCCTTTGATTGAGCAGTTTTGAAAAAGTCTTTTTGTAGAATCCACAAGTGGATATTTGGAGCAGTTTGAGGCCTATGGTGTAAAAGGAAATATCTTCACATAAAAACTAGACAGAAGCATTCTCAGAAACTTCTTTGTGTTGTGTGCATTCAACTCACAGAGTTGAACTTTTCCTATGATTGAGCAGTTTTGAAACACTCTTTCTGAAGAATCTGCAAGTGGATATTTGGAGCGCTTTGAGGCCTATGGTGGAAAAGGAAACACCTTCACAAAAAAACTAGAGCAGAAGCATTCTCAGAAACGTCTTTGTGATGTGTGCATTCAACTCACAGAGTTGAACCTTTCTTTGATAGAGCAGTTTTCACACACTCTTTTTGTAGAATCTGCAGTTGGATATTTGGAGCGCTTTGATGCCTATGGTGGAAAAGGAAATATCCGCACATAAAAACTAGACAGCAGCATTCTCAGAAACTTGTTTGTGTTGTGTGCATTCAACTCACAGAGTTGAGCTTTCCTTTGATTGAGCAGTTTTGAAAAAGTCTTTTTGCAGAATCTGCAAGTGGATATTTGGAGCGGTTTGAGGCCTATGGTGTAAAAGGAAATATCTTCACATAAAAACTAGACAGAAGCATTCTCTGAAACTTCTTTGTGATGTGTGAATTCAACTCACAGAGTTGAACCTTTCTTTTGTAGAGCAGTTTTGAAACTCTTTTTGTAGAATCTGTAAGTAGATATTTGGAGCGCTTTGAGGCTTATGGTGGAAAAGGAAATATCTTCACATAAAAACTAGACAGAAGCATTCTCAGAAACTTCTTTGTGATAAGTGCATTCAACTCACAGAGTCGAACCTTTCTGTTGATAGAGCAGTTTTAAATCACTCTTTTTCTAGAATCTGAAAGTGGATATTTGGAGTGCTCTGAGGCCTATGGTGGAAAAGGAAATACCTACACATAAAAACTAGGCGGAAGCATTCTCAGAAATATCTTTGTGATGAGTGCATTCAACTCACAGAGTTGAACATTTATGTTGATAGAGGAGTTTTAAAACACTCTTTTTCAGGAATCTGAAAGTGGATATTTGCAGCGCTTTGAGGCCTCTGGTGGAAAAGGAAACACCTTCACAAAAAAAACTAGAGCAGAAGCATTCTCAGGAACTTCTTTGTGATGTGTCCATTCAACTCACAGAGTTGAACCTTTTTTTTGGATAGAGCAGTTTTGAAACACTATTTTTGTACAATCTGCGGTGGATATTGGAGCGCTTGAACTAGCGGAGCATTCTCAGAATATCTTTGTGATGAGTGCATTGAACTCACAGAGTTGAACATTTATGTTGATAGAGGAGTTTTAAAACACTCTTTTCAGGAATCTGAAAGTGGATATTTGGAGCGCTTTGAGGACTTTGGTGGAAAAGGAAACACCTTCACAAAAAAAACTAGAGCAGAAGCATTCTCAGAACTTCTTTGTGATGTGTGCATTCAACTCACAGAGTTGAACCTTTTTTTTTGATAGAGCAGTTTTGAAACACTATTTTTGTACAATCTGCGGTTGGATATTTGGAGCGCTTTGATGCCTATGGTGGAAAACGAAATATCCGCACATAAAATCTAGACAGCAGCATTCTCAGAAACTTCTTTGTGTTGTGTGCATTCAACTCACAGAGTTGAACCTTTCCTTTGATTGAGCAGTTTTGAAAAAGTCTTTTTGTAGAATCCACAAGTGGATATTTGGAGCAGTTTGAGGCCTATGGTGTAAAAGGAAATATCTTCACATAAAAACTAGACAGAAGCATTCTCAGAAACTTCTTTGTGTTGTGTGCATTCAACTCACAGAGTTGAACTTTTCCTATGATTGAGCAGTTTTGAAACACTCTTTCTGAAGAATCTGCAAGTGGATATTTGGAGCGCTTTGAGGCCTATGGTGGAAAAGGAAACACCTTCACAAAAAAACTAGAGCAGAAGCATTCTCAGAAACGTCTTTGTGATGTGTGCATTCAACTCACAGAGTTGAACCTTTCTTTGATAGAGCAGTTTTAAATCACTCTTTTTCTATAATCTGAATGTGGATATTTGGAGTGCTCTGAGGCCTATGGTGGAAAAGGAAATACCTACACATAAAAACTAGGCGGAAGCATTCTCAGAAATATCTTTGTGATGAGTGCATTCAACTCACAGAGTTGAACATTTATGTTGATAGAGGAGTTTTAAAACACTCTTTTTCAGGAATCTGAAAGTGGATATTTGGAGCGCTTTGAGGCCTATGGTGGAAAAGGAAACACCTTCACAAAAAAAACTAGAGCAGAAGCATTCTCAGGAACTTCTTTGTGATGTGTGCATTCAACTCACAGAGTTGAACCTTTTTTTTTGGATAGAGCAGTTTTGAAACACTATTTTTGTACAATCTGCGGTTGGATATTTGGAGCGCTTTGATGCCTATGGTGGAAAACGAAATATCCGCACATAAAATCTAGACAGCAGCATTCTCAGAAACTTGTTTGTGTTGTGTGCATTCAACTCACAGAGTTGAACCTTTCCTTTGATTGAGCAGTTTTGAAAAAGTCTTTTTGTAGAATCCACAAGTGGATATTTGGAGCAGTTTGAGGCCTATGGTGTAAAAGGAAATATCTTCACATAAAAACTAGACAGAAGCATTCTCAGAAACTTCTTTGTGTTGTGTGCATTCAACTCACAGAGTTGAACTTTTCCTATGATTGAGCAGTTTTGAAACACTCTTTCTGAAGAATCTGCAAGTGGATATTTGGAGCGCTTTGAGGCCTATGGTGGAAAAGGAAACACCTTCACAAAAAAACTAGAGCAGAAGCATTCTCAGAAACGTCTTTGTGATGTGTGCATTCAACTCACAGAGTTGAACCTTTCTTTGATAGAGCAGTTTTGAAACACTCTTTTTGTAGAATCTGCAGTTGGATATTTGGAGCGCTTTGATGCCTATGGTGGAAAAGGAAATATCCGCACATAAAAACTAGACAGCAGCATTCTCAGAAACTTGTTTGTGTTGTGTGCATTCAACTCACAGAGTTGAGCTTTCCTTTGATTGAGCAGTTTTGAAAAAGTCTTTTTGCAGAATCTGCAAGTGGATATTTGGAGCGGTTTGAGGCCTATGGTGTAAAAGGAAATATCTTCACATAAAAACTAGACAGAAGCATTCTCTGAAACTTCTTTGTGATGTGTGAATTCAACTCACAGAGTTGAACCTTTCTTTTGTAGAGCAGTTTTGAAACTCTTTTTGTAGAATCTGTAAGTAGATATTTGGAGCGCTTTGAGGCTTATGGTGGAAAAGGAAATATCTTCACATAAAAACTAGACAGAAGCATTCTCAGAAACTTCTTTGTGATAAGTGCATTCAACTCACAGAGTCGAACCTTTCTGTTGATAGAGCAGTTTTAAATCACTCTTTTTCTAGAATCTGAAAGTGGATATTTGGAGTGCTCTGAGGCCTATGGTGGAAAAGGAAATACCTACACATAAAAACTAGGCGGAAGCATTCTCAGAAATATCTTTGTGATGAGTGCATTCAACTCACAGAGTTGAACATTTATGTTGATAGAGGAGTTTTAAAACACTCTTTTTCAGGAATCTGAAAGTGGATATTTGGAGCGCTTTGAGGCCTATGGTGGAAAAGGAAACACCTTCACAAAAAAAACTAGAGCAGAAGCATTCTCAGGAACTTCTTTGTGATGTGTGCATTGAACTCACAGAGTTGAACCTTTTTTTTTGATAGAGCAGTTTTGAAACACTATTTTTGTACAATCTGCGGTTAGATATTTGGAGCGCTTTGATGCCTATGGTGGAAAACGAAATATCCGCACATAAAATCTAGACAGCAGCATTCTCAGAAACTTGTTTGTGTTGTGTGCATTCAACTCACAGAGTTCAACCTTTCCTTTGATTGAGCAGTTTTGAAAAAGTCTTTTTGTAGAATCCACAAGTGGATATTTGGAGCAGTTTGAGGCCTATGGTGTAAAAGGAAATATCTTCACATAAAAACCAGACAGAAGCATTCTCAGAAACTTCTTTGTGTTGTGTGCATTCAACTCGCAGAGTTGAACTTTTCCTATGATTGAGCAGTTTTGAAACACTCTTTCTGAAGATTCTGCAAGTGGATATTTGGAGCGCTTTGAGGCCTATGGTGGAAAAGGAAACACCTTCACAAAAAAACTAGAGCAGAAGCATTCTCAGAAACGTCTTTGTGATGTGTGCATTCAACTCACAGAGTTGAACCTTTCTTTGATAGAGCAGTTTTGAAACACTCTTTTTGTAGAATCTGCAGTTGGATATTTGGAGCGCTTTGATGCCTATGGTGGAAAAGGAAATATCCGCACATAAAAACTAGGCAGCAGCATTCTCAGAAACTTGTTTGTGTTGTGTGCATTCAACTCACAGAGTTGACCTTTCCTTTGATTGAGCAGTTTTGAAAAAGTCTTTTTGCAGAATCTGCAAGTGGATATTTGGAGCGGTTTGAGGCCTATGGTGTAAAAGGAAATATCTTCACATAAAAACTAGACAGAAGCATTCTCTGAAACTTCTTTGTGATGTGTGAATTCAACTCACAGAGTTGAACCTTTCTTTTGTAAAGCAGTTTTGAAACTCTTTTTGTAGAATCTGTAAGTAGATATTTGGAGCGCTTTGAGGCTTATGGTGGACGAGGGAATAACTTCACATAAAACTAGACAGAAGCATTCTCAGAAACTTCTTTGTGATAAGTGCATTCAACTCACAGAGTCGAACCTTTCTGTTGATAGAGCAGTTTTAAATCACTCTTTTTCTAGAATCTGAAAGTGGATATTTGGAGTGCTCTGAGGCCTATGGTGGAAAAGGAAATACCTACACATAAAAACTAGGCGGAAGCATTCTCAGAAATATCTTTGTGATGAGTGCATTCAACTCACAGAGTTGAACATATATGTTGATAGAGGAGTTTTAAAACACTCTTTTTCAGGAATCTGAAAGTGGATATTTGGAGCGCTTTGAGGCCTATGGTGGAAAAGGAAACACCTTCACAAAGAAAACTAGAGCAGAAGCATTCTCAGGAACTTCTTTGTGATGTGTGCATTCAACTCACAGAGTTGAATCTTTTTTTTTGATAGAGCAGTTTTGAAACACTATTTTTGTACAATCTGCAGTTGGATATTTGGAGCGCTTTGATGTCTATGGTGGAAAACGAAATATCCGCACATAAAATCTAGACAGCAGCATTCTCAGAAACTTGTTTGTGTTGTGTGCATTCAACTCACAGAGTTGAACCTTTCCTTTGATTGAGCAGTTTTGAAAAAGTCTTTTTGTAGAATCCACAAGTGGATATTTGGAGCAGTTTGAGGCCTATGGTGTAAAAGGAAATATCTTCACATAAAAACCAGACAGAAGCATTCTCAGAAACTTCTTTGTGTTGTGTGCATTCAACTCGCAGAGTTGAACTTTTCCTATGATTGAGCAGTTTTGAAACACTCTTTCTGAAGATTCTGCAAGTGGATATTTGGAGCGCTTTGAGGCCTATGGTGGAAAAGGAAACACCTTCACAAAAAAACTAGAGCAGAAGCATTCTCAGAAACGTCTTTGTGATGTGTGCATTCAACTCACAGAGTTGAACCTTTCTTTGATAGAGCAGTTTTGAAACACTCTTTTTGTAGAATCTGCAGTTGGATATTTGGAGCGCTTTGATGCCTATGGTGGAAAAGGAAATATCCGCACATAAAAACTAGACAGCAGCATTCTCAGAAACTTGTTTGTGTTGTGTGCATTCAACTCACAGAGTTGACCTTTCCTTTGATTGAGCAGTTTTGAAAAAGTCTTTTTGCAGAATCTGCAAGTGGATATTTGGAGCGGTTTGAGGCCTATGGTGTAAAAGGAAATATCTTCACATAAAAACTAGACAGAAGCATTCTCTGAAACTTCTTTGTGATGTGCGAATTCAACTCACAGAGTTGAACCTTTCTTTTGTAAAGCAGTTTTGAAACTCTTTTTGTAGAATCTGTAAGTAGATATTTGGAGCGCTTTGAGGCTTATGGTGGAAAAGGAAATATCTTCACATAAAAACTAGACAGAAGCATTCTCAGAAACTTCTTTGTGATAAGTGCATTCAACTCACAGAGTCGAACCTTTCTGTTGATAGAGCAGTTTTAAATCACTCTTTTTCTAGAATCTGAAAGTGGATATTTGGAGTGCTCTGAGGCCTATGGTGGAAAAGGAAATACCTACACATAAAAACTAGGCGGAAGCATTCTCAGAAATATCTTTGTGATGAGTGCATTCAACTCACAGAGTTGAATATTTATGTTGATAGAGGAGTTTTAAAACACTCTTTTTCAGAAATCTGAAAGTGGATATTTGGAGCGCTTTGAGGCCTATGGTGGAAAAGGAAACACCTTCACAAAAAAAACTAGAGCAGAAGCATTCTCAGAAACTTCTTTGTGCTGTGTGCATTCAACTCACAGAGTTGAAACTTTTTTTTTGATAGAGCAGTTTTGAAACACTATTTTTGTACAATCTGCGGTTGGATGTTTGGAGCGCTTTGATGCCTATGGTGGAAAACGAAATATCCGCACATAAAATCTGGACAGCAGCACTCTCAGAAACTTGTTTGTGTTGTGTGCATTCAACTCACAGAGTTGAACCTTTCCTTTGATTGAGCAGTTTTGAAAAAGACTTTTTGTAGAATCCACAAGTGGATATTTGGAGCAGTTTGAGGCCTATGGTGTAAAAGGAAATATCTTCACATAAAAACCAGACAGAAGCATTCTCAGAAACTTCTTTGTGTTGTGTGCATTCAACTCGCAGAGTTGAACTTTTCCTATGATTGAGCAGTTTTGAAACACTCTTTCTGAAGATTCTGCAAGTGGATATTTGGAGCGCTTTGAGGCCTATGGTGATAAGGAAACACCTTCACAAAAAACTAGAGCAGAAGCATTCTCAGAAACGTCTTTGTGATGTGTGCATTCAACTCACAGAGTTGAACCTTTCTTTGATAGAGCAGTTTTGAAACACTCTTTTTGTAGAATCTGCAGTTGGATATTTGGAGCGCTTTGATGCCTATGGTGGAAAAGGAAATATCCGCACATAAAAACTAGGCAGCAGCATTCTCAGAAACTTGTTTGTGTTGTGTGCATTCAACTCACAGAGTTGACCTTTCCTTTGATTGAGCAGTTTTGAAAAAGTCTTTTTGCAGAATCTGCAAGTGGATATTTGGAGCGGTTTGAGGCCTATGGTGTAAAAGGAAATAACTTCACATAAAAACTAGACAGAAGCATTCTCTGAAACTTCTTTGTGATGTGTGAATTCAACTCACAGAGTTGAACCTTTCTTTTGTAAAGCAGTTTTGAAACTCTTTTTGTAGAATCTGTAAGTAGATATTTGGAGCGCTTTGAGGCTTATGGTGGAAAAGGAAATAACTTCACATAAAAACTAGACAGAAGCATTCTCAGAAACTTCTTTGTGGTAAGTGCATTCAACTCACAGAGTCGAACCTTTCTGTTGATAGAGCAGTTTTAAATCACTCTTTTTCTAGAATCTGAAAGTGGATATTTGGAGTGCTCTGAGGCCTATGGTGGAAAAGGAAATACCTACACATAAAAACTAGGCGGAAGCATTCTCAGAAATATCTTTGTGATGAGTGCATTCAACTCACAGAGTTGAATATTTATGTTGATAGAGGAGTTTTAAAACACTCTTTTTCAGAAATCTGAAAGTGGATATTTGGAGCGCTTTGAGGCCTATGGTGGAAAAGGAAACACCTTCACAAAAAAAACTAGAGCAGAAGCATTCTCAGAAACTTCTTTGTGCTGTGTGCATTCAACTCACAGAGTTGAACCTTTTTTTTTGATAGAGCAGTTTTGAAACACTATTTTTGTACAATCTGCGGTTGGATGTTTGGAGCGCTTTGATGCCTATGGTGGAAAACGAAATATCCGCACATAAAATCTAGACAGCAGCACTCTCAGAAACTTGTTTGTGTTGTGTGCATTCAACTCACAGAGTTGAACCTTTCCTTTGATTGAGCAGTTTTGAAAAAGTCTTTTTGTAGAATCCACAAGTGGATATTTGGAGCAGTTTGAGGCCTATGGTGTAAAAGGAAATATCTTCACATAAAAACCAGACAGAAGCATTCTCAGAAACTTCTTTGTGTTGTGTGCATTCAACTCGCAGAGTTGAACTTTTCCTATGATTGAGCAGTTTTGAAACACTCTTTCTGAAGATTCTGCAAGTGGATATTTGGAGCGCTTTGAGGCCTATGGTGGAAAAGGAAACACCTTCACAAAAAAACTAGAGCAGAAGCATTCTCAGAAACGTCTTTGTGATGTGTGCATTCAACTCACAGAGTTGAACCTTTCTTTGATAGAGCAGTTTTGAAACACTCTTTTTGTAGAATCTGCAGTTGGATATTTGGAGCGCTTTGATGCCTATGGTGGAAAAGGAAATATCCGCACATAAAAACTAGGCAACAGCATTCTCAGAAACTTGTTTGTGTTGTGTGCATTCAACTCACAGAGTTGACCTTTCCTTTGATTGAGCAGTTTTGAAAAAGTCTTTTTGCAGAATCTGCAAGTGGATATTTGGAGCGGTTTGAGGCCTATGGTGTAAAAGGAAATATCTTCACATAAAAACTAGACAGAAGCATTCTCTGAAACTTCTTTGTGATGTGTGAATTCAACTCACAGAGTTGAACCTTTCTTTTGTAGAGCAGTTTTGAAACTCTTTTTGTAGAATCTGTAAGTAGATATTTGGAGCGCTTTGAGGCTTATGGTGGAAAAGGAAATATCTTCACATAAAAACTAGACAGAAGCATTCTCAGAAACTTCTTTGTGATAAGTGCATTCAACTCACAGAGTCGAACCTTTCTGTTGATAGAGCAGTTTTAAATCACTCTTTTTCTAGAATCTGAAAGTGGATATTTGGAGTGCTCTGAGGCCTATGGTGGAAAAGGAAATACCTACACATAAAAACTAGGCGGAAGCATTCTCAGAAATATCTTTGTGATGAGTGCATTCAACTCACAGAGTTGAACATATATGTTGATAGAGGAGTTTTAAAACACTCTTTTTCAGGAATCTGAAAGTGGATATTTGGAGCGCTTTGAGGCCTATGGGGAAAAGGAAACACCTTGGAGTCTTGCTCTGTACCCAGGTGGGAGTGCAGTGTTGTGATCTTGGCTCACTGCAACCTCTTCCTCCTGGGTTCAAGTGATTCTCCTACCTCAGCCTCCCGAGTAGCTGGAATTACAGGTGCCCATAACCATGCCCAGCTAATTTTTGTATTTTTCCATAGAGACGGGGTTTCACCATGTTAGCCAGGCTGGTCTTGAACTCCACTATTTTTGTACAATCTGCGGTTGGATGTTTGGAGCGCTTTGATGCCTATGGTGGAAAACGAAATCTCCGCACATAAAATCTAGACAGCAGCATTCTCAGAAACTTGTTTGTGTTGTGTGCATTCAACTCACAGAGTTGAACCTTTCCTTTGATTGAGCAGTTTTGAAAAAGTCTTTTTATAGAATCCACAAGTGGATATTTGGAGCAGTTTGAGGCCTATGGTGTAAGAGGAAATATTTTCACATAAAAACTAGACAGAAGCATTCTCAGAAACTTCTTTGTGTTGTGTGCATTCAACTCACAGAGTTGAACTTTTCCTATGATTGAGCAGTTTTGAAACACTCTTTCTGAAGAATCTGCAAGTGGATATTTGGAGTGCTTTGAGGCCTATGGTGGAAAAGGAAACACCTTCACAAAAAAACTAGAGCAGAAGCATTCTCAGAATCTTCTTTGTGATGTGTGCATTCAACTCACAGAGTTGAACCTTTTTTTTTGATAGAGCAGTTTTGAAACACTATTTTTGTACAATCTGCGGTTGGATATTTGGAGCGCTTTGATGCCTATGGTGGAAAACGAAATATCCGCACATAAAATCTAGACAGCAGCATTCTCAGAAACTTGTTTGTGTTGTGTGCATTCAACTCACAGAGTTGAACCTTTCCTTTCATTGAGCAGCTTTGAAAAAGTCTTTTTGTAGAATCCACAAGTGGATATTTGGAGCAGTTTGAGGCCTATGGTGTAAAAGGAAATATCTTCACATAAAAACCAGACAGAAGCATTCTCAGAAACTTCTTTGTGTTGTGTGCATTCAACTCACAGAGTTGAACTTTTCCTATGATTGAGCAGTTTTGAAACACTCTTTCTGAAGAATCTGCAAGTGGATATTTGGAGCGCTTTGAGGCCTATGGTGGAAAAGGAAACACCTTCACAAAAAAACTAGAGCAGAAGCATTCTCAGAATCTTCTTTGTGATGTGTGCATTCAACTCACAGAGTTGAACCTTTTTTTTTGATAGAGCAGTTTTGAAACACTATTTTTGTACAATCTGCGGTTGGATATTTGCAGCGCTTTGATGCCTATGGTGGAAAACGAAATATCCGCACATAAAATCTAGACAGCAGCATTCTCAGAAACTTGTTTGTGTTGTGTGCATTCAACTCACAGAGTTGAACCTTTCCTTTGATTGAGCAGTTTTGAAAAAGTCTTTTTGTAGAATCCGCAAGTGGATATTTGGAGCGGTTTGAGGCCTATGGTGTAAAAGGAAATATCTTCACATAAAAACCAGACAGAAGCATTCTCAGAAACTTCTTTGTGATGTGTGCATTCAACTCACAGAGTTGAACCTTTCTTTTGTAAAGCAGTTTTGAAACTCTTTTTGTAGAATCTGTAAGTAGATATTTGGAGCGCTTTGAGTCTTATGGTGGAAAAGGAAATATCTTCACATAAAAACTAGACAGAAGCATTCTCTGAAACTTCTTTGTGATGTGTGAATTCAACTCACAGAGTTGAACCTTTCTTTTGCAGAGCAGTTTTGAAACTCCTTTGTAGAATCTGTAAGTAGATATTTGGAGCGCTTTGAGGCTTATGGTGGAAAAGGAAATATCTTCACATAAAAACTAGACAGAAGCATTCTCAGAAACTTCTTTGTGATAAGTGCATTCAACTCACAGAGTCGAACCTTTCTGTTGATAGAGCAGTTTTAAATCACTCTTTTTCTAGAATCTGAAAGTGGATATTTGGAGTGCTCTGAGGCCTATGGTGGAAAAGGAAATACCTACACATAAAAACTAGGCGGAAGCATTCTCAGAAATATCTTTGTGATGAGTGCATTCAACTCACAGAGTTGAACATATATGTTGATAGAGGAGTTTTAAAACACTCTTTTTCAGGAATCTGAAAGTGGATATTTGGAGCGCTTTGAGGCCTATGGTGGAAAAGGAAACACCTACTCAAAGAAAACTAGAGCAGAAGCATTCTCAGGAACTTCTTTGTGATGTGTGCATTCAACTCACAGAGTTGAACCTTTTTTTTTGATAGAGCAGTTTTGAAACACTATTTTTGTACAATCTGCGGTTGGATGTTTGGAGCGCTTTGATGCCTATGGTGGAAAACGAAATATCCGCACATAAAATCTAGACAGCAGCATTCTCAGAAACTTGTTTGTGTTGTGTGCATTCAAGTCACAGAGTTGAACCTTTCCTTTGATTGAGCAGTTTTGAAAAAGTCTTTTTGTAGAATCCACAAGTGGATATTTGGAGCAGTTTGAGGCCTATGGTGTAAAAGGAAATATCTTCACATAAAAACTAGACAGAAGCATTCTCAGAAACTTCTTTGTGTTGTGTGCATTCAACTCACAGAGTTGAACTTTTCCTATGATTGAGCAGTTTTGAAACACTCTTTCTGAAGAATCTGCAGTGGATATNTGGAGCGCTTTGAGGCTATGGTGGAAAGGAACACCTTCCAAAAAACTAGAGCAGAGCATCTCAGAACGTCNTGTGATGGTGCATTCACTCACAGAGTGACCTTCTTNGAAGAGCAGTTTGAACACTCTTTTGTAGATCTGCAGTGGATATTNGAGCGCTTGATGCTATGTCGCACATAAAAACTAGACAGCGCATCTCAGAACTGTTTGTGTGTGTGCATCAACTCACAGAGTGAGCTTTCCTTTGATTGAGCAGTTTTGAAAAGTCTTTTTGCAGAATCTGCAAGTGGATATTTGGAGCGGTTTGAGGCCTATGGTGTAAAAGGAAATATCTTCACATAAAAACTAGACAGAAGCATTCTCTGAAACTTCTTTGTGATGTGTGAATTCAACTCACAGAGTTGAACCTTTCTTTTGTAGAGCAGTTTTGAAACTCTTTTTGTAGAATCTGTAAGTAGATATTTGTAGCGCTTTGAGGCTTATGGTGGAAAAGGAAATATCTTCACATAAAAACTAGACAGAAGCATTCTCAGAAACTTCTTTGTGATAAGTGCATTCAACTCACAGAGTCGAACCTTTCTGTTGATAGAGCAGTTTTAAATCACTCTTTTTCTAGAATCTGAAAGTGGATATTTGGAGTGCTCTGAGGCCTATGGTGGAAAAGGAAATACCTACACATAAAAACTAGGCGGAAGCATTCTCAGAAATATCTTTGTGATGAGTGCATTCAACTCACAGAGTTGAACATTTATGTTGATAGAGGAGTTTTAAAACACTCTTTTTCAGGAATCTGAAAGTGGATATTTGGAGCGCTTTGAGGACTTTGGTGGAAAAGGAAACACCTTCACAAAAAAAACTAGAGCAGAAGCATTCTCAGAAGATTCTTTGTGATGTGTGCATTCAACTCACAGAGTTGAAACTTTTTTTTGGATAGAGCAGTTTTGAAACACTATTTTTGTACAATCTGCGGTTGGATATTTGGAGCGCTTTGATGCCTATGGTGGAAAACGAAATATCCGCACATAAAATCTAGACAGCAGCATTCTCAGAAACTTGTTTGTGTTGTGTGAATTCAACTCACAGAGTTGAACCTTTCCTTTGATTGAGCAGTTTTGAAAAAGTCTTTTTGTAGAATCCACAAGTGGATATTTGGAGCAGTTTGAGGCCTCTGGTGTAAAAGGAAATATCTTCACATGAAAACTAGACAGAAGCATTCTCAGAAACTTCTTTGTGTTGTGTGCATTCAACTCACAGAGTTGAACTTTTCCTATGATTGAGCAGTTTTGAAACACTCTTTCTGAAGAATCTGCAAGTGGATATTTGGAGCGCTTTGAGGCCTATGGTGGAAAAGGAAACACCTTCACAAAAAAACTAGAGCAGAAGCATTCTCAGAAACGTCTTTGTGATGTGTGCATTCAACTCACAGAGTTGAACCTTTCTTTGATAGAGCAGTTTTGAAACACTCTTTTTGTAGAATCTGCAGTTGGATATTTGGAGCGCTTTGATGCCTATGGTGGAAAAGGAAATATCCGCACATAAAAACTAGACAGCAGCATTCTCAGAAACTTGTTTGTGTTGTGTGCATTCAACTCACAGAGTTGAGCTTTCCTTTGATTGAGCAGTTTTGAAAAAGTCTTTTTGCAGAATCTGCAAGTGGATATTTGGAGCGGTTTGAGGCCTATGGTGTAAAAGGAAATATCTTCACATAAAAACTAGACAGAAGCATTCTCTGAAACTTCTTTGTGATGTGTGAATTCAACTCACAGAGTTGAACCTTTCTTTTGTAGAGCAGTTTTGAAACTCTTTTTGTAGAATCTGTAAGTAGATATTTGGAGCGCTTTGAGGCTTATGGTGGAAAAGGAAATATCTTCACATAAAAACTAGACAGAAGCATTCTCAGAAACTTCTTTGTGATAAGTGCATTCAACTCACAGAGTCGAACCTTTCTGTTGATAGAGCAGTTTTAAATCACTCTTTTTCTAGAATCTGAAAGTGGATATTTGGAGTGCTCTGAGGCCTATGGTGGAAAAGGAAATACCTACACATAAAAACTAGGCGGAAGCATTCTCAGAAATATCTTTGTGATGAGTGCATTCAACTCACAGAGTTGAACATTTATGTTGATAGAGGAGTTTTAAAACACTCTTTTTCAGGAATCTGAAGGGGATATTTGGAGCGCTTTGAGGCCTATGGTGGAAAAGGAAACACCTTCACAAAAAAAACTAGAGCAGAAGCATTCTCAGGAACTTCTTTGTGATGTGTGCATTCAACTCACAGAGTTGAACCTTTTTTTTTGATAGAGCAGTTTTGAAACACTATTTTTGTACAATCTGCAGTTGGATGTTTGGAGCGCTTTGATGCCTATGGTGGAAAACGAAATATCCGCACATAAAATCTAGACAGCAGCATTCTCAGAAACTTGTTTGTGTTGTGTGCATTCAACTCACAGAGTTGAACCTTTCCTTTGATTGAGCAGTTTTGAAAAAGACTTTTTGTAGAATCCACAAGTGGATATTTGGAGCAGTTTGAGGCCTATGGTGTAAAAGGAAATATCTTCACATAAAAACTAGACAGAAGCATTCTCAGAAACTTCTTTGTGTTGTGTGCATTCAACTCACAGAGTTGAACTTTTCCTATGATTGAGCAGTTTTGAAACACTCTTTCTGAAGAATCTGCAAGTGGATATTTGGAGCGCTTTGAGGCCTATGGTGGAAAAGGAAACACCTTCACAAAAAAACTAGAGCAGAAGCATTCTCAGAAACGTCTTTGTGATGTCTGAATTCAACTCACATAGTTGAACCTTTCTTTGATAGAGCAGTTTTGAAACACTCTTTTTGTAGAATCTGCAGTTGGATATTTGGAGCGCTTTGATGCCTATGGTGGAAAAGGAAATATCCTCACATAAAAACTAGACAGCAGCAATCTCAGAAACTTGTTTGTGTTGTGTGCATTCAACTCACAGAGTTGACCTTTCCTTTGATTGAGCAGTTTTGAAAAAGTCTTTTTGCAGAATCTGCAAGTGGATATTTGGAGCGGTTTGAGGCCTATGGTGTAAAAGGAAATATCTTCACATAAAAACTAGACAGAAGCATTCTCTGAAACTTCTTTGTGATGTGTGAATTCAACTCACAGAGTTGAACCTTTCTTTTGTAGAGCAGTTTTGAAACTCTTTTTGTAGAATCTGTAAGTAGATATTTGGAGCGCTTTGAGGCTTATGGTGGAAAAGGAAATATCTTCACATAAAAACTAGACAGAAGCATTCTCAGAAACTTCTTTGTGATAAGTGCATTCAACTCACAGAGTCGAACCTTTCTGTTGATAGAGCAGTTTTAAATCACTCTTTTTCTAGAATCTGAAAGTGGATATTTGGAGTGCTCTGAGGCCTATGGTGGAAAAGGAAATACCTACACATAAAAACTAGGCGGAAGCATTCTCAGAAATATCTTTGTGATGAGTGCATTCAACTCACAGAGTTGAACATTTATGTTGATAGAGGAGTTTTAAAACACTCTTTTTCAGGAATCTGAAAGTGGATATTTGGAGCGCTTTGAGGCCTATGGTGGAAAAGGAAACACCTTCACAAAAAAAACTAGAGCAGAAGCATTCTCAGGAACTTCTTTGTGATGTGTGCATTCAACTCACAGAGTTGAACTTTTTTTTGGATAGAGCAGTTTTGAAACACTATTTTTGTACAATCTGCGGTTGGATATTTGGAGCGCTTTGATGCCTATGGTGGAAAACGAAATATCCGCACATAAAATCTAGACAGCAGCATTCTCAGAAACTTGTTTGTGTTGTGTGCATTCAACTCACAGAGTTGAACCTTTCCTTTGATTGAGCAGTTTTGAAAAAGTCTTTTTGTAGAATCCACAAGTGGATATTTGGAGCAGTTTGAGGCCTATGGTGTAAAAGGAAATATCTTCACATAAAAACTAGACAGAAGCATTCTCAGAAACTTCTTTGTGTTGTGTGCATTCAACTCACAGAGTTGAACTTTTCCTATGATTGAGCAGTTTTGAAACACTCTTTCTGAAGAATCTGCAAGTGGATATTTGGAGCGCTTTGAGGCCTATGGTGGAAAAGGAAACACCTTCACAAAAAAACTAGAGCAGAAGCATTCTCAGAAACGTCTTTGTGATGTGTGCATTCAACTCACAGAGTTGAACCTTTCTTTGATAGAGCAGTTTTGAAACACTCTTTTTGTAGAATCTGCAGTTGGATATTTCGAGCGCTTTGATGCCTATGGTGGAAAAGGAAATATCCGCACATAAAAACTAGACAGCAGCATTCTCAGAAACTTGTTTGTGTTGTGTGCATTCAACTCACAGAGTTGACCTTTCCTTTGATTGAGCAGTTTTGAAAAAGTCTTTTTGCAGAATCTGCAAGTGGATATTTGGAGCGGTTTGAGGCCTATGGTGTAAAAGGAAATATCTTCACATAAAAACTGACAGAAGCATCTCTGAACTCTTNGTGATGGTGATTCACTCCAGAGTGACTCACAGAGTGACTTTCTTNGATGAGCAGTTTGAAAAGTCTTTTGCAGAACTGCAGTGGATATTGGAGCGTTGAGGCCTATGGTGTAAAAGGAAATATCTTCACATAAAAACTAGACAGAAGCATTCTCTGAAACTTCTTTGTGATGTGTGAATTCAACTCACAGAGTTGAACCTTTCTTTTGTAGAGCAGTTTTGAAACTCTTTTTGTAGAATCTGTAAGTAGATATTTGGAGCGCTTTGAGGCTTATGGTGGAAAAGGAAATATCTTCACATAAAAACTAGACAGAAGCATTCTCAGAAACTTCTTTGTGATAAGTGCATTCAACTCACAGAGTCGAACCTTTCTGTTGATAGAGCAGTTTTAAATCACTCTTTTTCTAGAATCTGAAAGTGGATATTTGGAGTGCTCTGAGGCCTATGGTGGAAAAGGAAATACCTACACATAAAAACTAGGCGGAAGCATTCTCAGAAATATCTTTGTGATGAGTGCATTCAACTCACAGAGTTGAACATTTATGTTGATAGAGGAGTTTTAAAACACTCTTTTTCAGGAATCTGAAAGTGGATATTTGGAGCGCTTTGAGGCCTATAGTGGAAAAGGAAACACCTTCACAAAAAAAACTAGAGCAGAAGCATTCTCAGGAACTTCTTTGTGATGTGTGCATTCAACTCACAGAGTTGAAGCTTTTTTTTTGATAGAGCAGTTTTGAAACACTATTTTTGTACAATCTGCGGTTGGATATTTGGAGCGCTTTGATGCCTATGGTGGAAAACGAAATATCCGCACATAAAATCTAGACAGCAGCATTCTCAGAAACTTGTTTGTGTTGTGTGCATTCAACTCACAGAGTTGAACCTTTCCTTTGATTGAGCAGTTTCGAAAAAGTCTTTTTGTAGAATCCACAAGTGGATATTTGGAGCAGTTTGAGGCCTATGGTGTAAAAGGAAATATCTTCACATAAAAACCAGACAGAAGCATTCTCAGAAACTTCTTTGTGTTGTGTGCATTCAACTCACAGAGTTGAACTTTTCCTATGATTGAGCAGTTTTGAAACACTCTTTCTGAAGAATCTGCAAGTGGATATTTGGAGCGCTTTGAGGCCTATGGTGGAAAAGGAAACACCTTCACAAAAAAACTAGAGCAGAAGCATTCTCAGAAACGTCTTTGTGATGTGTGCATTCAACTCACAGAGTTGAACCTTTCTTTGATAGAGCAGTTTTGAAACACTCTTTTTGTAGAATCTGCAGTTGGATATTTGGAGCGCTTTGATGCCTATGGTGGAAAAGGAAATATCCGCACATAAAAACTAGACAGCAGCATTCTCAGAAACTTGTTTGTGTTGTGTGCATTCAACTCACAGAGTTGAGCTTTCCTTTGATTGAGCAGTTTTGAAAAAGTCTTTTTGCAGAATCTGCAAGTGGATATTTGGAGCGGTTTGAGGCCTATGGTGTAAAAGGAAATATCTTCACATAAAAACTAGACAGAAGCATTCTCTGAAACTTCTTTGTGATGTGTGAATTCAACTCATAGAGTTGAACCTTTCTTTTGTAGAGCAGTTTTGAAACTCTTTTTGTAGAATCTGTAAGTAGATATTTGGAGCGCTTTGAGGCTTATGGTGGAAAAGGAAATATCTTCACATAAAAACTAGACAGAAGCATTCTCAGAAACTTCTTTGTGATAAGTGCATTCAACTCACAGAGTCGAACCTTTCTGTTGATAGAGCAGTTTTAAATCACTCTTTTTCTAGAATCTGAAAGTGGATATTTGGAGTGCTCTGAGGCCTATGGTGGAAAAGGAAATACCTACACATAAAAACTAGGCGGAAGCATTCTCAGAACTATCTTTGTGATGAGTGCATTCAACTCACAGAGTTGAACATTTATGTTGATAGAGGAGTTTTGAAACACTCTTTTTCAGGAATCTGAAAGTGGATATTTGGAGCGCTTTGAGGCCTATGGTGGAAAAGGAAACACCTTCACAAAAAAAACTAGAGCAGAAGCATTCTCAGAAACTTCTTTGTGATGTGTGCATTCAACTCACAGATTTGAACCTTTTTTTTGATAGAGCAGTTTTGAAACACTATTTTTGTACAATCTGCAGTTGGATATTTGGAGGGCTTTGATGCCTATGGTGGAAAACGAAATATCCGCACATAAAATCTAGACAGCAGCATTCTCAGAAACTTGTTTGTGTTGTGTGCATTCAACTCACAGAGTTGAACCTTTCCTTTGATTGAGCAGTTTTGAGAAAGTCTTTTTGTATAATCCACAAGTGGATATTTGGAGCAGTTTGAGGCCTATGGTGTAAAAGGAAATATCTTCACATAAAAACTATACAGAAGCATTCTCAGAAACTTCTTTGTGATGTGTGAAATCAACTCACAGAGTTGAACCTTTCTTTCGTAGAGCAGTTTTGAAACACTCTTTTTGTAGAATCTGCAAGTAGATATTTGGAGCGCTTTGAGGCTTATGGTGGAAAAGGAAATATCTTCACATAAAAACTAGAAAGAAGCATTCTCAGAAACTTCTTTGTGATGTGTGCATTCAACTCACAGATTTGAACCTTTCTGTTGATAGAGCAGTTTTAAAACACTCTTTTTCTGGAATCTGAAAGTGGATATTTGGAGCGCTTTGAGGCCTATAGTGGAAAAGGAAACACCTTTACAAAAAAACTATAGCAGAAGAATTCTCAGAAACTTCTTTGTGATGTGTGCATTCAACTCTTTGAGTTTTTTGATAGAGCAGTTTTGAAACACTATTTTTGTAGAATCTGCAATTGGATATTTGGAGGGCTTTGATGCCTACGGTGGAAAAGGAAATATCCACACATAAAAACTAGACACAGCATGCTCAGAAACTTGTTTGTGTTGTGTGCATTCAACTCACAGAGTTGACCTTTCCTTTGATTGAGCAGTTTTGAAAAAGTCTTTTTGTAGAATCTGCAAGTGGACATTTGGAGCGGTTTAAGGCCTATGGTGTAAAAGGAAATATCTTCACATAAAGACTAGACAGAAGTATTCTCAGAAAGTTCTTTGCGATGTGTGAATTCAACTCACAGAGTTGAACCTTTCTTTCATAGAGCAGTTTTGAAACACTCTTTTTATAGAATCTGCAAGTAGATATTTGGAGCGCTTTGAGGCTTATAGTAGAAAAGGAAATATCTTCACATAAAAACTAGACAGAAGCATTCTCAGAAACTTCTTTGTGATAAGTGCATTCAACCCACAGAGTTGAGCCTTTCTTTTGATAGAGCAGTTTTAAAACACTCTTTTTCTAGAATCTGAAATTGGATATTTGGAGCGCTTTTAGGCCTATGGAGGAAAAGGAAATATCTTCACATAAAAACTAGATGGAAGCATTCTCAGAAACTTCTTTGTGATAAGTGCATTCAACTCACAGAGTTGAGCCTTTCTTTTGATAGAGCAGTTTTAAAACACTCTTTTTCTAGAATCTGAAAGTGGATATTTGGAGTGCTTTGAGGCCTATGGTGGAAAAGGAAATATCTTCACATAGAAACTAGGCAGATGCATTGTCAGTAACTAATTTGTGTTGTGTGCATTCAACTCACAGAGTTGTATTTTTCCTTTGATTGAGCAGTTTTGAAACACTCTTTTTGTAGAATCTGCAAGTGGATATTTGGAGCACTTTGAGGCCTATGGTGGAAAAGGAAACACCTTCACAAAAAGACTGGAGCAGAAGCATTCTTAGAAACTCCTTTGTGATGTGTGCATTCAACTCACACTGTTCAAACTTTCTTTAGATAGATCAGTTTTGAAACACACTTTTTGTAGAATCTGCAAGTGGATATTTGCAGCGCTTTGAGGCCTATGGTGGAAAAACAAATATCCTCATATAAAAACTCGACAGAAGCATTCTCAGAGACTTGTTTGTGTTGTGTAAATTCAACGCACGGAGTTGAACCATTCCTTTGATTGAGCAGTTTTGAAACACTCTTTTTGTAGAATCTGCCAGTGGATATTTGAAGCGCTTTGATGCCTATGGTGTAATAGGAACTATCTTCACATAAAAACTAGACAGAAGCATTCTCAGAATCTTTCTTGTAATGTGTGCATTCAACTCGCAGTGTTAAACCTTTGTTTTGAATAGCAGTTTTGAAACACTTTTTTTTTAGAATATGCAAGTGGATATTTGGATCGCTTTGTGGCCTATGGAGGAAAACAAAATATCTTCACATAAAAAGTTGACAGAAACATTCTCAGAAACTACTTTGTGATGAGTGCATTCTATTCAAAAAGTTGAAAGTTTCTTTTTATGGAGCAATTTTGAAACACTCTTTTCGTAGATTCTGAAAATGGATTCTGGAGCGATTTGAGGCCTATGTTGGAAAAGTAAATATCCTCACATTAAAACTTGACTGAAGCATTCTCAGAAACATCTTTGTGTTGTGTGCATTCAACTCACCGAGTTGAATATTTCGTTTGATTGAGCAGTTTTGAAACACTATTTTTGTAGTATCTGCAAGTGGATATTTGGAGGGTTTGAGGCCTTTGGCGGAAAAGGAAATATCTTCACATAAAAACTGGACAGATGCATTCTCAGAAACTTCTTGGTGATGAGTCCATTCACCTCAGAGAGTTGAACCTTCCTTATGATAGAGCAGTTTTAAAACACTCTTTTTATAGAATCTGCAAGTGCATATTTGGAGCGCTTTGAGGCCTATGGTGGTAAAGGAAATATCTTCACATAAAAACTAGAGAAAAGCATTCTCCGAAACTTCTTTGTGATGAGTGAATTCAACTCACAGAGCTGAACCTTTCTCTTGATAGAGCAGTTTTGAAACACTCTTTTTGTAGGATCTGCAAGTGGATATTTGGAGTGCTCTGAGGCCTATGGTGGAAAAGGAAATATCATCAAATGAAAACTAGACAGAAGCATTCTCAGAAACTTCTTTGTGTTGTGTGTATTCAACTCACAGAGTTGAAATTTTCCTTTGATTGAGCAGTTTTGAAACACTCCTTTTGTAGAATCTGCAAGTGAATATTTGGAGTGCTTTGAGGCCTATGGTGGAAAGGGAAACACCTTCATATAAAAACTAGATCAGAAACATTCTCAGAAACTTATTTCTGATGTGTTCATTCATCTCACAAAGTTGAACCTTTGTTTTGTTAGAGCAGTTTTGAAACTCTCTTTTTGTGGAATCTGCAACTGGATATTTGGAGAGCTTTGAGGTCTATGGTGGGAAAGGAAATATCCTCACATAAAAATTAGACAGAAGCATTCCCAGAAACTTCTTTCGATGAGTGCGTTCTACTCACAGTGTTGAACATTTCTTTGAAATACGAGTTTTGAAACACTCTTTTTGTAGAAACTGAAAGTGGATATTTTTAGCGTTTTGAGGCCTATGGTGGAAAAGGAAATATCTTCACTGAAACACTCTTTTTCTAGAATCTGAACGTGGATATTTGGAGCGTTTTGAGGCCTATAGTGGAAAAGGAAATATTTTCACATTAAAACTCAACAGAAGCATTCTCAGAAACTTATTTGTGATGTATGCATTGAACTCACAGAGGTGAACTTTTTTTTTTTTTTTTTGATAGAACAGTTTCGCGACACCCTTTTTCTAGAATCTGAATGTGGATATTTGGAGTGCTTTGAGGCCTATGGTGGAAAAGGAAATATCCTCACATAAAAACTAGACAGGAGCATTCTCAGAAACTTTTTTGTACTGTGTGCATTCAACTCACAGAGTTGAAATTTTCTGTTGATAGAGTAGTTTTGAAACACTCTTTTTTTAATTTTTATTTATTTATTATTATTGTACTTTAAGTTTTAGGATACATGTGCACAATGTGCAGGTTAGTTGCATATGTATACATGTGCCATGCTGGTGCGCTGCACCCACTAACTCGTCATCTAACATTAGGTATATCTCCCAATGCTATCCCTCCCCCCTCCCCACAACCCACAACAGGCCCCAGTGTGTGATGTTCCCCTTCCTGTGTCCATGTGTTATCATTGTTCAATTCCCACCTATGAGTGAGAATATGTGGTGTTTGGCTTTTTGTTCTTGCGATAGTTTACTGAGAATGATGATTTCCAGTTTCATCCATATCCCTACAAAGTACGTGAACTCATCATTTTTTATGGCTGCATAGTATTCCATGGTGTATATGTGCCACATTTTCTTAATCCAGTCTATCATTGTTGGACATTTGGGTTGGTTCCAAATCTTTGCTATTGTGAATAATGCCGCAAAAAACATACATGTGCGTGTGTCTTTATAGCAGCATGATTTATATTCCTTTGGGTATATACCCAGTAATGGGATGGCTGGGTCAAATGGTATTTCTAGTTCTAGATCCCTGAGGAATTGCCACACTGACTTCCACAATTGTTGAACTAGTTTACAGTCCCACCAACAGTGTAAAAGTGTTCCTATTTCTCCACATCCTCTCCAGCACCTGTTGTTTCCTGACTTTTTAATGATTGCCATTCTAACTGGTGTGACATGGTATCTCATTGTGGTTTTCATTTGCATTTCTCTGATGGCCCGTGATGGTGAGCATTTTTTCATCTGTTTTTTGGCTGCTTAAATGTCTTCTTTTGAGAAGTGTCTGTTCATGTCCTTCGCCCACTTTTTGATGGGGTTGTTTGTTTTTTTCTTGTAAATTTGTTTGAGTTCATTGTAGATTCTGGATATCAGCCCTTTGTCAGATGAGTAGGTTGTGAAAATTTTCTCCCATTTTGTAGGTTGCCTGTTCACTCTGATGGTAGTTTCCTTTGCTGTGCACAAGCTCTTTAGTTTAATTAGATCCCATTTGTCAATTTTGTCTTTTGTTGCCATTGCTTTTGGTGTTTTAGACATGAAGTCCTTGCCCATGCCTATGTCCTGCATGGTAATGCCTAGGTTTTCTTCTAGGGTTTTTATGGTTTTAGTTATAACATTTAAGTCTTTAATCCATCTTGAATTGACTTTTGTATAAGGTGTAAGGAAGGGATCCAGTTTCAGCTTTCTACATATGGCCAGCTAGTTTCTCCAGCAGCATTTATTAAATAGGGAATCCTTTCCCCATTGCTTGTTTTTCTCAGGTTTGTCCAAAATCAGATAGTTAGAGATAAGTGGCATTATTTCTGAGGGCTCTGTTCTGTTCCATTGATCTATATCTCTGTTTTGGTACCAGTACCATGCTGATTTGGTTACTGTAGCCTTGTAGTATAGTTTGAAGTCAGGTAGTGTGACGCCTCCAGCTTTGTTCTTTTGGCTTAGGATTGACTTGGCAATGAGGGCTCTTTTTTGGTTCCCTGTGAACTTTAAAGTAGTTTTTTCCAATTCTGTGAAGAAAGTGATTGGTAGCTTGATGGGGATGGCATTGAATCTGTAAATTACTTTGGGCTGTATGGCCATTTTCATGATATTGATTCTTCCTATCCATGAGCATGGAATGTTCTTCCATTTGTTTGTATCCTCTTTTATTTCCTTGAGCAGAGGTTTGTAGTTCTCTTTGAAGAGGTCCTTCGCATCTCTTGTAAGTTGGATTCCTAGGTATTTTATTCTCTTTGAAGCAATTGTGAATGAGAGTTCACTCATGATTTGGCTCTCTGTTTGTCTGTTATTGGTGTATAAGAATGCTTGTGATTATTGTACATTGATTTTGTACCCTGAGATTTGCTGAAGTTGCTTATCAGCTTAAGGAGATTTTGGGCTGAAACAATGGGGTTTTCTAGATATACAATCATGTCGTCTGCAAACAGGGACAATTTGACTTCCTTTTTTCCTAATTGAATACGCTTTATTTCCTTCTCCTGCCTAATTGCCCTGGCCAGAGCTTCCAACACTATGTTGAATAGGAGTGGTGAGAGAGTGCATCCCTGTCTTGTGCCAGTTTTCAAAGGGAATGCTTCCAGTTTTTGCCCATTCAGTATGATATTGGCTGTGGGTTTGTTATAGATAGCTCTTATTATTTTGAAATACGGCCCATCAATACCTAATTTATTGAGAGTTTTTAGCGTGAAGTGTTGTTGAATTTTGTCAAAGGCCTTTTCTGCATCTATTGAGATAATCATGTGGTTTTGACCTTTGGTTCTGTTTATATGCTGGATTACATTTATTGATTTGCCTATATGGAACCAGCCTTGCATCCCATGGATGAAGCCCATTGATCATGGTGGATAAGCTTTTTGATGTGCTGCTGCATTCAGTTTGCCAGTATTTTATTGAGGATTTTTGCCTCAATGTTCATCAATGATATTGGTCTAAATTTCTCTTTTTTGGTTGTGTCTCTGCCCGGCTTTGGTATCAGGATGATGCTGGCCACATAAAATGAGTTAGGGAGGATTCTCTCTTTTTCTATTGATTGGAATAGATTCAGAAAGAATGGTACCAGTTCCTCCTTGTACCTCTGGTAGAATTCGGCTGTGAATCCATCTGGTCATGGACTCTTTTTGGTTGATAAGCTATTGATTATTGCCACAATTTCAGATCTTGTTATTGGTCTATTCAGAGATTCAAATTCTTTTTGGTTTTGTCTTGGGAGAGTGTATGTGTTGAGGAATTTATCCATTTCTTCTAGATTTTATAGTTTATTTGCATAGAAGTGTTTGTAGTATTCTCTGATGGTAGTTTGTATTTCTGTGGGATTGGTGGTGATATCCCCTTTATCATTTTTTATTGCATCTATTTGATTCTTCTCTCTTTTTTTCTTTATTAGTCTTGCTAGTGGTCTATCAATTTTGTTGATCTTTTAAAAAAACAGCTCCTGGATTCATTAATTTTTTGAAGGGTTTTTTGTGTCTCTATTTCCTTCCGTTCTGCTCTGATTTTAGTTATTTCTTGCCTTCTGCTAGCTTTTGAATGTGTTTTCTCTTGCTTTTCTAGTTCTTTTAGTTGTGATGTTAGGGTGTCAATTTTGGATCTTTCCCACTTTCTCTTGTGGGCATTTAGTGCTATAAATTTCCCTCTACACACTGCTTTGAATGCATCCCAGAGATTCTGGTATGTTGTGTCTTTGTTCTCATTTGTTTCAAAGAACATCTTTATTTCTGCCTTCATTTCATTATGTACCCAGTAGTCATTCAGGAGCTGGTTGTTCAGTTTCCATGTAGTAGAGCGGTTTTGAGTGAGATTCTTAATCCTGAGTTCTAGTTTGATTGCACTGTGGTCTGAGAGATAGTTTGTTATAATTTCTGTTCTTTTACATTTGCTGAGGAGAGCTTTACTTCCAACTCTGTGGTCAATTTTGGAATAAGTGTGGTGTGGTGCTGAAAAAATGTATATTCTGTTGATAAGGGGTAAAGAGTTCTGTAGATGTCTATTAGGTCCGCTTGGTGCAGAGCTGAGTTCAATTCCTGGGTATCCTTGTTGACTTTCTGTCTCGATCTGTCTAATGTTGACAGTGGGGTGTTAAAATCTCCCATTAATAATGTGTGGGAGTCAACGTCTCTTTGTAGGTCACTCAGGACTTGCTTTATGAATCTGGGTGCTCCTGTATTGGGTGCATATATATTTAGGATAGTTAGCTCTTCTTGTTGAATTGATCCCTTTACCATTATGTAATGGCCTTCTTTGTCTCTTTTGATCTTTGTTAGTTTAAGGTCTGTTTTATCAGACTAGGATTGCAACCTCTGCCTTTTTTGTTTTCCATTTGCTTGGTAGATCTTCCTCCATCCATTTATTTTGAGCCTATGTGTGTCTCTGCACATGAGATGGGTTTCCTGAATACAGCACACTGATGAGTCTTGACTCTTTCTCCAATTTACCAGTCTGTGTCTTTTAATTGGAGCATTTAGTCCATTTATATTTAAAGTTAATACAGTTATGTGTGAATTTGAACCTGCCATTATGATGTTAGCTGGTTATTTTGCTCGTTAGTTGATGCAGTTTTTTCCTAGTCTCGATGGTCTTTACATTTTGGCATGATTTTGCAGTGGCTGGTACCAGCTATTCCTTTCCATGTTTAGTGCTTCCTTCAGGAGCTCTTTTAGGGCAGGCCTGGTGGTGTCAAAATCTCTCAGCATTTGCTTGTCAGAAAAGTATTTTATTTCTCCTTCACATATAAACAAGACAGAAGCATTCTCAGAAACTTCTTTGTGATGTTTGCATTAAACTCACAGGGTTGAACATAACTTTTCATAGAGCAGTATTGAAAAACTCTTTTCATAGAATCTGCAAGTGGATATTTGGACTGCTTTGAGGCCTTCATTGGAAACAGGAACATCTTCACATAGAAAGAGGACACAAGCATTCTCAGAAACTACTTTGTGATGTGTGCATTCAACTCATAGAGATAAACATACCTTTACATAGAGCTGTATTGAAACTCTCTTTTCGTAGAATCTGCAAGTGGATGTTTGGACTGCTTTGAGGCCTTCGTTGGAAATGGGAATATCCTCACATAAAAATTAGACAGGAGCATTCTCCGAAACGTCTTTGTGATGTGTGCATTTAACTCACAGAGTTGAACCTTTCTTTCTTTTGATAGAGCAGTTTTGAAGCCCTCTTTTTGTAGAATCTGCAAGTGGACATTGGGAAAGCTTAGAGGCCTATAGTGGAAAAGGAAATATCTTCACATAAAAACTAGACAGAAGCATTCTCAGAAACTTCTTTGTGACGTTTGCATTCAACTCAAAGAGTTGAACATACCTTTCGTACAGCAGTTTTAAAACATTCTTTTCTTAGAATCTGCAAGTGGATATTTGCACGGCTTTGAGGCCTTTGTTGGAAACGGGAAGGTCTTCACATAAAAACTAGACAGAAGCATTCTCAGAAACTTCTTTGTGATGTGTGCGTTCAACACACAGAGTTGAAACTTTTTCTTGATAGAGTAGTTTTGAAACACTCTTTTTGTAGAATCTGCAATTTGACATTTGGAGAGCTTTGAGGCCTATGGTGGAAAACGAAATATCTACACATAAAGACTAGACAGAAGCGTTCTCAGTGACTTCTTTGTGATGTTTCCATTCGACTCACAAATTTGAACATACCTTTTCATAGGGCAGTTTTGAAACACTCTTTTCATAGTATATGCAAGTGGATATTTGGACTGCTTTCAGGCCTTCGTTGGAAACGGGAATATCTTCACATAAAAACTAGACAGAAGCATTCTCAGAAACTTCTTTGTGATGTGTGCATTCAATTCACAGAATTGACCTTACCTTTTAATAGAGCAGTATTGGAACACTCTTTTCGTAAAATATGCAAGTGTATATTTGGACTGCTTTGAGGCCTTCGTTGGAAACGGGAGTATCTTCACATAAAAACTAGACAGAAGCATTCTCAGAAACTTCGTTGTGATGTGTGCATTCAACTCACAGAGTGGAACATAGCTTTTCATAGAGAAGTTTTGAAACACTCTTTTCGTTAATATGAAAGTGGATATTTAAACTGCTTTGGGGCCTTCGTTTGAAATGGGAATATCTTCACATAAAAGTTAGACAAAAGGATTCTCAGAAACTTCTTTGTGATGTGTGCATTCAACTCACAGATTTGAACCTTTCTTTTCGTAGAGAAGTTTTGAAACACTCTCGTCGTAGAATCTGCAATTGAATATTTGGACTGCTTTGAGGCCTTCGTTGGAAAAGGGAATATCTTGACATAAAAAGTAAACAGAAGCATTCCCAGAAACTTCTCTGTGATGTCGGCATTCAACTCGTAGAGTTCAACATACCTTTTCATAGAGCAGTTTTGAAACACTCTTTTCATAGAATCTGCAAGTGTATATTTTGACTGCTTTGAGGCCTATGGTGGAAAAGTAAATATCTACAAAGAAAATCCAGAGAGAAGCATTCTCAGAAACTTTTTGTGATGTTTGCATTCAACTCACAGAGTTGAACTTACCTGTTCATAGAGCAGTTACGAAACACTCTTTTCGTAGAATCTGCAAGTGGATATTTGGAATGCTTAGAGGCCTACTGTGGAAAAGGAAATATCTTCACATAAAAACAAGACGGAAGCATTCACAGTAACTTCTTTGTGATGTGCGCATTCAACTCACAGAGTTGAACCTTTATTTTGATAGAGCAGTTTTGAAACACTCTTTTTGTAGAATCTGCAAGTGGACATTTGGAGAGCTTTGAGACCTTTGGTGGAAAAGTAAGTATCTACACAGAAAATCCAGACAGAAGCATTCTCAGAAACTTCTTTTTGATGTTTGCATTCAAGTCACAGAGTTGAACTTACTGTTCATAGAGCAGTTATGAAACACTCTTCTCGTAGAATCTGCAGGTGGATATTTGGATTGATTTGAGGCCTTCGTTGGAAATGGAAATATCTTCACATAAAAATTAGACAGAAGCATTCTCAGAAACTACTTTGTGATCCGTGCATTCAACTCAAAGAGTTGAACCTTTCTTTTGATAGAGCAGTTTTGAAACACTCTTTTTGTAGAATCTCCAAGTGGACATTTGGAGAGCTTTGAGGCATATGGTGGAAAACAAAATATCTTCACATAAAAACTAGACAGAAGCATTCTCAAAAACTTCTCTGTAATGTTTGCATTCAATTGAAAGAGTTAAACAAACCTTTTCATAGGCAGTTTTGAAACACTCTTTTCATAGAATATGCAAGTGGATATTTGGACTGCTTTGAGGCCTTCGCTGGAAATGGGAATATTCTCACATAATAACTAGACAGAAGCATTCTCCGAAACATCTTTGTGGTGTGTGCATTTAACTCACAGAGGTGAACCTTTCTTTCTTTTGATAGAGCAGTTTTGAAACACTCTTTTCGTAGTATATGCAAGTGGATATTTGGACTGCTGTGAGGCCTTCGTTGGAAAAGGGAATATCTTCACATAAAAACTAGACAGAAGCATTCTCAGAAACTTCTTTGTGATGTGTGCATTCAACTCACAGAGTTGAACATAACTTTTCATAGAGCAGTTTTGAAACACTCTTTTCGTTAATATGAAAGTGGGTATTTAAACTGCTTTGGGGCCTTCGTTTGAAATGGGAATATCTTCACTTAAAAATTAGACAAAAGGATTCTCAGAAACTTCTTTGTGATGTGTGCATTCAACTCACAGATTTGAACCTTTCTTTTCATAGAGCAGTTTTGAAACACTCTCGTCGTAGAATCTGCAATTGAATATTTGGACTGCTTTGAGGCCTTCGTTGGAAAAGGTAATATCTTGACATAAAAAGTAAACAGAAGCATTCCCAGAAACTCCTCTCTGATGTCTAAATTCAACTCATAGATTTCAACATACCTTTTCATAGAGCAGTTTTGAAACACTCTTTTCGTAGAATCTGCAAGTATATATTTGGACTGCTTTGAGGTCTACGGTGGAAATGTAAATATCTACAAAGAAAATCCAGAGAGAAGCATTCTCAGAAACTTTTTGTGATGTTTGCATTCAACTCACAGAGTTGAACTTTCCTGTTCATAGAGCAGTTATGAAACACTCTTCTCGTAGAATCTGCAAGTGGATATTTGGAATGCTTTGAGGCCTTCATTGGAACCAGGAATATCTTCACATAAAAACAAGATGGAAGTATTCACAGTAACTTCTTTGTGATGTGTGCATTCAACTCACAGAGTTGAACCTTTATTTTGATAGAGCAGTTTTGAAACACTCTTTTTGTAGAATCTGCAAGTGGACATTTGGAGAGCTTTGAGACCTATGGTGGAGAAGTAAATATCTACACAGAAAATCTAGACAGAAGCATTCTCAGAAACTTCTTTTTGATGTTTGCATTCAACTCACAGAGTTGAACTTACTGTTCATAGAGTAGTTATGAAACACTCTTCTCGTAGAATCTGCAGGTGGATATTTGGACTGCTTTGAGGTCTTCCTTTGAAACGGGAATGTCTTTCTTTAAAAACTAGACAGAAGCATTCTCAGAATCTTCATTGTGATGTGTGCATTCAACTCACAGAGTTGAACCATTCTTTTGACAGAGCAGTTATGAAAAACTCTTTTTGTGGAATCTGCAAGTGGACATTTAGAGAGCTTTGAGGCCTATGGTGGAAAAGGAAATAGCTTCACATAACAACTAGACAGCAGCATTCTCAGAAACATCTTTTTGATGTTTGCATTACACTCACAGAGGTGAACATACCTTTTCAGAGAGCAGTTTTGAAACACTCTTTTCGTAGAATCTGCAAGTGGATATTTGGACTGCTTTGAGGCTTTCGATGGAAACGGGAATATATTCACATAAAAACCAGACAAAAGCATTCTCAGAAACTTCTTTGTGCTGTTTGCATTCAACTCATGGAGATGAACATGTCTTTTCATAGAGCAGTTTTGAAACACTCTTTTCGTAGAATCTGCAAGTGGATATTTGGACTGCTTTGAGGCTTTCGATGGAAACGGGAATATATTCACATAAAAACAAGACAGAACTATTCTCAGAAACTTCTTTGTGATGTGTGCATTAAACTCACGAATTTGAACCTTTCTTTTGATAGAGCAATTTTGAAACTCTCTTTTTGTAGAATCTCCAAGTGGACATTGGTAGAGCTTTGAGGCCTTTGGTGGAAAAGGAAATATCTTCACATAAAAACTAGACAGAAGCATTCTCAAAAACTTCTCTGTAATGTTTGCATTCAATTGAAAGAGTTGAACAAACCTTTTCATAGAGCAGTTTTGAAACACTCTTTTCATAAAATATGCAAGTGGATATTTGGACTGCTTTGAGGCCTTCGTTGGAAACGGGAATATCTTCACATAAAAACTAGACAGAAGCATTCTCCGAAACTTCTTTGTGATGTATGCATTCAACTCACAGAGTTGAACATAACTTTTCATAGAGCAGTTTTGAAACACTATTTTCTTAGAATCTGCAAGTGGATATTTGGACTGCTTTGAGGCCTTTGTTGGAAACGAGAATATCTTCACATAAAACCTGTAAACAAGCATTCTCAGAAACTTCTTTGTGATGTGTGCATTAAACTCATAGAGTTAAACATACCTTTTCATAGACCAGTTTTGAAACTCTCTTTTTGTAGAATCTGCAAGTGGATATTTGGACTGCTTTGAGGCATTCCTTGGAAACGAGAATGTCTTCCCATAAAAACGAGACAGAAGGATTCTCAGAAACTCCATTGTGATGAGTGCATTTAACTCACAGATTTGAACCTTTCTTTTGATAGAGCAATTATGAAACACTCTTTTTTGCAGAATCTGCAAGTGGACATTTGGAAAGATATGAGGCCTAAAGTGGAAAGGAAATATGTTCACATAAAAACTGTGGGTGCAGCGCACCAGCATGGCACATGTATACATATGTCACTGGCCTGCACAATGTGCACATGTACCCTAAAACTTAAAGTATAATAAAATAAATAAATAAATAAATAAATAAATAATAATAAACTAGACAGAAGCATTCTCAGAAACTTCTTTTTCATGATTGCATTCAAATCACTGTGTTGAACATACCTTTTCATAGAGCAGATTTGTAACACTGTTTTCGTAAAATCTGCATGTGGCTATTTTGACTGCTTTGAGGTCTTCGTTGGCAACAGGAATATCTTCACATAAAAACTAGACATAAGCATTCTCTGAAACTTCTTTGTGATGTGTGCATTATACTCACAGAGTTGAACATACTTTTTCATAGAGAAGTTTTTAAACACTCTTTTCGTAGAATCTGCAAGTGGTTATTTGGACTGCTTTGAGGTGTTCGTCGGAAACGGGAATATCTTCACAAAAAAAACTAGACAGAAGCATTCTCAGAAACTTCTTTGTGATATGTGCATTCATCTCACAGAGTTGAACATACCTTTTCATAGAGCAGTTTTGAAACACTCTTTAAGTAGAATCTGCAAGTGGATATTTAGACTGCTTTGAGACCTTTGTTGGAAACGGGAATATCTTTACATAAAAACTAGACAGAAGCATTCTCACAAAATTATTTGTGACGTGTGCATTCAACTCACAGAGCTGAACCTTTCTTTTGATAGAGCAGTTTTGAAACAATCTTTTTGCACAATCTGCAAGTGGACATTTGGAGAGCTTTGAGGCCTCTCGATGAAAAGTAAATATCTTCACATAAAAAGTGGAGAGCAGCATTCTCAGAAAATTCTTTGTGATGTTTGCATTCAACTCATAGAGTTGAACATTCCTTTTCATAAAGCAGTTTTGAAACAGTCTTTTCGTAGAATCTGCAAGTGGATATTTGGACTGCCTTGAGGCCTACATTGGAAACGGGAATATCTTTACATTAAAAACTAGACAGAAGCATTCTCAGAAACTTCTTTGTGATGTGTGCATTCAACTCAAGGTGTTGAACTTACCTTTTCTTAGAGCAGATTTGAAACACTCTTTTCTTTGAATCTGCAAGTGAATATTTTGACTGCTTGGAGGCCTTCGTTTGAAACAGGAATATCTTCACATAAAAACTAGATAGAAGCATTCCAGAAACTTCTTTGTGATGTGTGCATTCAACTCTCAGAGTTGAACCTTTCTTTTGATAGAGCTGTTTTGAAACACAATTTTTGTAGGACCTGCAACGGGACATTTGGAGAGCTTTGAGGCCTATGGTGGAAAAGGAAATATCTTCACATAAAAACTATACAGAAGCATTCTCAGAAACTTCTTGGTGATGTTTGCATTCAACTCGCAGAGCTGAACACACGTTTTCATAGAGCAGTTTTGAAACACTCTTTTCATAGTATCATCAGGTGGATAATTGGACTGCCTTGAGGCCTTCATTGGAAACGGGAATATGTTCACATAAAAACTAGACAGAAGCATTCTGAGAAACTTCTTTCTGATGTGTGCATTCAACTCACAGATTTAAACCTTACTTTTGATAGAGCAGTTTTGAAAAACTCTTTTTGTAGATTCTGCAAGTGGACATTTGGAGTGCTTTGAGGCCTGTGGTGGAAAAGGAAATATCTTCACATAAACACTAGACAGAAGCATTCTCAGAAACTTCTTTGTGATGTTTGCATTCAACTCACAGAGTTGAACGTGCCTTTCCATTGAGCAGTTTTGAATTACTCTTTTCGTAGAATCTGCAAGTGGATATTTGGACCGCTTTTAGGCCTTCGTTGGAAATGGGAATATCTTCACTTAAAAACTAGACAGAAACATTCTCGAAACTTCTTTGTGATGTGTGCATTCAACTCACAGAGTTGAACTTAGTTTTTCATAGGGAAATTTTGAAACTCTCTTTTCGTAGAATCTGCAAGTGGATATTTGGACTGCTTTGAGGCCTTCCTTGGAAAGGGGAATATCTTCACATAAAAACTAGACAGAAGCATTCTCAGAAACTTCTTTGTGATGTGTGAATTCAACTCACAGAGCTGAACCTTTCTTTTGATAGAACAGTTTTGAAACACTCTTTTTGTAGAATCTGCAAGTGGACATTTGGAATGCTTGGAGGCCTATGGTGGAAAAGGAAATATCTTCACATAAAAACCAGACAGAAGCATTCTCAGAAACTTCTTTCTGATGTTTGCATTCATCTCACAGAGTTGAACATAACTTTTCATGGAGTAGTTTTGAAACACTCTTTTCATAGTATCTGCAAGGGGATATTTGGACTGCTTTCAGGCCTTCTTGGAAACGGGAAAATCGTCACATAAAACATAGACAGAAGCTTTCTAAGAAACATCTTTGTGATGCGTGCATTCAACTCACAGAATTGAAACTTTATTTTGATAGAGCAGTTTTGAAACCCTCTTTTTGTAGAATCTGCAAGTGAACATTTTGGGAGCTTTGAGGCCTATGGTGGAACAGGAATTATCTTCACATAAAAAGTAGACAGAAGCAGTTTCAGAAACTTCTCTGTGATGTGTGCATTCAACTAACGCATTTAAATCTTTCTTTTGATAGAGAAGTGTTCAAACATTCTTTTTGTTGAATCTGCAATGGATATTTTGGGCTCTATGTGGCCTGCGGTGGAAACGGGAATATCTTCACATAAAAAAAGAGAGAAGCATTCTCAGAAACTTCTTTGTGATGTGTGCATTAAACTCATAGAGGTGAACATACCATTTCATAGATCAGTTTTGAAACACTCTTTTTGTAGGATCTGCAAGTGGATACTTGGAGAAGTTTGAGGACTATGGTGGAAAGGGGAATATCTTCACATAAAAACTAGACAGAAGCATTCTCAGAAACTTCTTTGTGGTGTGAGCATGCAACTCAGGGAGTTGAACCTTCCTT
Source organism: Homo sapiens (assembly GCF_000001405.40). Taxonomy (NCBI): domain Eukaryota; kingdom Metazoa; phylum Chordata; class Mammalia; order Primates; family Hominidae; genus Homo; species Homo sapiens. The sequence goes on from NC_000020.11 coordinate 30,153,149, forward strand.
TTCATAGAACAAATATGAAACAGTTTTTTGTAGAATGTGCAAGCGGATATTTAGAGTGCCTTGAGGCGTATGGCAGGAGAGGAAATGTCTTCATATAAAAACTAGATAGAAGCATTCTCAGAAACTAATTTGTGACGTTCGCATTCAACTCATATTGTTGAACATTACTTTTGATAGAGTAGTTTTGCATCACTCTTTGTAAGATCTGGAGGTGGATATTTGTACAGCTTTGAGGCCTTCGGTGGAAACAGGAATATCTTCACCTAGAATCTCGACTGAAGAATTCTCATAAACTTCTTTGTGAGTGTGCATTCACTCAGAGAGTGACCTTCCTTTTGATAGAGGAGAACAGTTTTGAAACACACTTTTTGTAGAATCTGCAAGTGGATATTTGGAGCGCTTTGAGGCCTTCATTGGAAACGGGAATATCTTCACATAAAAAATAGACTGAAGCATTCTCAGAAACTTCTTTGTGATGTTTCCATTCAACTCACAGAGTTGAACATTCCTTTTCATAGAGCAGTTTTGAAACACTCTTTTCGTTGAATTTGCAAGTGGACTTTTGGAAAGCTTTGAGGCGTACGGTGGAAAAGGAAGTATCTTCACATAAAAACTAGAGAGAAACAGTCTCAGAAACTTATTTGGATGTGTGCATTCAACTCAGAGAGTTTAACCTTGCTTTTCATAGAGCAGTTTTGAAACACTCTTTTTGTAGAATAAGCAATGGGATATTTGGAGCGCTTTTAGGCCAAAGGTAAAAAAGGAAATTTCTTCGTATTAAAAACTATACAGAAGCATTCTCAGAAACTATTTTGTGATGTGTGCATTTAACCTACAGTGTTGAACCTTTCTTTGGATAGAGAAGTTTTGAAAAACTCTTTTTGTAGAATCTGCAAGTGTACATTTTGAGAATGTTGATGCCTGTGGTGAAAAAGGAAATAAATTCACAGTAAAACCAAACAGAAGCTTTCTCAGAAACTTCTTTGTGTTGTTTGCATTCAACTCACAGAGTTGAACATTCCTATTCATAGAGCAGTTTTGAAACACTCTTTTTGTAGAATCTGCAAGTGGATATTTGGACCTCTTTGAGGCCTTCGGTGCAAACGGGAACATCTTCACATAAAAACTAGACAGAAGCACTATCAAAAACTTCTTTGTGATGTGTGCATTCAACTCACAGAGTTGAACCATCGTTTTGATAGAGCAGTTTTGAAACACTCTTTTTGTAGAATCTGGAATCGTATATTTGGAGCACTTTGAGGTCTATGTTGGAAAAGGAAGTATGTTCACATAAAAAGTAGACAGAAGCATTCTCAGAAATTTCTTTGTGATGTGTTCAACAAACAGAGGTGAAACTTTCTTTTGAAAGAGCAGTTTTGAAACACTCTTTTTGCAGATTCTGCAAGTGGATATTTGGAGCTCTTTAGGTCCCACGGTGGAAACGGGTATATCTTCACATAAAAAGTAGACAGAAGCATTCTCAGAAACTTCTTTGTGATGTGTGCACTCAACTCAGTGAGTTGAACAGTCCTTTGGAAAAAGTAGTTTTGAAACAATCTTTTTGTAAAATCTGCAAGTGCATATTTGCAGAGCTTTGAGGCCTATAGTAAAAAAGGAAATAAATTCACATAAAAACTGGACAGAAACATTATCACAAACTTCTTTTTGAGGTTTACATTTGCTTTTAGTTGAATGCACACATCACAAAGAAGTTTGTGAGAATGTTTCTGTCTAGTTTTTATGTGAAGATATTCCCTTTTCAACCATAGGCCTCAAAGTGCTCCAAGTATTCACTTGCAGATTGTACAGAAAGAGTGTTTCAAAACTGCTCTATGAAATGGTATATTCACCTCTGTGAGTTGAATGCATACATCACAAAGGAGTTTCTGAAACGATTATGTCTAGTTTTTATGTGAAGATATTTCCTTTTCCACCATAACCCTCAACGTGCTCCAAACGTCCACTTTCAGATTCTACAAAAAGAGTGTTTCTAAACTGCTCTATCAAAAAGAAGGTTCAACTCTGTGAGTTGAATGAACACATCACAAAGAAGTTTCTGAGAATGGTTCTATCTAGATTTTATGTGAAAATATTACCTTGTCCACCGAAGGACTCAAAGAGCTCCAATAGTCCACTTGCAGATTCTACAAAAAAAGTGTTTTAAAACTGCTCTATGAAAAGGAAGGTTCAGAACAAAGCTGGAGGCATCACACTACCTGACTTCAATTTACACTACAAGGCTACAGTTACCAAAACAGCATGGTACTGGTACCAAAACAGACATATAAACCAATGGAACAGAACAGAGCCCTCAGAAATAATGCCTCATATCTACAACTATCTGATCTTTGACAAACCTGAGAAAAACAAGCAATGGGGGAAGGATTCCTTATTTAATAAGTGGTGCTGGGAAAACTGGCTAGCCATATGTAGAAAGCTGAAACTGGATCCCTTCCTTACACCTTATACAAAAATCAATTCAAGATGGATTAAAGACTTAAACGTTAGACCGAAAACCATAAAAACCCTAGAAGAAAACCTAGGCATTACCATTCAGGGCATAGGCATGGGCAAGGACTTCATGTCTAAAACACCAAAAGCAATGGCAACAAAAGCCAAAATTGACAAATGGGATCTAATTAAACTAAAGAGCTTCTGCACAGCAAAAGAAACTAACATCAGAGTGAGCAGGCAACCTACAAAATGGGAGAAAATTTTCACAACCTAGTCATCTGACAAAGGGCTAATATCCAGAATCTACAATGAACTCAAACAAATTTACAAGAAAAAAACAAACAACCCCATCAAAAAGTGGGCAAAGGATATGAACAGACACTTCTCAAAAGAAGACATTTATGCAGCCAAAAAACACATGAAAAAATACTCATCATCACTGGCCATCAGAGAAATGCAAATCAAAACCACAATGAGATACTGCCTCACACCAGTTAGAATGGCAATCATTAAAAAGTCAGGAAACAACAGGTGCTGGAGAGGATATGGAGAAACAGGAACACTTTTACACTGTTGGTGGGACTGTAAACTAGTTCAACCATTGTGGAAGTCAGTGTGGCGATTCCTCAGGGATCTAGAACTAGAAATACCATTTGACCCAGCCATCTCATTACTGGGTATATACCCAAAGGACTATAAATCATGCTGCTATAAAGACACGTGCACACGTATGTTTATTGTGGCATTATTCACAATAGCGAAGACTTGGAACCAACTCAAATGTCCAACAATGATAGACTGGATTAAGAAAATGTGGCACATATACACCATGGAATACTATGCAGCCATAAAAAATGATGAGTTCATGTCCTTTGTAGGGACATGGATGAAATTGGAAATCATCATTCTCAGTAAACTATCATAAGAACAAAAAAACAAACACTGCATATTCTCACTCATAGGTGGGAATTGAACAATGAGATCACATGGACACAGGAAGGGGAATATCATACTCTGGGGACTGTTGTGGGGTGGGTGGAGGAGGGAGGGATAGCATTGGGAGATATACCTAATGCTAGATGACGAGTTAGTGGGTGCAGCACACCAGCCTGGCATATGTATACATATGTGACTAACCTGCACAATGTGCACATGTACCATAAAACTTAAAGTATAATAAAAAAAAAGAAAAGGAAGGTTCAACTCTTTGAGTTAAATGTACACATCACAAATAAGTTTCTGAGACTACTTCTGTCACTGCTCTACCAAAAGTAAGGTTCAACTCTGTGAATTGAATGCACACATCAAAAAGAAGTTTCTGAGAGTGTTTCTATTTTTTATGTGAAGATATTCCCTTTTCCAACGAAGGCCTCAAAGCAGTCCAAATATCGACTTGCAGATACTAAGAATAGAGTGTTTCAAATCTGCTATATGAAAAGGCATTTTCAACTCTGTGAATTGAATGCACACATCACAAAGATGTTTCTGAGAATGCTTCTGTCTAGCTTTTATGTGAATATATTTTTTTCCACCATAGTCCTCAAAGCTCTCCAAATGACCACTTGCATATTCTACAAAAAGATTGTTTCAAAACTGCTCTATCAAAAGAAAGGTTCAACACTGTGAGTTGAATCCACATATCACAAAGAAGTTTCTGAAAATGCTTCTGTCTAGTTTTTATGGAATATATTCCCATTTCCAACGAATGCCTCAAAGTAGTCCAAATATCCACTTGCAGATACAACAAAAAGAGTGTTTCAAAACTGCTGTATCAAAAGAAATGTTCAACTCGGTGAGTTGAATGCTCACATCACAAAGAAGTTTCTGAGAATGCTTCTGTGTAGTTTTTATGTGAAGATATTCCCTTTTCCAATGAAGGCCTCAATGCCATCAAAATATCCGCTTGCAGATTCTATGAAAAGAGTGTTTCAAAACTGCTCTATGAAAACATATGTTAAATCCTGTGTGTTGAAGATAAACATCACAAAGAAGTTTCTGAGAATGCTCTGTCTGGTTTATATGTGAAGATATTTCCTTTTCCACACAAGGCCTCAATGCTCTCCAAATGTCCACTTGCAGATTCTACAAAAAGAGTGTTTCAAAACTGCTCTTTCAAAAGAAAGATTCAACTTTATGAGTTGAATGCATCCATCACAAAGACGTTTCTGAGAATGCTTCTGTCTAGTTTTTATGTGAAGATATTCCCGTTTCCAACGAAGGCCTCAAGGCAGTCCAAATATCCACTTGCAGATTCTACGAAAAGAGTGTTTCAAAACTGCTCTATCAAAAGAAAGGTTCAACTCTTTCAGTTGAATGCACACATATCAAAGATGTTTCTCAGAAAACCTCTGTCTAGTTTTTAAGTGAAGATATTCCCGTTTCCAACGAAGCCCTCAAAGCAGTCCAAATATCCACTTGCAGATTCTACGAAAAGAGTGTTTCAAAACTGCTCTATGAAAAGATATGTTCAAATATGTCAGTTGAATGCAAACATCACAAAGAAGTTTCTGAGAATGCTTCTGTCTGGTTTTCATGCGAAGATATTCCTGTTTGCAACAAAGGTCTCAAATCAGTCCAAATATCCACTTGCAGATTCTATGAAAATAGTGTTTCAAAACTGCTCTATGAAAAGGTATCTTCAACTCTGTGAGTTGAATGCAAACATCACAAATAAGTTTCTGAGGATGCTTCTGTCTAGTTTTTATGTGAAGGTATTTTCTTTTCCACCGTTGGCCTCAAAGTTTCCAAATGTCCACTTGTACATTCTACAAAAAGAGTGTATCAAAACAGCTGTATCAAAAGAAAGCTTCAACTCTGTGAGTTGAATGCACACATCACAGAAAAGTTTCTGAGAGTGTTTCTGTCTAGTTTTTATGTGAACATATTTCCTTTTCCACCACAGGCCTCAAAGTTTCCAAATGTCCACTTGCATATTCTACAAAAAGAGTGTTTCAAAACTGCCCTATCAAAAGAAAGATTCAACTCTGTGAGTTGAATGCAAGCATCAGAAATAAGTTTCTGAGAATGCTTCTGTCCGGTTTTTATGTGAAGATATTCCCGTTTCCAACGAAGGCTTCAATGCAGTCCAAATATCCACTTGGAGATTCTACGAAAAGAGTGTTTCAAAACTGCTCTATGAAAAGGTGTGTTCAACTCTGTCAGTTGAAAGCAAAATTCAGAAAGAAGTTTCTGAGAATGTTTCAGTCTAATTTTTCTGTGAAGATATTTCCTTTCCACCATAGGCCTCAAAGCTCTCCAAATGTCCCATTGCAGGTACTACAAAAATGGTCTTTCAAAACAGCTCTATCAAAAGAAAGGCTCAACTCTGTGAGTTGAAAGCACACATCCAAAGAAGTTTCTGGAATGCTTCTATCGAGTTTTTATGTGAAGATATTCCCGTTTACAACGAAGGCCTCAAAGCTGTCCAAATATCCGCTTGCAGATTCTACAAAAAGAGTGTTTCCAAACTGCTCTATGAAAAGGTGTGTTCAACTATGTGAGTGGAATGCAAACATCACAAAAAAGTTTCTGAGAATGCTTCTGTCTAGTTTTTATGTGAAGATATTCCCGTTTCCAAGGAAGTCCTCAAAGCAGTTCAAATATCCACTTGCAGATTCTACGAAGAGTGCTTCAAAACTGCTCTATGAAAATGTATGTTCAGCTCTGTGAGTTTAATGCAAATATCACCAAGAAGTTTCTGAGAATGCTTCTGTCTAGTTTTTATGTGAAGAGATTTCCTTTTCCACCGAAGTCCTCAAAGCTCTCCAAATGTCCACTTGCAGATTCTAGAAAAAAAGTGTTTCAAAACTGCTGTATCAAAAGAAAGGTTCAAATATGTTAGTTGAATCCACACATCACAAAGAAGTTTCTGAGAATCCTTCTGTCTAGTTTTTATGTGAAGATATTCCCATTTCCAACGAAGGCCTCAAAGCTGTCAAAATATCCACTTGCAGATTCTACGAAAAGAGTGTTTCAAAACTGCTCTATGAAAGGCATCTTCACACAGAGAGTTGATGCAACGTCACAAGAAGTTCTGAGATGCTCTGTGTAGTTTTATGTGAAGATATTCCTTTTCCTACAGCTACAATCGCCCAATGTCACTGCGATCTACAAAGAGTGTTCAAGTGCCTATCAAGAGTTCACCTCTGATGAGCACTCCAAGATTCAGAGCTCGTAGTTATGAAGATCTTTCCGAACCACTTGCAGATTCTACGAAAAGAGTGTTTCAAAACTGCTCTATGAAAAGGCATCTTCAACACAGAGAGTTGAATGCAAACGTCACAAAGAAGTTTCTGAGAATGCTTCTGTGTAGTTTTTATGTGAAGATATTTCCTTTTTCACTACAGGCTACAAATCGCCCCAAATGTCCACTTGCAGATTCTACAAAAAGAGTGTTTCAAAAGTGCTCTATCAAAAGAAAGTTTCACCACTCTGAGTTGAAAGCACACATCACAAAGAAGTTTCTAAGAATGCTTCTGTGTAGTTTTTATGAGAAGATATTTCCTTTTTCACCAGAGACCTCAAAGCGCTCCAAATGTCCACTTGTAGATTCTACGAAAAGAGTGTTTCAAAACTGCTCTATCAAAATAAAATTCAACTCTGTGAGTTGAATGCACACATCACAAAGAAGTTTCTGAGAATGCTTCTGTCAAGTTTTTATGTGAAGATATTTAGTTTTTCACAATAGGCCTCAAAGCTCTCCAAATTTCCAGTTGCAGAGTCTACAAAAAGAGTGTTTCAAAACTGCTCTATGAAAAGAAAGTTTCACCTCTGTGAGTTTAATTCACACATCACAAAGAAGTTTCAGAGAATGCTTCTGTCTAGTTTTTATGTGAAGATATTTCCTTTTTCACCATAGGCCTCAAAGCGCTCCTAATGTCCACTTGTAGATTCTACAAAAAGAGTGTTTCAAAACCGCTCTATAAAAAGAAAGGTTCAACTCTGTGAGTTGAATGCACACATCACAAAGAAGTTTCTGAGAATGCTTCTGTCTAGTTTTTATGTGAAGTTATGCCGTTTCCAATGAAGGCCTCAAAGCGTTCCATATATCCTCTTGCAGATTCTAGAAAAAGAGTGTTTCAAAACTGCTCTATAAAAAAGAATGTTCAACTCTGTGAGTTGAAAGCAAACATCACAAAGAAGTTTCTGAGAATGCTTCTGTGTAGTTTTTATGTGAAGATATTACGTTTTTCACCATAGGCCTCAAAGAGCTCCAAATGTCCACTTGCAGATCCCACAAAAAAAAGTGTTTCAAAACTGCTCTATTAAAGGAAAGGTTCAACTCTGTGAGTTGAATGCACACATTAAAAAGAACTTTCTGAGAATTCTTCTGTCTAGTTTTTTTGTGAAGGTATCCCGTTTCCAACGAAGATCTTAAAGCGGTCAAAACGTCCACTTGCAAATTCTACAAAAAGAGTGTTTCAAAACTGCTCTATTAAAATAAACGTTCAAGTCTGTGAGTTGCAGGCCCACATCAGAAAGAAGTTTCTCAGAATGCTTCTGTGTAGTTTTTATGTGAAGATATTTCCCTTTTCACCATAGGCTTCTAAGCGCTCCAAATGTCCACTTGCAGATTCTACAAAGAAGTGTTTCAAAACTGCGCTAGAAAAAGAAATGTTCAACTCTGTGAGTTGAATGCACACACCACAAAGAAGTTTCTGAGAATGCTTCTGACTAGTTTTTGTGAAGATATCCCATTTCCAACGAAGGCCTCTAAGCAGTACAAATATACACTTGCAAATTCTACATATAGAGTGTTTCAAAACTGCTCTATGAAAGGGAATGTTCAACTCTGTGAGTTGAAAGCAAACAACACAAAGAAGTTTCTGAGCATTCTTCAGTGTAGTTTTTATGTGAAGATATTTCCTTTTTCACCATGGGCCTCAAAGCACTCCAAATGCCCAGTTGCAGATTCTACAAAAACAGTGTTTCAAAACTGCTCAATCAAAAGAAAGAGTTGAATGCACACATCACAAAGAAGTTGCTGAGAATGCTTCTGTGTAGTTTTTATGAGAAGATATTTCCTATTTCACCACAGGCCTCAAAGCGCTCCAAATGTCCACTTGCAGATTTTACAAAAAGAGTCTTTCAAAACTGCTCTATATAAAGAAAGGTTCAACTCTGTGAGTTGAATGCACACATCATAAAGAAGTTTCTGAGAATGCTTCTGTCTAGTTTTAATGTGAAGATATTTCCTATTTCACCGTAGGCCTCAAAGCATTACAAATGTCCAGTTGCAGATTCTATAAAAAGAGTGTTTCAAAACAGCTCTATCAAAAGAAAGGTTCAACTCTATGAGTTGAATGCACACATCACAGAGAAGTTTCTGAGAATGCTTCTGTCTAGTTTTTTTGCGAAGATATTCCCGTTTCCAACGAAGGCCTTAAAGCAGTCGAAATATCCAATTGCAGATTCTACAAAAAGAGTGTTTCAAAAATGCTCTATGAAAAGGAATGTTCAAGTCGGTGAGTTGAAAGCAAACAACACAAAGAAGTTTCTGAGAATGCTTCCGTGTAATTTTTATGTGAAGATATTTCCTTTTTCATAAGCCTCAAAGCCCTCCAAATGTCCAGTTGCAGATTCTACAAAAAGATTTTTTAAAAACTGCTCTATCAAAAGAAGGATTCAAGCTCTATCAAAAGAGTTGAATACATATATCAAAAAGAAGTTTCTGAGAATGCTTCTGTCTAGTTTTTATTTGAAGTTGTTTCCTTTATCACTATAGGCCTCAAAGCGCTACAAATGTCCACTTGCAGATTCTTGAAAAATATTGTTTCAAAACTGCTCGGTCAAAAGAATGGTTCAACTCTGTGAGTTGAATGCACACATCACAAAGAAGTTTCTGAGAATGCTTCTGTGTAGTTTTTATGTGAAGTTATTTCCTTTTTCACCATAGGTTCTAAAGCGCTCCAAATGTCCACTTGCAGATTATACAAAAAGAGTGTGTCTAAACTGCTCTATCAAAAGAACGGTATAACTCTGTGAGTTGAATACAAATATCACAAAGAAGTTTCTGAGAATGCTTCTGTATAGTTTTTGTGAAGATATCCCGTTTCCAAAGAAGGCCTCAAAGTGCTCCAAATGTCCACTTGCAGATTCTACAAAAAGAGTGTTTCGAAACTGCTCTATGAAAAGGAATATTCAACTCTGTGTGTTGAAAGCAAACATCACAAAGAAGTTTCTGAGAAGGCTTCTGTGTAGTTTTTATGTGAAGATATTTCCTTTTTCAACACAGGCCTCAAAGCACTCCAAATGTCCACTTGCAGATTCTACAAAAGAGTTTTTCAAAACTGCTCTATCAAAGAAAAGCTTCAACTCTGTGAGTTGAATGCACACATCACAAAGAAGTTTCTCTGAATGCTTCTGTCTAGTTTTTATTTAAAGATATTTTTTTCACCATAGGCCTTAAAGTGCTACAAATGTCCAATTGCAGATTCCACAAAAAGAGTGTTTCAAAACTGCTCTATCAAAAGAAAGATTCAACACTGTGAGTTGAATGCACACATCACAAATAAATTTCTGAGAATGCTTCTGTCTAGTTTTTGTGTAGATATCCCGTTTCCAGTGAAGGCCTCAAAGCGGTCCAATATCCACTTGCAAATTCTACAAAGAGAGTGCCTCAAAACTGCTCTATGAGAAGGAATGTTCAACTCTGTGAGTTGAAGGCAAACAACACTAAGAAGGTTCTGAGAATGCTTCTATGTAGTTGTTATGTGAAGATATTTCCTTTTTCACCATGGGCCTCAAAGCGCCCCAAATGTCCAGTTGGAGATTCTACAAAAAGAGTGTTTTAAAACTGCTCTATCAAAAGAAAGAGTTGAATGCACACATCACAAAGAAGTTTCTGAGAATGCTTCTGTGTAGTTTTTATGTGAAGATATTTGTTTTTCACCACAGGCCTCAAAGCACTCCAAATGTCCACTTGCAGATTCTACAAAAAGATTGTTTCAAAATTGCTGTATCAAAAGAAAGGTTCAACTCTGTGAGTTGAATGCACATATCACAAAGAAGTTTCTGAGAATGCTTTTGTCTAGTTTTTATGTGAAGATATTTACTTTTTCACCATCGGCCTCAAAGTGCTACAAATGTCCACTTGCAGATTCTACAAAAAAGTGTGTCAAAACTGCTCTATCAAAAGAAAGGTTCAACTCTGTGAGTTGAATGCAAACATCACAAAGAAGTTTCTGAGAATACTTCTGTCTAGTCTTTGTGAAGTTATCCCTTTTCCAACGATGGACTCAAAGCAGTCCAAATATCCACTTGCATATTCAACAAAAAGAGTGTTTCAAAACTGTTCTATGAAAAGGAATGTTCAACTCTGTGAGTTTAAAGCAAACAACAGAGAAGTTTCTGAGAAGGCTTCTGTGTAGTTTTTATGTGAAGATATTTCCTTTTTCACCATAATCTTCAAAGCCCTCCAAATGTCCAGTTGCAGATTATTCAAAAAGATTGTTTCAAAACCGCTCTATCAAAAGAAAGGTTCAACTCTGTGAATTGAATGCACACATCACAAAGCAGTTTCTGAGAATGCTTCTGTCTACTTTTTATGTGAAGATATTCCCGTTTCCAAAGAAGGCCTCAAAGAGCTCCAAATATCCACTAGCAGATTCTAGAAAAGGAGTGTTTCAAAACTACTCTATGAAAAGTAAAGTTAAACTCTGTGAGTTGAATGCACACATCACAAAGAAGTTTCTGAGAATTCTTCTGTCTAGTTTTTATGTGAAGATATTTTCTTTTCCACCATAAGCCTCAAGTTTCTCCAATTATCCACTTGGAGATTCTACAAAAAGACTTTCAAAACTGCTCTATCAAGAGGAAGGTTCAACTCAGTGAGTTGAATGCACACAACGCAAATAAGTTTCTGAGAATGCTTCTATCTAGTTTTTATGTGAAGATATTTCCTTTTCTACCATAGGCCACATATCACTCCAAATATCCATTTGCAGATTCTACAAAAGACTATTTCAAAACTGCTCTCTCAAAATGAAAACTCAACTCTGTGGTTTGAATGCAGACATCACAAAGGAGTTTCTGAGAATGCTTCTGTCTAGCTTTTATGTGAAGATATTTCCTTTTCCACCATAGGCCTCAAAGCGCTCCAAATGAACACATTCAGATTCTACAAAAAGAATGTTTCAAAACTGCTTTATCAAAAGAAAGGTTAAACTCTGTGAGTTGAAAGCCCACTTCACAAAGCTGTTTGCGAGAATGTGTCTGTCTGGTTCTTATGTGAAAAAATCCCCGTTTCCAACGAAAGTCTCAAAGAGCTCCAAATATCCACTAGCAGATTATTCAAAAGGAGTGTTTCAAGACTACTCTATCAAAAGAAAGGTTCAACTCAGTGAGTTGAATGCACACATCACAAAGAAGTTTCTTAGAATGCTTCTGTCTAGTTTTTATGTGAAGATATTTCCTTTTCCGCCATAGGCCTCACATCTCCACAAATATCCACTTGCAGATTCTACAAAAAGACTGTTTTAAAACTGCTCTATCAAAAGGAAGGTTCAACTCTGTGAGTTGGATGTACACATCACAAAGAAGTTTCTGAGAGTACTTCTGCCTAATTTTTGTGAGAAGATATTTCCTTTTTCACCATAGGCCTCAAAGCGCTCCAAATGATTACTTGCAGATTCTACAAAAAGAATGTTTCAAAACTGCTCTATCAAAAGAAAGGTTAAACTCTGTGAGTTGAAAGCACACTTCACAAAGATGTTTGTGAGAATGCGTCTGTCCGGTTTTTATGTGAAGATATTCCCGTTTCCATTGAAGGCCTCAAAGCTCCAAATAGCCACTAGCAGATTCTACAAAAGGAGTGTTTCAAGACTGCTCTATCAAAAGAAAGGTTCAATTCTGTGAGCTGAATGCGCACATCACAAAGAAGTTTCTGAAATGTTTCGGTCTAGTTTTTATGTGAAGATGTTTCCTTTCCCACCATAGGCCTCAAATCTCTCAAAATATCCACTTGCAGATTCTACAAAAAGAGTTTCAAAACTGCTCTCCTAAAAAGAAGGTAGAACTCTGTGAGTTTAATGCACACATCACAAATAAGTTTCAGATAATGCTGCTGTCTAGTTTTTTTTTGAAGATATTTCCTTTTCCACCATAGGCCTCAAAGCACTCCAAATGAACACATGAAGATTCTACAAAAGGAGTGTTTGAAAACTGCTCTATCAAAAGGAAGGTTCAACTCCGTGAGTTTAATGCATACATCCAAAGCAGTTTCTGAGAATGCTTCTGTCTAGTTTTTATGAGATGATATCCCGTTTACAACGAAGGCCTCAAAGAGCTCCAAATATCCACATGCAGATTCTACAAAAGGAGTGTTGCAAAACTGCTCTATCTAAAGAAAAGTTCAACTCTGAGTCAAATGCACACATCCCAAAGAAGTTTATGAGAATGCTTCTCTCTAGGTATTATGTGGAGATATTTCCTTTTCCACCATAGGCCTCAAATTGCTCTAAATATCCACTTGCAGATTCTACAAAAAGAATGTTTCAAAACTGCTCTATCAAAAGGAAGGTTCAACTCTGTGAGTTGAATGCACAGATCACAAAGAAGTTTGTGAGAATACTTCTGTCTAGTTTTTATGTGATGATATTCCCATTTCCAACGAAGGCCACAAAGAGCCCCAAATATCCACCAGCAGATTCTACAAAAGGAGTGTTTCAAAACTGCTCTATCAAAAGAAAGGTTCAACTCTGTGAGTCGAATGCACAAATCACAAAGAAGTTTCTAAGAATCCTTCTCTCTGGTTTTTGTGTGAAGATATTTCCTTTTCCACCCTAGGTCTCAAATTGCTCCAGATATCCACTTGCAGATCTACAAAAAGACTGACTCAAAACTGCTTTATCAAAAGCTATGTTCAACTCTGTGAGTTGAATGCAAACATCACAAAGAAGTTTCTGAGAATCCTTCCATCTAGTTTTTATATGAACATATTTTCTTTTACACCATAGGCCTCAAAGCGCTCCAAATAAACAATTGTAGATTCTACAAAAAGAGTGTTTCAAAACTGCTCTATCCAAAGAAAGGTTCAACTCCGTGAGTTGAATGCACACATCACAAAGAAGTTTCTGAGAATGCTTCTGTCTACTTTTTCTGGGAAGATATTGCAGTTTCCAACGTAGGCTTCAAAAATCTCCAAATATCCACTATCAGATTCTACAAAAGGAGTGTATCAAAAGTGCTCTATCAAAAGAAAGCTTCAACTCGGTTAGCTGAATGCACACATCACAAAGAAGTTCGTGAGAACGCTTCTGTCTAGTTTTTATGGGAAGATATTTCTTTATCCACCATAGGCCTCAAATCGCTCCAAATACCCACTTGCAGATTCTACAAAAAGACTGTTTCAAAACTGCTCTATCGAAAGAAAGGTTCAATTCTGTGAGTTGAATGCACACATCACAATGCAGTTTCTGAGAATGCTTCTGTCTAGTTTTTATGTGAAGATATTCCTGATTCCATCGAATGTCTCACAGAGCTCCAAATATCCAATAGCAGATTAAACAAAAGGAGTGTTTCAAAACTTCCCCATTCAAGCAGAAACACGTTTGGAGAGAGAAACAATCATGACACTGATCTCCCGGAAGTGTCTCCCTGAAGGACTTGGAAGTCATCTTCGTTGAAGACATTTGGCCAGAGCGAGAGGCATCTAGGCCCCTGAGAAACAGGGGAGGCACAGCAAGAGGGAAGACAGAGCAGAGGCCAGAGCCCAGAGCCCAGGCAGGATACAGAACCATGCCACTGCCACGGGCATAAGGGGAAGGTTCCAAAAGGGTGGCTTGTCCAGAGATGCCAGCATTCCAGTGACAGGGGTTGTTGCCATCTCCCATTACCGGCTTCCTCTTGCAGACTGTATCGTGGTGTGGCTTCATTTCTCAGAGAAGAGCCGTGAAAAGATACAACCATCTTCACTGACGTGGGTCCTCTCCTCTCCTGCAGGACGAAGAGCTCCTGTGGGTCTCTTGTCCTCGGCTGCAGTGTGTTCATCTTGATCCTAGAAAAGAGGACGCGCAGAAAGGGGATGAGATTACAATTGCTCCGGGACCGACGCATCTCCTCACGTGGGCCAGGCCTTCACACACCCAAAGCGGGACCGCGACGGCAAAGACGATTGACAACCGGATGCACGACCCAGGCAGAGACGCAGAAAGAGGCTCACCAAAGACAGGCCGACATGCGAAAAATCGCTCTGTGGTGCACTGGGCGCATTCGGCCAAAGACACACATGCACACGGGCACACACACACAGACAGAGAGAGGGAAAGAAACACACAGAGACTGAGAGACAAAGAGAAGAGACAAAGGGAGACACACACTCACACACACACTCACACTCACACACACACACACGGAGTCATACAGCAGAGGCATTGAAACACACACCCCCAGGCAACCCCTGAGGCTGCGGGGTTCTGCTCTCCACGAGAACGACCCTCGGGTGAGAGAGCAGCCCAGGGGCACGCAGGCCGACCTGTCCTCGAGACCACGGCGGCACGACTTTTGGGGAGACTCCCCAACACGGTCCGGGCAGGCCTGAGGCTGGGATGCCATGCTGCTTCCAGCGAACTCCGCCTGGGGTTTCCACATCCTGGTCGGCCCTTTGCGACCCCTGGCATCCGGAGACATTCCCGTCGACCCCGTGGAGAGGTCAGGCCGGAGCCTCAGAGCCCCGACACCCAAGCAGTGCCACGGAGGGCTCCTGCTCTGCCAAGCCTCAGGGACTGGTTTCTAAGACAACCGCGGGAAGCACTGTGACGTGAGAAGCCGCTCGCGCCTTGCGCATGCGCATTGGCTACGCCGACTCAGGCTGCATCCCCTTTAAATAAGTCCACAGCTACGCGTCAGCAGCGAGTGTCCTCCTGCAGCCACGGTGGTGGCTGGACCCGGGGTCCAGTTGGGGGTGGCGTTTGAGAGGAGGCCGCGGGGGTCCTGTCCCAGCACGAAACTCCCAGGAGTCCTGTCCTCAGGACCTCCTTGGGCGGACTTCCACCGAGGGAGGGGGAGCTTCAGGACGCCTGCTGTGTTCTCGGGACTCCCCTTCAGATGCGATTTTGGCCCCTTCCGAGTGAGATAGGATGGGCTCACCACTCCTGATGAGGCAGGCAGGGCCTCGCTGCAGCACAAGTCGATCCCATGAGTCTCAAGGCGTGTTGTCAGCTGAAAATTCACTGATCCATCAGCCCTCTGCCTCCCTCCTCCTTTGAAAGAGCAGGGGCCTGCCCTTCTTCTAAAAGCTCTGGGCCTCCAGAAAGCCGAGAGTGCTTTACAGGACACGAGCAAACAGGAACAGGGGTTAATCCGAGCTGGAGACCATGCGGCCAGGCATGGTATTGGCATATCCCAGAGCAGATGCTGTGATTGTGTGTCACCGGAGGCATATGGGGCGACGGCGAAACAAACGGTTGTGTTCATGCTTGTGCCCGGTGGACAGTGCACTTTTGGGTTAATGCTGAAATGAGTTAAGACTTTGGGGGACTGTTGGGAAGGCGTAATAAATTTTGAAATGTGAGGACATGAGATTTGGAGGGTCCAGGAGTGGAAAAATATGGTTTGACTATGTCCCTACCCACATCTCAACTTGAATTGTATTGCTCAGAATTCCTACGTGTTCGGGGAGGGAACCAGGGGGACGTAGTTGAATCTTTGGGACCGGTCTTTCCCATGCTATTCTTGTGATAGTGGATAAATCTCACAAGATCTGATGGGATTATTAGGGGTTTTGTCTTTTGCTTCTTTTGCCTCCGTCTCATATTCTCTTGCCACTGCCATGTAAGAAGTGCTGTTCACCCGCTGCCGTAACTCTGAGTCCTCCTCAACCATGTGAAACCCTAAATCCAATTAAGTCTCTTTTTCTTCCCTGTCTCAGGTATGTCTTCATCAGCAGTGCAAATGTGACATTTGGTATTGTCAAATTTCTTAATAATTGTGGGGAGAATAGATGTGTAGTATCTTGTGCATTTTCCTGATTACTAATGAGGTTGAGAATTTTTTTTACATTTTGCATGCTTTATCTTTTGAGAAATCCCTATTGATGTCTTTTCCGAATTTTCTGTTGGGTTGCTATTTTTAAAATTAATTCATAGGAGCTCCTTATACTTAGTTGATCTGATTGTAATCTTTCATAGGTTTTAGGTACTGCAAATATCTTCTAATTTATAGTTTATCTTTTCACTTTTTTACTTTTATTTTTTAATTTCTTTTTTTTTTGAGACAGAGTCTAGCTCTGTTATTCAGGCTGGAGTGCAGTGGCTCACTCCACCTCTTGGGTTCAGACGATTCTCGTGCCTCAGCTTCCCAAGTAGCCGGGATTACAGGTGTCTGCCACTAATGCCAAGCTAATTTCTTGTATTTTTAGGAGAGATGGCATTTCACCATGTTGGCCAGCCTGGTCTCAAACTCCTGACCTCAGGTGATGTACTGTTGGGATTACAGGATTGAGACACTGTGCCCAGCCTATCTTTTCAGTTTTTGGTGTAAAAAGTTCTTAATTTTGTGATAGTCAAAATGTCTAATCTTTTTTAATGGTTAAATGGCTTTTTGTGTCTCATTCACTTACATTTTCTACTAAAAGTTTTGAAGTTTTGTTTCTGACATGTAAGTCTTTGGTCCTCAGGAATTTAATGTTTGTATATAGAGCGAGGCAGGAATATAATTTCATTTTGTTTCTTATATCAATAACCATTATTTTTCTATTCTATTTATTGAAAAGTCCTTTCTTTCCTTGCTGATCTGCCATGTCACCTACATCACATATCAAAGATTAAATTTGTGGAGATTTGTTTGGGAACTCTCTATTCTGTTTCATTAGTCAGTTTATCAGTGAGGACCACACTGTCTTAACTGCTGTAGCTTTATAAAAGTTCTGATATTTGCCAGCACAAATCTTTCCTCTTCTTCAATAATGTCTTTGATATTCTTGGCCCCTTCCCTTTTCTATATATATGTGGATATATATTATTTATATATATTTATATATATTTTTAGAGAGAGAGAGGCAAGGTCTCACTTTGTTGCCCAGGCTTGAGGACTGGTGCAATCATAGCTCACTGCAGACTTGAACTGCTGGGCTCAAGAACTCCTCCTACCTCAGCCTCCCAAGTAACTGGGACTCTAATGCATGCACCACCTCATCCAGCTAATTTTAAAAAAATATATTATTTTTGTAACGATGGGGATCTTGCTATGCTGCCCAGGCTGGTCTCAAGCTTTTGGCCTCAAGCAATCCTCCCACCTCAAGCTCCCAAAGTGCTGGGATCACAAGAGTGAGCCACCACACCTGGCTCCATTTTCCATATTTTAAGACCATTTTTTAAAAGGTGCTCAAGACTGCTTTTTTCTCTTGGTGCTACTGGCAATTCCCATACTTAGCTTTGGAAATACTCTTAATGAAGAAAATCTAAAGAGTTGAAAAATAAAATGTTATTTCTTTTCTTCCAGTTGCAAAAGAACAGACAGCCTCCTGAATTACAAAGCTAGTTTTGATAAATTGGTGAACTGAGAGCATACACAGTATTATTAATTCTGCTCTAATTTCTGCTTCACTGTGGAGTGTCTTCACAGAGTCTTAAAAGATTATTGCTATGAAATAGTCTTATACATGTAACACATAACCGCTACAATTCTGCAGTTGTACTTGGCTGTCTTAACTAATAATCAATTGCTTTGCTTCATAATATTTAAATTGGCATCTTTATTTTCCAAAATGCATAAATACTAGTAAAGATTTTTAGTTAAGCCAGAAGAAAGTAGACTTTATTTACTAACATATCTTATATGTAAAGGTTTAATAAATCTCCCTGCATCTTTTCTTTTGCATCATAACAACCACTGAAAATAATATTTCTATAGCAGTTGGGGGTAAATGGACAATGACTTTTGTGGCCAGAGGTGAATGGCCCAGGGGCTCCTGCACTCCAGGTCCCTCTGAGCCTGCCACACAGCTGAGGGCATCGGTATTTCCACACACTACAGTGCACGCTGTCCCAGAACACAGATCAGATGCTCTCCTTTATTCAAATGGGGAGTTGAGAGTATTGTCATTGTAATTAAATTAATAAATACATATTTATACACTGTTAAAATCTGGTTGGCTTTGTGTCCCTTCACAAAACAAATTGCTTAAATGAAACCACAGAGTTAACATAAATGAGTACATTTGCTTCTATAAGATGCTCTTTTAAATGGAATTAGAACCTAATTTGAAATGTCAATTAAAAGTTTAAATATTCAACTCAATTACATTTAGATTTTTGTTTTGTTTTGTTTTGAGACAGAATTTAGCTCTTGTCACCCAGGCTGGAATGCAATGGTGCAATCTCAGATCACTGCAAGCATCTTCTCCCAGGTTCAAGCAATTCTCTTGCCTCAACTTCCTGAGTAGCTGGGATTACAGGTGCCTGCCACCATGCCTGGCTAATTTTTGTATTTTCAGTAGAGATGGGGTTTCACCATGTTGGCCAGGCTGGTCCTGAACTCCTGACCTCACGTGATCCACCCACCTTGGCCTCCCAAAGTGATGGGATTACAGGTCTGAGCCACCGCGCTTGGCCTTTTTAGATTATTTTACTTTATTTTAGTTACTTATTTTTATGACTTTATTGTTATAAAAATGCTAGCTTTTTTAAAAAATCAATCAATATAACAAAGAACATAGAAGATGATCAACAAGCATTCCCACTTCCATGATCTGGAAATAACTGTCATCAATCCAAAAGCTGACACATGGTGGATCCCTTCACACCAGTTCCCAGAAAAAAGTAACCCCTTGCTTGTGGAAAACATTATTATTATCATTAGTATTTTCGAGACGGAATTTGAGTCTTGTAGCCCAGGCTGGAGTGCAATGGTCCAATCTCAGCTCACTGCAACTTCTGCCTCCCAGGATCAAAGTATTCTCCTACCTCAGCCTCCCAAGCAGCTGGGATTACAGGCATGCACCACCATGGCGTGCTAATTTTTTGTATTTTTAGTAGAGACAGGGTTTCACCATGTTGGCCAGGCTGGTGTCGAACTCCTGACCTCAGGTGATCCACTTGCCTCAACCTTCCAAAGTGTTGGGATTACAGGCATGACCCACCACACCTGGACCAGAAAACACTATTCAATAGCAAACAGTAGCAGTATGCTTGGGGGTTTTAGGAATGTTGATTTTCAAATCTCTAGAAAAGTTCAATGAATTACCTTAGGCTATAATCCCAGGGCAGTCTCATCTGTTAATAGGGGGCTGGTCTAAGGGTCCTTCCAGCTCTCAGATTAATGGTTTCCCATGTTGAACTGCTCCCTGCCACCCACGCATCCTTGGTTTTGTTTGTTTGTTTGTTTGTTTGTTTGTTTGTTTGTTTTTATAGAGACAAGGTCTCACTATATTGCCCAGGCTGGTCTACAACTCCTGGCCTCAAGCAATACTCCCACCTTGGCCTCCCAAAGTGTTGGAGTTACAGATGCGAGCCTTTGTGCTCAGCCCATCCTTGGCTGTTCAAATGTGGAGGTAAATTGTAGATGCCAAGTTTACCTCCAGGTCAGAAGGGTCAGATGCCCCAGGGCAGAATCATAACCCTAACCAGGCCTCCCACTGCGTGAAGACCTTATTTTCTGAAGCTTAAACCTGGACAAAGGTCTGACCAGTAGCACTGTGTTCATGAATGCCAGGTCAAAAATTTAAAACTGGGACTATCCAGAAGAACCTGGTAGATGCAGGTGCAGTCTGCAGTCCAATGGTCAGCCACAAAAACAGGCTACCTGTTCTTTCTCTTTACCATGGAGTCCTTGATGTAAAAATTGAATGACACTTTCTTGCTCCTGGTGTGCTTCCCTTTCTTCTTCAATTTCCATAAGTAGTTTCCTCCATCCCACCTCCCAACAGGCCACAGTCAATTCAGGACATTTTAACCATGAAAGTCAGTCTACATAACACGAATTTAGAGGCCAGGCAGGGTGGCTCATGTCTCTGGGAGACTGAAGTGGGAGAATAGCTTGAGCTTAGGAGTTTGAGGCCAGCCTGGGCAACATGGTGAAACCCTGTCTTTAACCAAAAATAAATGAATAAAAAAAAAAAAGCCATGTATGGTGGTGCATGCTACTAGTCCAGCTACTCAGGAGTCTGAGGTGGGAGGATTGCTTGAGTCAAGGAGGTCAAGTCTGAAGTGGGCCAAGATCATGCCACTGCAATCCAGCCTGGGCAACAGAGTGAGACCTTATCTCAAGAAAAAAAAAAATGATTTAAAGGACAGACTGACTCTCTTATTACAAGCCAATGCTCATTTGCCATTCCATAAATCCTAGGGAACCTCTTAAGAATTATGCTAAATCTACTCTACCCGTGCTCTATAAATGGATTCACTATTGTAGATGCCACTAAGAACATTCATGATTCACCAGAGGAGGTAAAAATAGCAGCATTAATGGGAGTTTGGAAGAAGTTGATTCTAACTCCCATAAATGACTTTGAGGGGTTTGAGACCATAGCAGAGGAAGTAACCACAGATGTGGTGAAGATAGCAAGAGGACTAGTATGAAAAGTGGAGCGTGAAGATGTGAGTGAATTGTTGCAATCTTTTTTTTTTTTTTTTTTCGAGATGGAGTTTTGCTCTTGTTGCCCAGGCTGGAGTGCAATGGTGCGATCTCAGCTCACTGCAACCTCCACCTCCTGGGTTCAAGCGATTCTCCTGCCTCAGCCTCCCGAGTAGCTGGTATTGTAGGCATGTGCCACAACACCCGGCTAATTTTGCATTTTTAGTACAGAAGGAGTTTCACCATATTGTTCAGGCTGGTCTCGAACTTCCAACGTCAGATGATCCACCCATTTCAGCCTACAAAAGTGCTGGGATTACAGGCATGAGCCACCACACCTGGCCAGATTGCTGCAATCTTAATGGATGAGGAGTTGCTTATTATGAATGAGCAAAGAAAGTGGTTTCTTGGGATGGAATCTACTCCTGGTGAAGATGCCGTGAACATTGTGGAAAGAACGACAAAGGACTTAGAATATTCCATAAACTTAGTTGACAGAGGAGTGGCAGGGTTTGAGAAGATTGCTTCCAGTTTTGATATAAATTCTACTGTGGGTAAAATGCTACGAAACTGCGTAGCATGCTACAGTGAAATCTTTTGTGAAAGCAAGAGTCAGTCAACCCGGCAAACTTCCCTGTCATGTTATTTTAAGAAATTGCCACACCTTCTCCAGCCCTCAGCAACCATCACCCTGATCAGTCAGTAGCTATCAACACTGAGACGAGACCATCCACCAGCAAAATGATTATGACTTGCTGAAGGCCCAGATGATGGTTAGCATTTTTTGGCAATCAAGTATTTTCAAAGTAAGGTATATACATTATATTTTAGACATAATGCTATTGCACACTTAATTGACTACAGTAGTTTAAACACAACTTTCTTTTTTGAGATGGAGTCTTACTCTGTTGCCCAGGTTGGAGTACAGTGGTGTGATCTTGTCTCACCGCAAACTCCGCTGCCCAGGTTGAAACAATTCTCCTGCCTCAGCCTCTTGAGTAGCTATGAATACAGGCGCTCACCACCATTTTTGTATTTTCACAGGGTTTCCCCATGTTGGCCAGGCTGGTCTCGAACTTCTGACCTCTGGTGATCCACCCGCCTCAGCCTCCCAATGTGCTGGGATTACAGGCATGAGCCACCATGCCCGGAAACATAACTTTTATATGCGCCAGAAAGCAAACAATTTCTTGTGACTCGCAAAAAATTTCATGTGACATGCTCTATTGTGATATTCGCCTTATTGTGGTGACCTAGAACCAAACATGCAATATCTCCAAGGTGTGCCTGTACCCCTGAAAGCAGAGCTGGAGTAAAGACTTGGGTGTGGATGATTTATTTGGGAAGTGATTCCAAGAAGCAAGAGTGAGATGTGGGAAGAGTGAGCCAGGCAAGAAAAAAAAGCCAAAATAATAGAATGCCATTGAGGCTGCTCCCATGGACTTTTTTTATGTGGGACCTCCCGAGAGGTTCTGGAAAGTTATCCAGGACTGTCCACCTGAAACATGAGCCTCGAGCATTTGCCCACCTGTCCCACACTGGTTGAGGTCTTCCCCTGAGGCTGTTAACCTGCAAGTGTTTCTGGGCTGTATTTGTGCTTAGGCAAAACCCTGCAATAGTGGAGATGTCCCGGGGCGGAAAGTGTAGCTTGAGTTTGCTGGCAGCACAAGGGAAGCATGTGCTTCCATGGAACTCCTCACGGTGGCTGAGACTGAAAGAAAGGTGCGCTGAGAAGACGTGACGCAGTCGTCATTGCACGGAGGAATCATAGCCATCGATCTTGGCAAGAGGACCCCCGCCCTGAATCCCGCGCTTGAGAAGGTGTCTCTCTGGCCCTCCACTGACTGTACCCCGGTCCACCCAGAGCTCTCACCCTCTCTTCTAGGGCATACGCTGGGCACTCAGGCCCCTGGCCAAATGTACCTGAGCCTGCATGGCCTCTTCCCTGGGTCTATTTCAAAGTGAAAACTATGCTTGTCCAAATGGTGCCCAAGGCTCTACTGTCTGAAGGGGTGAGAATTGTGGATGGAGCTTGCATGGGGCCTAGGGAGTCCCCCACACAGGAGAAAGCAAGGCTTCTCAAGTAAGGACAGGGCTAGCTATGATGAAAGAAAAAAATTTAGCCTGGGGCTGAGGATAAGCTCTCCCTTTACTACCACATTCCCATGCAGAGCACCAAGAACTCAGAGAATTCTACACTGGACTTTGACCTTGTGGGATATTATGGCGGTATAGTTATTGAAGTAGAAGAATAGAACATATTTAGCTATTTTTTAGCTTCATTTATAATTCATAATTATTTAGACATAATGCAAATATGGGCTGGAATTCATGTTCTGATTTTTGTGGCCTTGAGATAGGGAAAAGGGACCCAGGAAATGGGCTTTATGTGCTTGGATGGCTTCATGGAATCCCCAACTTCATTAGCTTCTGTGAAGACTCAAGATTATTGCTAAAATCCACTTTGTATTATCTTTAAAAACCAAGGGATATTATGTAGCTCAGCGGTTAGAAGGCACTTGACTCAAAATATCTATGAAGCAAAGGATATAAATGACTAAGAGCAGGAGGATCATTACCTGAAGGGGTGGAGGGTTGATCTCAGGATATGACCTGTGAAATCCTTCCTGCTGGCTCAGTGCTGACTGAACGTGGAGAAGGAGAGCCCCAGGAGCAACACATATCTGGGATAGGAGGGAATGCTGGGAGGAAGGAAAGAGAAATAAGCCCTTTTTGTTTTTATTGATACATGACAATTATAATTATTTCTAGGGTACATGTGATATTTTGATACATGTATACAATGTGCACTGATCAAATCAAGATAATTTGCATATCCATCACCTCAAATATTTATCATTTATTTGTGTTAGGAAAATTCCACATCTTTCCTCTAGCCATTTTGAAATGTATAATAAGTTGTTGTTGATGATCATCACCCTATTGTGCTATTGAACACTAGAACTTCTTCTGTTCCTTCCATCTAACTGTATTTTTGTGCCCATTAACCAACTTCTAGGAAGGGTAAAAGAGTGGGTGGATGAAAAGGGCCCTTCTTAAGGCAAAGAAAATCTTACAAGAAGGGAAGACATCTTAGAAGGAAAAATAAAAAGGTGGACCATGGACTTAGAGTGGGGACTGCAGAAATTGAATGGCAAAGAAAAAACCAACTTAGCGATGTGAAAATAAATCTCAATGTCATTCCTTTCACAGGTCCAATGTCTGATATTCTTTTGGCAAGCTGGATATGAAGTAGGAATTTTTCTTTGAGTCATACATTTTCATGATTATAATTATTATTGAATAATAGCTGACAATTATTGAGAGCAATTATTGAGGACAATTATTGAGCTTTGACAAGATCTTTTCAAAGGCCTTTATATATGTTTTCTCCACTTCTAACTGTTAGATATTCTTATTATTCCCATTTTGTAGATGAGGGATGCACAGGCATAAAGCCTGTGTGGAGGCAGAGAGCAGCTAAGTAACCTGACCATGGCCCAACAGCAAACAAATGATGGGACCACATGCAAATCCAGGCAGAACCCTTCTGTTATATGAAGCTCAATGTTTCCTTGTTTTCATCTTGTTATGAATACGCCTATTTGCAAAGGGGTTTTGAAGCTACATTAAAACATTTTGTGGTCGTGCGCGGTGGCTGATGCTTATAATCCCAGCATTTTGGGAGACCAAAGTGGGCAGATCGCCTGAGCTCAGGAGTTTGAGACCAGCCTGGCCAACTTGGTGAAACCCTGTGTCTATTAAAAATAAAAAAAAATTAGCCGGGCGTGTTAGTGTGCACCTGTAAACCCAGCTACTCTGGAGGCTGAGGCAAGAGAATCACTTGAACCTGGGAGAGGAAGGTTGCAGTAAGCCGAGATCGTGCCACTGCACTCCAGCCTGGGCGACAGAGTGAGACTCTGTCAATAAATAAATAAATAAATAAATAAGATTGAATTTTGAGCTCCTGACCATGTCCCTAGATTGTAATCATATGTACTTTGATATCTTCTAAGATTTATTCTTAGTGCGTTTTTTAAGTTAAAGTATTTACTGAGCATCTACTGTATATCACGTGCTGATATAGGCATCAGCGGTGCAGAGAACATATGGCACAGTCTCTGCCTTCAAGTAACTTTCACTCACCACATATATTTATTAGGACACCGATACATGTGAATATAAGATAGTAAGATAGACATTGCAACAAATAATTATTTACTGTAAACCTATTTCATAGAATTTTAATCTTAAAGTACTTTCACCCTATTTCCAAAAAATATGTATTGCATAACTGTAAATGGATTTTCAGTTTGAAATCATCATATGAACTGCAGTAGCATCTGCTGGTGAAATACTGCTTGGCATCTATTAGAATAGTCCAAACAATTGGGAGAGAACTGTATTATTAGAGCTGTAAAAGTTACTGTCTAGAAGTCTCGGAAAAGAAGAGGAAGTTCTATGGTAGATGAATAAGATGACATCTAAACTGTTCTCTTAAGCTATGAAGTTCTGTGGGTATCTCACAGCGCAAAATTCAAGTGTATGCCCACAACTCCTCATGCCACAAGATGTGACACCTTTCCAATCTCTTTTTGCAAAAGTTTCCAATTCTGTCTCTTATAAGAGTATTTTTTATACCCACATATTCCAGATTTTGTAGTGCATGCAAAGACAAGATGGGAAGGGGGCTTCCATTGGTTGATGCCAGCTGCTTTATGGACCAGGTCCTGCACGTGCATCCCTGTTGGTTCTTTTATCCCCACATCAGCCGTAACCCATAGGCATTAACCTCCATTGTACAGATGAAGAAATTGAAACTCTAAGAGAATATGCAATTTACCCAGAGTCATGCAGCTTGTGTATATAAGAGTTGGAATGAAAATCCAATCTGAGTCTCAAGTCCCCTTCCACAATATGGTTTCCATTTCATTTTGCAATCACCTTAGCTGGGATATGTCTGCCCTAAAAGATAGTAAGTAGGAATACTTGTCTCTATACCTTAACCTAACATCCATGGGCTTCATTTTTTGTATTTGGAGGTGTCATAACGTTATAATAATTTGATTTTATTTGAACAGTGAGTATTATACTACTCAGTCTAGAGATCTGTGACATCCCAGTCTAAACTGGATGATAGCAATGAAGCTTCTTCAAGGAGACAACTATGAGTAATAAGGTAGAAATAAGTTGAATTTCTATGGAGTTGCTACTTCTGAATTTAAAGCCAGCTGAGGTTAAGTAGATATTCAAAAAGATTGCTGTAATCTTCACTTGAATAATATAAACATTTATTATTTTTACATATTTCTTTATTTATGGAACATAGATGTAATTTTAAAACAGAATATTTGCAAATTGTATTAAAATATATTAAAAACATAATATATTATGACCCAATAGAGTTTTTCAAAGTAACTCAGTGTTAGTTTAAAATGTGAAATTCAATCAACATAATTCACCATAGAATATAGTGTGTATGTCAGTATAATGTATATAAAAATTGGAAAGAAGTAAATTTATCTTTGTTTTTTAGTAAGATGAAATTAAAATTTTAGGGAATTTCAATTTTCATTTTAGATTCTGGAGGGTACCTGTGCAGGTTTATTACATGGGTGTATTGTGTGATGTTGAGATTTGGGGTGTGAATGAAGGTGTGAGTGCCTGTCTTGAGTTTGCACCCAGAGCAATCTCCCCTGATCAGCAGAGGGTAAACTAACTTGAATTACACTTGAATTTCTTAGGAGAGCAGGTCACAAAGGGCAAATTGTGGTCCAGAGACAAAAGTGTCCAATGGTCTAAAATGAGTCTGCCATATCACTTAGGGTACAGGTCTTAACACAAATACATTTCAGAAAGGGGTCAAACCCTTGTTTAAAGATAAATGTAAGCTGGGTGTGGAGGCACCCGTCTATAATTCCAGCTACTCAGGAGGCTGAGGCAGGAGGATCCCTTGAGTTCAGGAGTTTAAGACCAGCCTGGACAACATAGGAAGATCCCATCTCAATTTTTAAAAATGAGAAAAAAATAGATAAACGTAAGCATATTAACATTTTAAAGAGTTTAAGCAAACAGAGATTCATGGATCAGCCAGCTCCAAACTGAAAGTGGTTGGAGGATCTACTGGAGGCATTTGTAGGGAAGGCTTTTATAGGGTGAATGTAGAAGTAGAGTAGAGAAATTATTTGTTTGGCAAAAATTTGGGCAGTTGCATTATTGGAACTATCCTGGTGGTAGGTCTCTCATTACACAGCTAATACTCAGCGGTCCACTTGTTGGTGGGCTAAGCTTGTTTCATTTTGTCTACGTAGGAACCCTGGCCATGGGAGCTATCTCAGCCTAATGCTCTCCCATTATGTTATTTTACACCTCTCTGTAACAGCGTAAGCGCGGATCTTCCCCACGAGGCTTCTTTCCACCCTCTTTCCCTCAGCAAAATGAAACTGTCCCTTTTGCCTCTGTAGGCAATCTTCTGAACAGGGCTTTCCTAATATTCTTAGCTCATCTTATTTTATCTTATCCTTTTCTCTGTACCTTGTTTACATGCTTCTGGAACACTTGTGTGTCTTGCACCCATCCCCTGCATTATTTAGGCAATCCTAAAAGAAGACCGCTAGGATGGATTGGTAGAGAACTGCTGGCATATTAAGCCCTCTTTCCTTGTATCTAGAACTTTCATAATTACCTTAGTTCTCCAGGCCAATTTTGCAATTATCTTCGTTCTCCACTTCAAAATACATTTACCTCTGACAGAAGCAGAGCACATAAAAGATATCTTGTCCAGTGGTACATATGAGGCAGGAGACATGATATAGTTAAAATTATAAACTAAAAGCTTTCTGACACCAAAAGCATAAGTAACAAGGGAAAAAAACAAGTAAATTGGACTTCACCAAAATTTAAAACTTTTGTACAATCAGAGAACAACTGGCAGAATGGAAGAAAATATTTCAAATAATATATTTGATAAGGGATCAATATGCAGAATATATAAAGAATTCCTGCAACACAACAATAAATAAACAACCCTATTAAAAAGTAGGCAAAGGACTTACATAGAAAATTTCCCAAAAAAGATATACAAGTGGCCATCAAGCACATGAAAGATGCTCAACATCACTGATTACTAAGGAAATGCACATCAAAACCATAGTAAGATAGCACTTCATACACATTAAGATGGCAATCATCAAAAAAGCAGGGAATAACAAGTGTTGGTGAGGATGTAGCCAAATCGAAACTCTTGTACATTGGCAGTGGACTCTACAGTGGTATAGTCATGGTGGAAAAGAGTACAGTGCTTCCAAAATTAAAAATAAATGGAACATAGGCTGGACTCAGTGGCTCATGCCTGTTATCCCAGCACTTTAGGGCACCGAGGTGGCCAGATTACTAAGTCAGGAGTTCAAGACCAGCCTGACCAACATGGTGAAAACCTGTCTCAACTAAAAATACAAAAATTAACTGGGCGTGGTGCTGAGTGCCTGTAATCCCAGCTACTCAGGAGGCTGAGACAGCAGAATCACTTGAATCTTGGAGGTGGAAGTTGCAGTGATCCAAGAGAGTCAGACTCCATCTCAAAAATAAATAAATAAATAAATAAATAAATAAATAAATAAATAAATAAATAAAAATGAAACATAGAATTACTATATCAGTCACCAAGTCCACTTCTGGGTTTAAACCCACAAAAATTGAAAGCAGGGACTTCAACAGATATTTGCAAATTCAGGTGCATAGCAATTTTATTCATGATAGCCAAAAGGTGGAAGCATTCATTGACAGAAGAATGGATAAACAAAATGTGGTACAGATATACAGTGGAATATTACTTAGCCTTAAAAAGGGACATTCTGTGGAATGTGGTTTGAAAACCTCTTCTGTAAGGTGTTGTGTAAATGTACAAAATCCAAACCAGGTTAATAACCTCAAAATATAAAATTTAACTTATAATATTAAGATCCTGATAAATTTCACTCTCTGCTTCATAGCAAATAATTTATTTTGAATGCAGATATATTTTGTTAAGTAGAAGACTGTGCACTAAAATATAGTCCTTAAACAAAAATCCTATGTATAAAACCACATATTTTCTATTGATTTGCATTTTTTAAATGTAAAAATGGATTCACATTTCTATGTGTAAAATGCCAGACTCAAAGTACTTTTACTGTTAAGATTGCTTGTCTTATTACTGAGGAGGCAAACCATACTAACCCAGAATCATGGTTTTGTGACCATCCATTTTAAATATAATTGTCTCTACTATTTCTAAGTCCCTGTTCTGCAACCCTGTGGCTCTTTTAAATTTGAGAAACAGTTTTGATGGGCCCTGTATTGAGTATTATTATTTCCCAGAGGTACTATTAATAGTTTATGGCCAGACCATCCATCCCTGAGTTTCCATTAAAAGAAAGATGGTCTATGGCACTGCAACTTTTTCCCATCATTGACCATCTGCCCTTGCTCCTCAGGAGCTCCCCGTGCCTCCCTGTGTATGTCTATCCCTGCAAATGCCAAGGATATGGAATAAGTGAGCCTACTGCCCCTGTGGCACTGCAGGGGGACTCCTTGGTGAAGTGTCTACATCTATCTGATGTCTCCTCACTTCTTCAATCTGTTCGCTAATGTAGAATTAGGTCAGGCACAAGCTATCACAAAAAAAGAAACATAGAGTGTTTGATGTCCACAAATGTATTCACTGTAGGTAACTTAGAAATACATATGCACAAAATCCGAACCAAATATACACCCTAAATATCACCACTAGCAACAACTATTTTGGAATACTTACAGTACTCTCATTATTATTTTAATTAGTCACTTGTGATCTTTTTTACTTAAAACTTAAAAACTGAGTACTAAAGGATTTTTTAAGGTACCCAACTGGTAGAAAAACCTAATCTACTATTTTCACAAAACTTCAACACAATAAACACTTATTGCAAAAGCGGAAGCATTCCCTTTGAAAACTGGCACAAGACAAGGATGCCCTCTCTCACGACTCCTATTCAGCATAGGATTGGAAGTTCTAGCCAGGGCAATCATGCAAGAGAAAGAAATAAAAGGTATCCAATAGGAAGAGGGGAAGTCAAACTGCCTCTGTTTGCAGATGACATGACTGCATATGTAGAAAACCCCATTGTCTCAGCCCCAAAACTCTTTAAGCTGCAATGTCAGCAAAGTATCAGGATGCAAAATCTATGTGAAAAAATCACAAGTATTCATGTACACCAATAATAGCCAAGAAGAGAGCCAAATAATGAGTCATTTCCCATTCACAATTGCTACAAAGAATAAACTACCAAGGAATAGATCTTACAAGGGACATGAAGGACCTCTTCAAGGAGAACTACAAACCACTGCTCAAGAAAATAACACAGGACAGAAACAAATGGAAAAAAAAAAAGTCCATACTCATGGATAGGAAGAATCAATATAATGAAAATGGCCATACTGCTCAATGTAATTTATAGATTCAATGCTATTCCTATCAAGCTACTATTGACTTTCTTCACAGAATTAGAAAAAAAACCACTTTAAATTCCATATGGAACCAAAAAAGGGTCCATGTAGCCAAGATAATCCTAAGCAAAAAGAACAAAGTTGGAGGCATCACGCTACATGACTTCAAACCATACTACAAGGCTATGGTAACCAAAACAGCATGGTTTTGGTCCCTAACAAATATATAGACCAATGGAACAGAACAGAGACCTCAAAAATAATACCACACATCTACAACCATCTGGTCTTCGACAAACCTGATAAAAACAAGCAACAGGGAAAGGATTCCCTATTTCATAAATGGTGCTGATAAAACTGGCTAGCCATATGCAGAAAACAGAAACTGGGCCCCTTCCTTAAACCTCATACAAAAATTAACTCGAGACAGACTAAAAACTTAAAACCACAAAAACCCTAGAAGAAAGCCTAGCCAATACCATTCAGGACGTAGGGATGAGCAGACTTCATGACTAAAACACCAAAAGCAATTGCAACAAAAGCCAAAATTGACAAATGGAATCTAATTAAACTAAAAAGCTTCTGCACAGCAAAAGAAACTATCATCAGTGTGAACTGGCAACCTAAAGAATGGGAGAACATTTTTGTGATCTACCCACTGGACAAAGGTCTAATATCCAGAATCTACAAGGAAATTAAACAAATTTACAAGAAAAAAACAACCCTATCAAAAAGTGGGTGAAGGATATAAGCAGACACTTCTCAAAAGAAGACATTGAGGGCTGGGCATGGTGACTCACACCTGTAATCCCAGCACTTTGGGAGGCCGGGGTGGGTGGATTACCCGAGGTCAAGAGTTCAAGACCAGCCTGGTTAACATGGTGAAACACCGTTTCAACTAAAACTACAAAAAATTAGCTGGGCATGGTGATGTATGCCTGTAATCCCAGCTACTTGGGAGGCTGAGGCAGGAGAATCACTTGAACCCAGGAGGCGGAGGTTGCAGTGAGCCGAGATCGTGCTGTTAACTACTCCAGCTTGGGCAACAAGAGCGAAAATCTGACTCAAAAAAAAGAAAAGGGCATTTATGCAGCCAATAAACATATGAAAAAACGCTCATCATCACTGGTCATTAGAGAAATACAAATCAAAACCACAGTGAGATACCATCTCATGCCAGTTAGAATGATGATTATTAAAATGTCAGGAAACAACAGATTCTGGCAAGGCTGTGGAGAAATAGGAATGCTTTTACATGTTGGTGAGAGTGTAAATTAGTTCCACCATTGTGGAAGACAGTGTGGCAATTCCTCAATGATCTAGAGCCAGAAATACTATTTGACCCAGCCATCTCATTACAGGGTATATACCCAATAGATTATAAGTCATTCTTCCTATAAAGACACATGCACGCATATGTTTAGTGCAGCACTATTTACAATAGCAAATACTTGGAACCAATCCAAATGCCCATCAATGATAGACTGGATAAAGAAAATGTGGCATGTATACACCATGGAATACTATGCAACCATAAAAAGAATGAGTTCACGTCTTTTGCAGGGACATGGATGAAGTTGGAAGCCACCATTCTCAGCAAACTAACACAGGAACAGAAAACCAAACACTGCATTTTCTCATTCATAAATGGGAGTTGAACAATGAGAACACATAGACACATGGAGGGGAAGATCACACACCAGGGCCTGTTGTGGGGTGTGGAGCAAGAGGAGGGAGAGCATTAGAATAAATACCTAATGCATGTGCAGCTTAAAACCTAGATCATAGGTTGATAGGAGCAGCAAACCACCACGGCAAATGTGTACCTACGTAACAAACCTGCATGTTCTGTACATGTTCTGTCCCAGAACTTAAAGAAAAAAAAAAAACAAAAGAGAGAAAATCTCTTAAAACTTCATAGAATCTCTAACTTTATTAATATAGTCAGCATACAACAAGGTAATCATAAAGGTAACATGAGAAATAAAATTTCATGAAAGCATATGTTTGTAGAAATAGCTTGTTTCAGGAAAAACATAGTCTTATTTTTAAAAAATGGTCTCATAATATTTTATGGCATAAAATAGCTTCTTTTCTGACAGCCATGTATATCTTTACAAAATACACATAGTAATCAACTAATAGCCAATCCTCATCAGGATCAATGAAAATCAATTGTTAAAGTAATATAAATTAATACACATTTATTAGGGAAATTCCATGAATTATCTTTTGGATAAAACTATCTAGTCTGTAAATGGATCAGGTTTAGTCCGTTTACAGGGTAGGTACTAAGGCCAGAAACATTCAAGAGAGAGATTCGGACTTCAGAAAGACGAACTTGAGAGAGTTCGCTGCAGAGCATAAGTACTAATTCAGGACTAGTGGAATAGGATAGCATACAAAAGACATGGGGAAGAAGAGAGTATTTGTTTCCATGCATGCATGTATTGATACAAGCAAGCTTCCATCAAAAAATGACTTTCTTCTAAAGGTTCATATGGCATTAACATTAACACTTTTCCTTTACTGCCTCACAGATCAGCTTTTCCTCCAAAGATTCTCTTTCTGGAAAATAAAGTCCAGAAAGAGAAATATTTCATTGTTACAGTCATAAAAATTATACTTATTCACTAATGCTGCAGCCAGGGTAGAAGAGAGAGAAGTTCCAACTTTAGCCATACTTTCATCAACTTTTCCTTCTACTTTTAAAGACAAGCATACAGCAATGAAAGTGAGTGTTGTTATTCTGGAGAAATTCTCTTAAATTTATGAAAGAACAAATTGCTCATAATTATGAGATTTTGCAATCAGTAATACATTTCTTATTATAGTTTTTATCAGTGTACCTCAACAGGGAAGGTTGAGAGTTTCTGCTCAACATGATACCATATTACAGTCATGCGCCCCATAACAATGTTTGGTCAAGGACAGACTTGTATATAAGATGGTAGACCCATAAGACTATCTTATTGTATTTTACTGTACCTTTTCTATGTTGTTGCTTGTTTAGAAACACAAATATCTACCATTGTGTTACAATTGCCTACAGTATTGAGTAAAGTAACATGCTATAAAGTTTTGAAGCCTAGGAGCAATAGGCTATACCATATTGCCTAGTTGTGCAGTAGTGGGCTGCAATTTAGGTTAGTGTAAGTACACTCTATGATGTTTGCAGGAAAATGAAATTGCCTAACAACGCATTTTTCAGAAAGTATCTCTGTTATTAAGCGATGCATGATTTTATTCCGCCTCCCTTCTTACTCACCTGACTCCTCATTTTTTCATTTTCCTTGCTTAACTCATCATTTGTCAATTCTTGCCAGTTCTTACTCCTCTGCAGTGTATTTAACATTCATCCTTTCACTATCATTTCCATTGTCATGTCTCATATTTCTATTCTCTGTCATCTGGAAAATTGCAAAGTTTCCATGATATGGCACATTGTGGCCTGAGAATATTTATATGTACATTTTCCACTTCTATTGCACTCTTTCATGAAATTCAATGACCACAGTAGTTCCTTGTTCAAAAGCCACCAATAGCTTTAAAGCACTTATCTAAAAGTGTTCAAGTAGCCTGGTCAAATATCAACATAGCTTACAGTGATTTCACTCTTATTCTGCAAAAAGGTTATGATTTAATCTGGACGTATCTTGTTCTTTCCTGATTCTTATCAGACCATTTCTTCTGTCCTCTAGAATATAGATTTCATGTGGCCAGAAAATTTTTCTGTTTTGTTCCCTGTTATACTTATGGTCCCTAATGATGTGTAGGCATTTAACAAATATTAATAGTGAAAATTTTTTAATGAATCAGTTCATAAGTACATGAATATTTCAAATAGTTTTGTCCACATTTTTTAACCTCTGGAAATTCCCCACTTTTTATTTTTTAATGCCGTTGACCACAGTGAGTGGTTTGGTCTCATCATAAAGGAAGATGGATTAGAATGAGTAAGAATTCTTTGATGAGTTTTAGGAAATTGGAAAGATGTCCTGTTATTGTTTATTCAACAAGTGCTTACTGATTAACTCCTGTGTTCAAGGACCTGATTCCGTTGTTTCTATCTTTAAAGGCCTCAAAATCTAGAACTTGAAATAGAAAGAAAACCTACTTAGGACATATTGCTTATTTCAATATTTTGATATTTAATCATAAAATAAAATGAAAAAACATAGAAGTCAGTTATTTTATTTACTTGAATACATTGGAGAATCTCTGAAAAGGTCACTCAGAAGCCAGATTTGAAGAACGAGTTGAAATTTACTGGAGACATAAATAGAGGAAGGGAACAGTTAGAAGATAGCCCATGAGTGGATTTAAGAATTTTCAGATCAGTTGTGGTGGCTCATGCCTATAATTTCAGTACTTTGGGAGGCTAAGGTGGGAAGATCACTTGAGGCCAGGAGGTCAAGACCAGCCTGGTTAACAGAGTGAGACCCCATCTCTACAAAAATGAAAAGCAAAAAATTAGCTGGGTGTGGCTGTACACCCTTTTAGTCCAAGCTGTTCTAGAGGCTGAGGTGGGAGGATTGTTTGAATCCAGGAGTTCAAGGCTGTAGGGAACCATGATTACACCACTGTACTCCCCCAGGCTAGGTGATAGAACACAACCCTGTCTCTTAAAAAAAAATATGACTTTGAAACATTATGATAAAGTCCTGAAAGTGCTCTTAGTTGCCCATCCATTTGCACAATGGAATAGCATGTGCTGTGATAACAGAAGTGTAGGGTGCCATGAGAGCCAATTGGAAGATCATCATACCTGGATTATAGGAAGAAATAAGGGAAAGCAACAAGGAAGATCAGGGAAAGTAGAAGCTGACACATTGCAGGTGACTCAAACGTAAGTGGGTGAAGAAAGAATAGGTAAAGGTCTACTTAAAAAAAAGAAAATAAACAGCATCAAATTTAAGAAGTTATACAAATTTATTTTAAAAAGCAAGATATATGAGGGTAACAATAACAATAAAATCATAAATCATAAAAAATATAATTGCAAAATCCTGACTGGATTGTTTAAAAAAGAAACAATAAGAAAATAGATGTTTCAATAAAATTTAATCAAGATAAAGTACACATTTAAAAATTAGAAATAAAGCATATGACAACAGACGTGAAGATATTTAAAGTTGATACTATGATATATTAATATTTTAAGTCTTAATAAAGTAGATAATTTAACTTTAATAGGTGAACATAGCAATAACAAAGTAGTATATACTAAAAAAGAGTAACTTTTCTCCAAAAAAACTTTTGCAAGCAATGGACTTACAGATTTCCTTCAATAATCAAGAAATGTGAAACGTCAACAAAATGTTCAATGACATACAAAAATGGGGGGATCCAAATTTTTAACAAAACTTTTGTAAATCGGATATATAATCTGATAATGGCAACAGTGAAGAAAATTACAGAACTTCTTTCAGATAAACATGGAAAATCTTAGAAAAACTTACCAATATGTTAATAGGAAGTAATATGAAAATCAGAATAAATATCATAAAATTATTGAACAAAACTCAAGATTGATTTCTGATTAAAAAGAAAAATACAGTTATAAGGAAAAGTAGAATTACTAACATCTAACTAATATATTAAGGATGTCAATCTAAAATTTGCTAATAGCATCATATTTACAAAATAATAACTATTAACATGAGAAGGAATGTAAGATTTAATAATTAGCATTATATTACAATTCTGGGAATTCTGATCAATGCAATAAAATATCAAGCAGAAATAATTAATTTGAAAGAGGTGATAACATATTATTTACAAATATTACAAGTAAAAGGAACCTTAAAATGATCATTTTCTATAATTTATTATAGTAAATTGTTAAAGTCTACCTTAGGAAAATAACACTAAGAGAAAATGTTAACAAAAATATCTTTGGAGTTATTTATGTTAACAAAATTTGGAAAAGCCTAAATATTTAGCTAGAAGGAAACGGTACATTGATATAGACTGGCATTAAACTTAGTTTCTTGATTTGATTAAACTTAGTTTCTATGAGACATTTGTATCATTCAAAGTTGTATGTATAGACACTGACTGAAACACAAAGTGGGTTATAATATTGAATATGTGATATAATGGCAACCATGAAGAAAATATCAGAGAATCAAATGGAAGGAAAAGAGCAGAACCTGAATAATGATTACCTTTGGACAGTGGGATCTTAGTTCCTTTTACTCTTCCTACTAATTTAAAATTTGCAAATTTATTACCTTGAGAATATGAGAATACATTGTATTTATAATCAGAAAACATAAAATGAGTGCTAAACAAACAAATATACCAAATTCTGTTTAGAATTCACTTCCCCAAGAAACTTTCCTTGATTAATCCCACTGGCATTGATCATTATTTTATATGGCACCCCCATACTTATGTATTCAGTTTCTACCATATTAATTTGCATGTTTTAAAAAGTCAATTTATAAGCATAATTATGGCATTTCTACATTTATATAGTGTAGTCTCCAAACTGAATTATAAGCTTGAGGATATGAGGAACCACAGTGTATTTCCAACTATATTTATACAATAAATCATGTGGTACTTTTCACAGAGTGAATGTTGTTAACTTACTGAACACCTGATGAAACATGGGAAAGATGGCAATGTCTCACAAGAGGAACAGACGTGAAATAAAATCCAACATTCTGTATAATTCTTAGTGTCTCTTAACCCTACTTGTTGAATTACAAAAACTACATATACAAAAATTTGAGCATTGTACTCTTTAGCTGTACATTATCATTTCAAAACAAACTTATACATGGCTCTCACTATTACAATAATCTTCCCACTGTAAAAACTTTTAAGCTGTAAATTTCTGCCATTACTACATTACCTTCATATTAATTTATGCCATACTTCTTTCTGAGTTTCTGTCAATATTCATCTCAAGTATTTTTGTGTAAAAATTAGATAGTAACAGGAAAATAGATAACTGCTTCTAGTAGGTAGAAGTCATTACTACAGCTTTGCCTATTAACACATACACACTATTTCTTCATGTCCCAGATGTTCAGGTATATGGGAATGAAACAAATTAATGAGTTGGAACCTCTTGATTCAGTTATTCTGGTGACAAAATCTGTATAGCTCATGGACGATTGTTTTACCCTTGACAAAGTGGCTGCAATTGTTACTTACAGATGTAGCCACATTTAATTTCTTTTCTCCACTCCCCACTGCATTGTATTTGTTATTCTTGATATGAGAAATGTGTTAAGAAACATGCTACTAACTGCATGTGCTCCCCATACAATTAGCTACAGAAAGAGGTGATAACTCATATTATTTACAAATATTACAAGTATAAAGAACCTTAAAATAATCATTTTCTATAATTTGTTATCAATTGTTAAGTTTATTTTAACAATTATCAATTAGCTACAGAACACGAGTAGTGTTTCTTACTTTAGCCAGATGTAAACATGTGATGCGGTAATATAGTGAAGAATATTACTCACTTCAGGGGATAGGGCTTTAGTCAAGAATTTTGAGAAACTCTTGAAAAAGGAAAAGAAAACTCTCCATGATAGTAATACAATTCTAAAAGCAAAAGGAGAAAAAATGTAAATGTATTAAATCGAAAAATATTTTACGGTAAGGCAAAAGTGGGTATAGAATGGTGAGTCACACACAAATTGTGAAAGTGAGTAATGACCCAGAAATCAAAGGAGAGGGAAAAATATGGTAGGTGAATATGGTTGCAATGCTAATTAAAAAATGTTATTAGCGACTAGCTCAATTCAAGTTTTGAATAAATAGAAATAGAGTGTTTATAATGGTATGCTTAATATACTGGTGACATTATTAAGATAATTGTTGAAATATACTTAAAAGAAGTTAGTGAAAGCAGAGAATGAAAGACTATTGAACTTTTCTGGTTTGTTGTGTAAAAATTTGCCTATATCCAACATACAGGCAAAAAAATAAAATACTGGAAATAGAGAGCAAATCTTGGCCATTCAAATGAGAGTCAGCTATTAATTCTTTGGTCATAGGCTGTATTCCTACAAGCAAACTTTGGCTAAAATATGCGATTCAATACAGATACTCATTTTTCAACTGTTTACAACCTGTTTGAGTCCATTTGGACTGCTGTAATAAATTACCTTAGACTGGGTAACTTATAAACCAAATTTATTATTCTCAGTTCTGGGCGTTGGGAAGTCCAAGATCTAGGTGCCTGCAGAGTTGTTACCTGGTGAGGTTTGTTTCTCAAACTTACTGCTACATCTTCACATGGCATAAGGGCAAAAGGGGCAAAGTAGCTCCCTATGGGTTCTTTTATAAGGGGACTAAGCCATTCATGATGGCTCCCCAACCCCCTTAACCTACTCACATCCCAAAGACCTCCCCTCTTTATTTATTTATTTATTTATTTATTTATTTATTTATTTATTTATTTTTTGAGATGGAGTCTTGCTGTGTTGCCCAGGCTGGAGTGCAGTGGCACAATCTCAGCTCACTGCAACTTCTGCTTCCCAGCTTCAAGCAATTCTCCTGCCTCAGCCTCCTGAGTAGCTGGGATTACAGTCATGTGCCACCACACCTGGTTAATTTTTGTATTTTTAGTAGAGATGGTGTTTTACCATGTTGGCCAGGCTGGTCTTGAACTCCTGACCTCATGATCTGTCCACTTTGGCCTCCTAAAGTGCTGGGATTACAGGTGTGAGCCACTGTGTCCAGCCTGGCCTCACATCTTAACACCAACATATTGGGAATTAGATTTCAATACATGAAATTTGGAGAGATTTAAACTTTCAGCCCACAGCACAAACAAAGGATGAATGTTTGAGGCACCTGTCAAAATACACATTTGAAAAGATCAGAATGTCTGCAACGTCAAATGAATTACATTAGTAGAGGCAAATTCTAACAATGAAATGAGAAGAACTGCAAACAGAAAGAATCACAGAGAGAACCATCTAATTTTAACATTGAGGAAAAACTTTGAATGTGGGTTCCATTCAATTGTACAACAACTCAATGTATACAGCGTCAACACTTTTGAAACATTGAGATAAAATATTTTTGGATTTTATCAAATTTGATGTAATGCTAGAAGAAGAATTCATACTTTGAAGGGACTGTGATAAATTTAAGGATATATTTACTTCTGTTTGCACTTGCTACATGCTGTTTCCAATATGAATATTTTCACAAGATTTACATGTCTAATACATGAGTTGGCTCCTGACCTTGAAGCAATTGTTAGCAATAGATACACTTGTAAAAAAAAATAGGACTTCTGCTGTCCTGCATGACCATGGACATGTACATCTTAGTATTTATGCATAATAAAAACTTTCAGTTCAGCTTAGTAAATATTTATTGACAATGTGCTAATCATGAGGAGGACTGTGGATAAAGGTGGATGATAAAGATAAATTTAAGTTGGGAAAACTACCACCACTACATCTACAAGGGCTGAAAGTATATACAAGTCAGAAGCACACAGAAATCACTGAACCACAAAGTAAATGGCCGTAAGTGCTGTTATATACCCAAACCATGTCCTACTTATATAGTCCTTTAAATGGATAAATAATACATTAAATCTGACTGGGAAGGAAGAAAGTTTCTAGGAATAGTTCTTTAAAAAGTTGCATCAGTTTTGATTAATACATAGAAAGAGACTGTTACAGAAGAAGAGCTAGCTAACGGAAGACCTAGCATAATTTTATTCTTGCACAATATCAGAGAACCCAACAGTTTTGTCAGCAGTAGCTACTTTTAATTTATTTGGATACCTGAGATCATCTGGGAAGACTGTGGTAAGTAAGGCTGCTGATGAAGACTTTGATTAAGAAAGGATTTATCAGGAGCTGGGCACAGTCGCTCATGCCTGTAATCCCAGCCATGTAGGAGGATGAGGCAGGAAGACTGCTTAAGTCCAGGAATTAGAGATTAACCTGGGCAATATAGCCAGACCACCTTCTCTACAAAAAATAAAAAACAATTAGATGGGCATTGTGGCACATGCCTGTGGCCCCAGCTATTGGGGAGACTGTGGTAAAAAGATCACTTGGGACCAGGAGTTTGAGGCTACAGTAAGCTATGATTGTGATGGCAGCGGCTGCTGCCAACACGCCAGCTGCAGGGGAGAGGTGTGGCCGGGGTTGTATGCTCCCTGGAGTTGGCAGGATGGGGACAAGTGGGAGCCCTGCCCTTTCTGAGTTGGAATGGGAGCTCCCTGGGTGCTGCTGCAGCTGCCCAAACTGCAGCTGTAGCTGTAGAGCTGGACCTCCCACTCCATGGAGCAGACAGGAGTTTATCCAACTCCCCTACTCTGTCCCCACCCCAGCCCACCACCCAGCCAACCAAACCAATGCTGCAGACTCAGGCAACCCTGCACTCTTGGGGAGGCTGGGAATGACCCCCTTGCCCCTTGCAGGCTTGGAGGCTCCTCCTCCTGCTGCCTGGTCTCTCCCACCTCCTGGCTCTGTGCTCTGATCTCAGAGTGGGTTTGGGACCCAGCAGGGTGCTGTCACAGCCCAGCCAGGTGTGCACACATTGGAAGCAGTGCTGACATGCCAGTCCCCTGCCACCTCAGCCCCCTCTGGACTTTGGACACCGAGGAGCAGGAACATGGGAGGGGAAGCTGAGGGGGTCCGAGGGTGGCTGGGCACTGGCCTGCAAGTGCCCTTTGATGCCAGAAGCCTGGGTGCCATGGATGGCTGTGGGAGGCAGACAGGCTCCTGGGTGGAAGGGAATGGGTCCCCAGTGAAGCCCCACCTGCAGGCTAGGCTGCCAGTCCTGCAGATTGGAGGCAAAACTCATGGTGCTTTTTCCTGGGCCCGCCCATGGCTGCCCATGGACCAATGGGCATACACTTCCTCCCCTCTGACATCCATAAAAGCCCAGGACTGAGCCAGAACAGGGCAGAAGACAGAGGAGGGAAGACTAGAGGCAGGAAGGAGTTATCCTTTCTGCTGATAGCTGGAGACAATGGGAGGGCCAGCTACTTTCTCTGCGGAATGCTTCAGAGACCTACAGAGATGTCTGGGAACTAACAGCTGCAGATGGAAGCAACCCTCTCCAGGGCTTCCCTTTCTGCTGAGAGCTGAACACTTGACAGAACAACCTAGAGAGGAGCTACCCACTATGGGTCTCCTCTGAGCTGTTCTGGCACTTAATAAATCTCCTCTCCTTTAACCCTTCACTTGTCTACCTACACCATTCTTCCTGGATGCAGGACAAGAACTCGGGCAAAGATGCCACCAACCACAGTTTTCCAACAAGAAAATCGACACCCCAAAGATTCCATAACAATTGCACCACTGCACTCCAGCCTAGGTGACAGAGTGAGACCCTGACTCTTAAAAAAAGAAAAAAAAAAAGAATTATCCACAAGTTATTAGATAAGACTGCTAATAGTTTCTAATTGCGATACCTTCCCGTTTGAAATGGAAGGGATGGAAGTTAACACCAGGTCAGTTTTCTGAAAGTTATAACCCTGCTTTTGGCCTCTTTCAGCTCCAGTCAGACATTAGCAATTCTCAGTTACCTTCAATATTAAGCCGGTCCTGACATGAAACTGGCAGCATTTGAGAACACTGACCCAGACTTGAAGGTAGATCTGGAATTAGGATTGCTGCTTTAAGCCCAGTATCAAGGTATACAATGAATCATGAATTTCTCATAAACGAAATTTAGTGGATTTTTTTCCTATATTTCTGCTGATAACTTTGCCTGGATTATATATTTAAACAATTCATTTGCTGTAACTTCATTACTGTCCCAAATGTTTTGGGTTGACATACTGATGTTAGCTAGTGGTTTTGGTCTTAAGTTTCAGTAGCTGCTCCAATGTAAAATGATCACACATAAATCTTAGGTTTTTACTCATATGATACCTTGTCTGATACTATCTTCATCTATCAAATAAAGGTTTTAGTATTTTCTTAGTCAATGTGGGCTGCTATAACAGAAAACACAGATTGAGTGGCTAAAACAACAAACATTTGTTTTTCACAGATCTGTAGGCTGTAAATCTGAAATCAGGGAGTCAGCATGGTTGGGTTCTTGGTGAAGGCTGTCTTCCTGACTTACAGATGGCTCTCTTATTTTATCCTCACATGGAGGAGAGAAAAATCTCTCTCGTATATCTTCTTAGAAGGGCACTACTTTCCTTTGATGAGGGTTTCCTCTTCATGACCTAATTACCTCCCAAAGGTTTACCTCCTAATGCCAATACATTGAGAGTTAGGATTTCAACGTATGAATTTGAGGGATTTGCAGTTCATAATAACTATCAATGTCAACTCAGTTCAAGTTTGAATTTGTTTTGCTTTGGGTGACAAATCTCTAACTAATTTGAATTCATCTTTCCCCAGTCTGGTTCAATGTTGTCTTCTTTCTCCTTCACCACCAACAGTTAGCAAGATGTCAATTTTACTTGAGGCTAAGTCTGTTTTAGTTATCACAATAGAGAACCCTGTAAGCTATATGTTAGTTGCCCCTTTCATAATATTTTTCATTACGGAAAAAATACATTCTAAACATTGTTCCTATTCTAAGAAACTTGGCTGCATCTTTGCAACAAAAATAATGTGGACCTTTGCCAAATACAGCTGTAGAGAAAGGTAAAATCATTGCTCTGAATTATTCATAAAATCACAGAAATTAGGGACAAACACTAAATAAGGATGAATTATTCAGTGACTTGAAACAGATATTTTCTTTATTTTCTCATGTAATTTGAAATGTACTGCAATTTACATCCTCAGTGTTATAAACATGTGATGTTTCACTTTTAGTTAAAAGCACCCAACAGAACTTGTTAAATAAATGAGTTTTTTCTCTTCCCATCTCTAAAAGCATTTTTATACCTACTCATCTACAAATATGTTTTAATAGACCTAACCTCTCTATGATGTCATTTTCCCCTTGGGTACCAGAATATATATTTAGTCCTATAGAATGATTTAGCTCTCAGGTTCTGAGTTACTATTTCCCAGGAGTTGCATTGCCCAAAGTAATGTGGACATTTTTCTCATTTTAAATTTCAACTCACATGGTCCTTTGGTTTTGTTACATTTTGTACCTGTTTTGATTGTTTTTTTCCTCTCTATGGAAATTATTTGCCAAATAAGGAGAAAAAGTGTTGATGTTTTTCCTTATTCAAAAATTATGGTAGATAAAAAATCTGATTAAATAACTCTATTACAGTCTTTCTCAAATTTTTACTAAGATAAACATGAAGGTACTGAAAAGGTGAAATTCTCAGCTATTGAAAATTTGGAATGTAGGACATCATGCCGAGATTTGAGGAAAAGTATCAATAATTTAGCAAGGGATGGTAGTAGATATACAAAAAGCAATTAGAAGCAATAAGGCCTTGGATTCTTTTCATGTTAAAGAAAATACATTCTGAAAGTAAGTACAAAGACCCTTTGTATTTCCTTTATAACCTGTTCCCTAACAGAATACCAGGGCCTATGCCAAGGGAAAAACTGTGTAGATGTGTTTTTCTCTTCTGGTGCTGATATGGTCATAGGATGGGGACGCTCGCTCTTTGCTATTTCTCTAACCAATCGTATTACTACATCAATTAATATCAAAACATTTCAAGTCTAGTTACTGACAACAGAGTAAACTAGAGTG
The DNA here is from genome assembly GCF_000001405.40 of Homo sapiens. Lineage (NCBI taxonomy): Eukaryota > Metazoa > Chordata > Mammalia > Primates > Hominidae > Homo > Homo sapiens. The sequence goes on from NC_000020.11 coordinate 30,197,213, forward strand.
GACTCCTGACTCATAACAAGGATTCAGATCTAGAGTTCTCATAGAGTGAAGAAATTATGTTTGCAACTGAGAAACGAATGTAAAAACCGTCAGGAATCCCTGGAGAGTCTGAAAGTCCCTGAGCCCTGATACAGAGAGCAAATGGCAGTTTAAGGCTGACCACCTCTCATTCCCTCCACTATTTCTCACATAAGAATATACAGTACACTCTTCACTGCTCTCTCTGCTTCAAGCTTTGCCCTTCCACCTCTCTATCCCACAGAGAAAGTAGAATGCTCCTCTTAAAATACAAGGTAGATTATTTTACTTATCTGCTTAAAAACTTTTCAATGGCTTCTCATCTCATTCTGAATAAAATTCAAAGTGCTTTCCAGGTTTACAAGTCCCTGTATGATCCTGAGCCTTGACAATATCTCTGACAAAATCTGCAACCTCCCATTGATCACTCCTTCTCTGTCACACCAGTGTCCTTGCTGCTGTTTTGAAATATAGAAAGCATGATTTTACTTCAGTGTCTTTATCCTTGTTATTTTCTCTGCCTGCCTTCTTCTATGTATTGGGCATTCCATATGACTCATCTCCTCATTCCCCTTAGTCCTTTTTCCATGTGGCATTTGAATACAGAAATCTTCACTATCTAAAATTATACTCCCATATCCATAACTTCTTTTATTGCTCTAGATATCCTTACAGCATTTATCATTACCACTTATTAGCTTATTTGTCTTTCCTTACTAAAATGTAAACTAAATACAGACAGAAATTTTTGTAATTAAAGAACACATAACAAAAAAATCTACCATCTTAACAAAATTTTAAGTTTGCAGAACATTTTGTTAATGATATACACGTTGTTGTACAGCAGAAATCTAGAATGTTTTTATCTTGCTTGACTGAAACTCCACACCTGGTGAACAGCAACTCCAGATTTCCTGTTTCCTCCAGGCCCTGACAACTACCATTTTATCTTCTGTTTCCATGTGTTTGGCTACTTTCAATACCTCGTATAAATGGAATCACGATATATGTGTCTTTGTGTCTGGCTTATTTCACTTAGCACAATATCCTTAAGATTGACACATGTTGAAATATGACAGAATTTCCCTTTTCAAGGCTGAATAATATTCCATTGTGTGTGTGTGTGTATATATATATATATATATATACACACACATATATATATATACCATACATATATATATACCATACTATATATATCATACATGTATATATATCATACGTATACATATATATATATATATATATATATATATATATATATATATATATACCATATTTTCTTCATCTGTTCATTTGATGATGGACTTTTAGATTGTTTCTACTTTTTGGCTGTTGTGAGTAATTCTATAATGAATATGGGAATGCAAATATCACTTCAAGATCTTGTTTTCAATTATTTTGGAATTATTCAATTATTTTGGAAAAATGCCCACAAGTGGGATTGCTGTATCATATGGTAGGTCTATTTTTTTAATGTTTTGAGGGCCCTCCATACTGTTTTCCATAGTGGCTCTACCATTTTACATTCCTACTGACAGTACATAGGGTTCTAATTCAATTTCTCCACATCTTCATCAACACTTGCTATTTTCCTTTTTTAAAAAATGGTCATACAGTTATGAGGTGATAAATCCTTTTGTGATTTTAATTAGCATTTCCCTGATGATTAATGATGTTGAGTATCTTTTTATATCCCTGTTGGTCATTTGCATGTCTTCCTGAAAAATATCTATTTAAGAATTTAGCCATTTTTAAATTGGGTTATGTGTTTATTTGCTTTTGAGTTATAGGTGTTTCTTATATATTTTGGATATTAAGCCCTTAGCACATATACAGTTTTCAAATATTTTCTCCAATTCTGTAGGCTGCCTGTTCACTCCATTGTTTCCTTTTTTGCACAGAAGCATTTTATCTTGATGTAATCACCCTAACCTATTTTTGCTTTGGTTGCCTGTGCTTTTGGTGTCAAATCCAAGGAATTATTGCCACGACCAAAGTGATAAAGCCTTTCTTTATGTTTTCTTGTAGGAGCTTTACAGCTTTAGTTCTTACATTTAAGTGTTCAATCCATTTGGAGTTAACATTTGTGAACAGTGTAAGATAAGGGTTCACTTTCATTCTTTTGCATATGGATATCCAGTTTTCCCAACAATATTTGTTGAAGAAATTATCCTTTCTGCATTGTAAAGTTTTGGCACCCTCGTCAAAGATCATTTGACTATATGCAAGTGGGTTTATTTCTGGGCTTTCTTTCTTTCTTTCTTTTTTGAGATGGAGTCTTGCTCTGTAACCCAGGTGGGAGTGCAGTGTTGTGATCTTGGCTCACTGCAACCTCTTCCTCCTGGGTTCAAGTGATTCTCCTACCTCAGCCTCCCGAGTAGCTGGAATTACAGGTGCCCATAACCATGCCCAGCTAATTTTTGTATTTTTCCATAGAGACGGGGTTTCACCATGTTAGCCAGGCTGGTCTTGAACTCCTGATCTTAAATCATCCCCCCGCCTTGGCCTTCCAATGGGCTTTCTATTCTGTTCCACTAATCCATTATCTTCCATTCATCTATATGATTAGTTTTACATTAATATCACACTATTGGGATTGCTGTAGCTTTGTAGTATATTTCAAAGTCAGAAAATGTGAGGCCTCTAACTTTGTTTTTCTTTCTTATGATTGTTTTGGATATTCAGGGTCCGTTGTGGTTCCATATGGATTTTAAAATTGTCCTTTCTATTTCTCTAAAATTAGCATTGGAATTTTTATAGGGATTACATCAAATCTGTAAATTGCTTTGGCTAGTATTAGAATTTGTAAATATTCTTTCAATTCATGAAAATTAGATGGCTTTCCATTTACTTGTGTCTTCCTTAATTTCTTTCAGCAATATTTTGCAGTATTCAGTGTACAAGTCTTTCCCCCACCAGCTAAGTTTATTCCTAAGTATTTTATTCATTTTGATGCCATGGCAAATGGATTGTTTTCTTAATTTCCTTTTCAGAATGTTTGCTCTTTGTGTTTTTTTGAATCTTTACTTTGAATCCTGCAACTTTGTTGAATTCATTTTATTAGTTCTAAGAGCTTTTTGTTGAATCTTTAGGGGTTTTTTTATATATAAGATGATGTTTTCTGTGAATAGAGAAAATTTTACTTCTTCCTTTCCAATTTGGATGCCTTTTATATCTTTTTCTTGCTTAATTATTTTAGCTAGGACTTTATGTACTTCATAAAGTCATCCTTGCCTTGTTCCTGATCCTGATCTTAGAAGAAGAGATTTCAGTTTTTCTTCATTAATATGATGTGAGCTGTGGGTTTTTACATATGGCCTTTATTCTGTTGGAATAATTTCCTTCTATTCCTATTTTTTCAAGTGTTTTTCTAACGACAGAATGTTGAATTTTGTCAAATGCTCTTTCTCCATCTACAGAGATGAACATGTTATTTTAATTGTTTTGTTAATGTGGCATATTATATTGATTTGCACATGTTGAACCCTTCTTGCATTCCAGGAATAAATCCATCATAATTATGGTGGATGATACTTTATAGTGCTGTTGAATTCAATTTGCTGGTATTTGTTGAGGATTTTGCATCTACATTCATTAGGAATATTTAACTTTTTTTTCTTGTAGCGCCATTGTCTGGCTTTGATATTAGGGTTGTGCTAGCTTCACAGCAGGAGTTTAGAATTGTTCTTTCTTCTTTAATTTTTTAGGAATGTTTGAGAAATATTGGCATTAATTCTTCCTTAAATGTTGACAGAATTCTCTAGTAAAGTCACCTGTGCCTGAGATTTTCTTTGCTGGAAGATTTTTGATTACTAATTTAAACACCTTACTAGCTACAGATTTGTTCATATTTTTATTTCTTCTTGATTCAGTGTTGTGGGTTGTATATTTCCAGTAATTTGATTTTTTTCTAGGTTATCCAGTTACTACCATAATCATTCACAGCAGTCTCTTATAATCTTTTCTTATTTCTGTGGTATCAATTGCAATGTCTACTTTTTCATTTTTTATTTTATTTGGTTGAGTCTTTTTTCTTTTTAATTGCCATATTCCATTGTATAGTAATACCACAGTTTTTTAAAATCTATTCACTTGCATTGGTTCTACTTTCTGGTTATAATGAAAATATGTGTGTGAAAATATCCTTTATTTGCATTAATCTTTATTATTTCCTTCCTTTTGCTGGGTTTGGGCTTAGTTCTCCTTTTTTAGTTCCTTGAGTTGTAAAGTTAGGTTGTTTATTTGAGATCCTTCTTCTTTCTTAAGGTAGGCATTTATTGCTATAAATTTCCCTCTTTAGTCCTGCCTTTGCTGCATTTCTAAGTTTTGTTATGTTGTGTTTTTTATTTTTTTTTTGTCAGCTTGTTTTCTAATATTCTTTTTGATTTCTTCTTTGACTCATTGGTTGTTCAATTGTATGTTGTTTAATTTCCATATATTTGTAAATGTTTCAGTTTTCCTTCTACTATTGAATTTTTGCTTCATCCTACTTTTGGTCAAAACAGGTTCTTGATTTCCTTTGTCTTAAATTTGTTAAAATTTGTTTTGTGACCTAACATGTGATCTATCCTGGAGAATATGTCAGGATATGTCACTTTGCCAGATAATTTATATACCTCCATTTTTGAAGGGTTGATATTTGAAACTTATTTTGTTCCTTTTATTGGGCCATTTTCCCCTGTTTCCTTTTGTACCTTTTAATTTTGTGCTGCGATTCTAGGATTTGAAAAAAATAACCACTTCTCTCTGTCTTTACAGACTGGTTTTGCACTGGGAAATCCTTTCACCAGTCAGCCCAGCTAGAGATTCTGAAGTGTGTCAAATCTTTCCGTGAATGTATTGTCTCTGGAATTGTGTGTAAATTCTTAGAAAAATTTGCAGGTCTTTCTTCAGGAGCGTGTAATCTCTTGCTCTCTTTGTTATCTATCTGTAGTACTGTAGATTATCTGGAGTTGCTATAACCCCCTAGCTCTCTTTTGTTCTCAGCAGTCCTCAGACATCAAGAGTATTCGGTCAGACAGAAAACAGTCCATCAGGCTGACTGGGAAAAGTTGGAATTCTGGATGCACACTCCAGCTTTTTCCTTCTCCAAGGGGAAGCCAGGAGTTGAGGGTTTTCTCCCACTCATTGCATATTGATCCAGGGAAGGATAGTATGATAAGTGAATGTATGCTAACCCAAACTGCCTCAACTCATTTGTTCTTAATATCCACAACCTGGAAAGCTTTCCTGTTAGCACTTAAATTCAGGCAAGACAGAAAACAATCACTTGGCAACTCCCCTGAAGTCTGAACACTGAATGTGTGCCTCTGTATTCTCTTTCACTTCTGTGGGGGAATCAGGAACTGTAGAGTATTCTCCCAATCTTGTTATACTGAGTCACAGGAGGAATGATGGTGATTGAGTGACAGTCCAAACTGTGGCTTTATCAGCAGGCATGCAATCTGGCATCCTTTCCTGTTAGCACTTAGATTCAGGGTAGATAGGTTCTAGTGCCTTCCCAAAAAGTCAAAATGTTGGACATATGGTCTAGAATTTTCTTTCTCTCCCTAGAGATGAGCTGGGAGTTTGGAGCTTTCTCTCCATTGCGTTGTACTCCTGAGGGAGGATGAGTGAGTGCAACAAATTTACCTGCTGGTTTAGATGTGCCTGGCTTGAAGCCTACCAGGGAATCCAGAGTCTTTAAATTCGCCTCTGTACTTTTCACAAACGGGATTTATCTGTGTATTATTATCGAGCTGGTGTCTCCTTGGAGAGGAGTGTGGAGGGGCTTTGAGGCTTTCTATTTCATCATCTTGCTGGTGTCCTGACAGGAATTTTAAACTGGGCTCCTTTCCCCGCAGTGTGGGAGAATGGATCCTGGCTGATTATAAGTACTCATGAAATACTGGATAAATTATTATTTATCATTTACTTACAAATATTTAAAATTTTTATTATGGGAAATAAGTTTTCAATCACTACTAAAGTTTGTTGAAGCACTACTTCATTACTGTGAAAAATGGGGAGGGGAATAAAAATCAAGCATTTGTCTACTTATCTTGTTTTCCTGTCCAAACTGTGTTTTGGTGTAATCAATACACATTTGGGAGGAAATGTTCTCTTAGAAATTATTCTAGCTAATAAATGAAGAAAAAAATGAAAGAATGTAGTACCCTCTTATAACACCTAGTAAAATAATGGTTGAAACAAGTTTCCTAATGAATGCTAAAAATATTAGGTGAAAAGTTGATGCAAACCTTTACTGTGGTGGAATGTGGCTGACATTAATTTCTTATCTGAATTACATTTTTGAAACTTTATGACTGAATTTAAAAGGGATTTTGGTGTCATTATTTTTTCTTTTACACTCTCCTTTTTCACATAAAAATCAACTATTAACTGATTGGTTTTATGGTCTTTTGGAAAGAGACTATATAAATTCTGCTTTTTGTATGAAGATCTCTTTTACACTGTCAGAAGAAATTTTACCTCTGGTAAGCTCTGATTTCATCCTTCAATTTTATTTTGAATTTCTTTCTTTGTCTTTTGTTTTATCAGCACCTTGTTTAATTTAAAATAGATTCAATGTCAACAGTCAAGGAGTTAACTCAGGAAACTAATTTATCCAGACATACAAATATTTTTGCATATATTTTATCCTTTGTTTCAGATCTTTAATATGTAATTTCTAAAAATGAAATATGGACAGTTTGCTTGATTTCTGAGCATAGTCAATGAATAATTTTACCAAAATAAGCAAACATTTTTCGAGCTTTTTTTTTTCCTTGAGACTGAGTCTTGCTCTATCACCCAGGCTGAAGTGGGGTGGTGTGATCTTGGCACACTGCAACCTCTTCCTTCCAAGTTCAAGCAATTCTCCTGTCTCAGCCTCCTGATTAGCTGAGATTACAGTTGCCCACCACCACACCCAGCTAATTTTTTGTTTTATTTTATTAGAGATGGGATTTCACCATGTTGGTCAGGCTGGTCTCCAACTCCCCACCTCAAGGGATCCGCCCACCTCGAACTCCCAAAGTGCTGGGATTATGGTGTAAGCCACAACACCCGGCCAAGAGCATTTGGATATAATGAGTTACTGGGGAAACCTTTTAATATAATGTTAGACAGCCCATTTAAAAAGAATCCAGTATAATTATTATATTCTTTATATGACTACATTTCACAGTGAAGTAACTTAGCACTCTGTATTTATAATGCTTTGAAAATACATATTAGTTGCTGATTTTATATTCCAAACAGAAATTATAGGACATCATATTATATAAACACAAGAATTCAATATTAATTTTTACACTTTAAAACAATAATCTTGGCCCTGCACGGTGGCTTGTACCTGTATTCCCAGCACTTTGGGAGGTCGAGGCAGGCGGATCACGAGGTCAGAAGATTGAGATCATCCTGGCTAACACGGTGAAACCCCGTCTCTACTAAAAATACAAAAAAAAAATTAGCCGGGCGTGGTGGCGGGCACCTGTAGTCCCGCCACTCAAGAGGCTGAGGCAGGAGAATGGCATGATCCCGGGAGGCTGAGCTCGCAGTGAGACGAGGTGACGCCACTGCACTCCAGCCTGGATGACACAGCGAGACTCCGTCTCAAAAAAAAAAAACTTTTCAATTTTTAAAATTTTTCTCAAACTACCCATCAGAGAAGTTTAACATCTCCATTTACAGTTCTATGATGTTATACAGAAATATTTTATTTTTTCCCCAGAATAATATAGGCAAATTCTCTCCCTCTGACTATACACACCTGGTAATGTTATTTTAATTGTTTAAGGGTTTCTATCTCTTCCTATTCTGAATGATTATTCTCCTTTTGAGCTTTCTTACAGTAACCATTTTAAATAGTCTGTAGACAACTTTCTAGATTCCAGGATCCACATTAATCTTCCTGCCGTTGCAGTTTCTGTCTTCTGCAAGAGTCTAGCTTTTATGAGAACAAAATAGTCATATCTTCTTTAAAGAAGAGTTTCCAGTGTAAAGATTAAAAGTTTAAGTTAATTGTAAATGAAAGACTCCAGTTAGAGGAGAAAATATTTCATTTTAAGATGAATGTTTCAGAATACAATTACTATATTGAAGATGAATCTCACTATAGCCACATTAATTATGTCTGTTTCAATTTAAGGGGACACAGTAACAAATCTTAGCTCACTGAAAAGAAATCAAATCTGAAACATGGTGGAGAAGTATGAGCCCTGACCAAGAGATTTTCTTGGAAGACATAGATTGACTTATAGCAAAAGATATCTGAAGTAGTAAAATCTTACACTTTATTTTTATAGAAAACAGACAATAAAAATATTTCTAAATTAATTTTGTAAAATTAATTTTGTAAATTATTTTTGTAAAAATAACATAAAAATATCTGATTAACTTAGATACATAAGTTCTTTAAGTTCCAAAATAAAGAATGAGAGAAGTTTATAGTTTGTCTGACTTTTATTCTTTTAATCCATAATTAATTCCATAGATAGAATAATTTATAATGTAACTTTAATCATTACATCCTTTGATCAAAAATATACAGATATTCTTAATTTTTCTTCTCATATTTACTTAAATTATTTTCCATTGCTTTAATATTTCTTTATTCACTGGTCCCACAATAGTTCACTAAGTTTGGTATTTCTTGGTTTTGTAAAAAATTTCCCAATTCAACTCCATAGCACAATGAGTACTCTTCTCTCCTCTTCCTTTGTATTCTTTTTAGGTCCAACCCCATGGCTTTCCTTTTGTACTCTCTAGGCCAAGAATGTTCTTTCTTATTCCTACCATTTAACCAATATTCATTTTTCATGGCTGTATTAGTCCGTTTTCACACTGTCATAAAAGACTTTCCTGAGACTGAGTAATTTATAAAGGAAAAAAGGTTTAATTGACTCACAGTTCTGCATGCTGGAGAGGCTTCAGGAAACTTACCATGATGGTGGGAGGAAAGCAGACATGTCTTCTATGGTGGCAGGCAAGGAAGAAAGTAAGCATGTGAAGGAGGAACTGTCAAACACTTATAAACCCATCAGATCTCTTGAGAACTTAACTCATTATCATGAGAACAGCATGGGGGAAGCTGCTGCCATGATCCAATCACCTCCCACCAGGTTCCTTCCTTTACATGTGGGGATTACAATTCGAGATGAGATTCAGGTGGGGACACAGAGCAAAACCATATCAATGGCCAGTATATATTTTTCTTTTCTTATCTATTCCCGACTATGTCCTTTCTGAATTTCTTCCATACTTTCAACCTGCCCCACAAAAGGCAGAGCTTACTTATATTTCTTATCCTGTTATTTAAAAATTAATTTTGCTTGAGTTTGAGAATAATAGTCAATAGGCAGGGGACAAGCAGGCCATCAACAGCATCCTTTATTTTGGCAGAAATTATTCTGAATCAAACTTACCTTGTCATGGGTATAATAACATGATCTCAAAAAGAATTAAAAATCTCTATCACTTGAACCACAGTTTCCCTTAGCATATTTAATATACTTCATTTTTCTCAGCTAACAAATGTTAGCTAATATTTTTACCATCAAGAAGAATATCCTTTGGCAAAAGAATCTCTGTTTCATTAGTACATATTGAGAGAGTTGGACCCTATGGCTTCCCAACTTGATCAGGAATGGGGAAGCTGGGTACCCAGATAGGTAATCTTCTGTTTTGATACTTATAGCCTGACTGCACACAGTGTCAAATCTGGGTCTTGACCTAGCAGGCACACATTAACACAACATGAAGGAAGGAAAAAGTCATTTACGAAACTACAATGGCTGCAGTAGTTATTTGGTAGTCCTCTTTTTAAAAATTTCCTTTTAATTGAAATGAAAGTTTATAAGTGATTGTAGTGTAAATGATATAACGTTTTACAATGTTTTATTACAAAAACTCAAACACTCCAGGAGTGAATTAAATGTAAATTGAAATCTCCCTCTCTCTACAATCCCACATGCCTCATCATTTCCTCTATTCCTTAGAAATCCACCGACAACAATTTAATTAGAACTCAAATACTTTCACTCAAAAAAGGCATATGTGTACTATTTAAAAAATGGGATTATGCTAATTATGATTTGTAGTGACCTCATATTTCATTCAAAAATACATTGGATATCTTGCCATCATTTAAAATGACTGTAAATTGTTAATTTTTACCAATATTTTTATAAAACATGTCTATTGAAAATTTGTCATTACCATCTTTGCATTTTTTATACACTTGTATAATGAACAGCTTTGCAAATATTAGTTAGCACACTTGTTCAATTATTTAATAGAGATCTAATCTGAGGAGTTGAGAATTTTCAACTCTTTCTCAGGACCATTCCTTTGGAGTGATTTTGGAAATGTAGGTTATTTTTGGTTGTATCAGTGACGGAGACATGAAGAGCACTTACAAGTAAAGGGTAGAGATCACATGCAGCATGCACTGGGCCAAACAGTGCATTGAGACAAACAGTCCTGTAGTACCTCTTGGAGAAACATGGCAACATGAAGTATTTCACTGTCTACTTTAAGAAATGTTGCACTATTTGTGCATTTTACAATAAATATCTATTCATCTTATAATCTGCAAAACAATATACTATTATTTAAAGTTCTTTTTTGTTTTGTTTTGTTTTTGTTTGTTTGTTTATTGTTTTGAGACAGAGTCTTGCTCTGTCACCCAGGCTGGAGTTCAGTGGCACAATCTTGGCTCAATACAACCTCCACCTCCCGGGTTTGAGTGATTTCTTGTGCCTCAGTTTCACAAGTAGCTGAGACTACAGGCATGTGTCACCATGCCCAGCTAATTTTTGTATTTTTGTGTTTTTAGTAGAGAAGGGGTTTCACTATATCGGCCAGGCTGGCCTTGAACCCCTGTCCTCAAGTGATCCTTCCACCTCGGCCTCCCAAAGTGCTGGGATTACAGGTGTGAGCCACCATGCCTGGCCTATTATTTGAAGGATTTAATCTTCTCCCATCCCAACAACAATGGAATTTTTCAATAAATCCAAAAAAATATTTCTTTGAAAAGACAAATAAATTAGATGACAAAAAAGAGAGAGCCTATTAAAATATAACAAGAAAAATGGAAAACTGGATAACTGAAAATTTCAAAAGAATCTAATATGTACCTTTTGGTCATTATATTTGAAAATATATATAAAGAGGTTAATTTTTTAGGGAGAATTTAACTATAAAAATAAATCTAGAAAAATAAGAACATTTGAAGATACCAACAATAGAAAAAAATGAAACTGGTATAAAGTTATAGCACCTTTAAAAGCTCAAGGCCCAGCTGTGTCTCAAGCAGGTCCTCTTAAACTTAATGGAAAAGTTAATTCCTGTGTTGTTCAAACTATTCTTTTGGTTAATGGGAGCAAAGGAAGCATATCTCTCCCTCCATTTATTTCTTAAAACAACTGAAAACCAAAAGAAAATCAACGTACAAAGAAAAAAACTCCACCAATTTTGTTAAAAATAAACACCATTAAAAATTATAAACCAAACTATGAAGACTAGTTGTCAGTGCCATAACAATTTAGCCTTTCTTCAAAAAATGGTGAGAGTAGATGCAGACACCTGAGCAAATATGGCATGTTAAACACATAGAGAGACTTATTTTCCCACCTGAAGCTATAACATGATGGCAAATGGCTCATTCAAGTGATATAAAAAGAAAACAGCAACATTTTTGAAAATAGGATGTCCATAAATGGCTGGTAACTGACTTAGCTTACCAAAAAGTGCAAAATTGTAAGTAGCGGGGAAATCTGATTCTACAAAATGTTCATAAATTGGTTGCACAGGACACCTCTGAAAGTAGAAGTAAAGGTAGGGCTAAAACCCAGGAAGATTGGTTGAAAGACTGTTTCCAATGCCCACTCCATCAAGCCTCTTAAATGCCTCTAGGTTCTGCTGGTGGAAAAGTAGACATTTGCTGTCTAGAGAGGTAACAGGGAATCTTAGTACTGGCAATATAATCTTCATTGGTCATACATAAATTAGGGGGGCAAAATGAACAGAAACTACTGAAAGCTAGATCTCCCCAATTTTCACCTCTATCTAGATTCAAACATAACAGTCTATTAGTCTTATACCCTCAGAGAAGACTGGAAGACTCTAGTTGGAAGATCATGATCAGCCCAAAGTAATAGTCCAGTGGATATGTCATGAGGGGCTTTTCTGGGAAAACTTCTCGACCTGATTGCCCTGGCTGGAAGCCACAGTTGACAATTATTACCTAAGAACCTGGAGCTTACCGTAAACGTTTATTGTATTGCTCTTGAACACAAACAGATAACCAACAATCAAGAGATTCTAGGTACAGCCAATAACAAACACGGAATCAAAAAATAAACAAAACAACTGAAAGTAAACAGAATCTATACAGTGTGGGAAAAAAGTAATTATTAATTTCCTCAGAGAGGGAAGATGATAAGATGATACAACAAGAACAAGATGTGATATAAAATGGATATTCAAAAAAATAGAATTCTTAAAAATTAAGAAATTTATTGCAGAAATATATAACTTAATGGAAGATTTGGAAGGTAAAGCTAACTGCATCTCCAGAAAAGTTAGTGTAAACAGAGTTGGGAATAAGAAATGGAAAGTTTAATGAATTAAATAATTGGTCCTACAGGGCCAGCAACAAAATACAGGCATTTGGGAAAAGAAAAAAATACAATGAAGTATGATATATATAAATTATTTTTTGAAATGGGTAAGAGTTAAAGTGTATGAATTTCAGATTGAATGTGTCCACCAGAATTCAAATCAGTGGTGAAAATAGACCTAGACCAACACACACACACAGACACACACACACAAATCAGCACACTCCAGGAAAAAAAAAAGAAGACACTTCAAATTTCCAGAGAAGAGAAATAAAAGTGGTCACTAGAAGACAAGCAAAGCCTTATAAATTGAAAAACAAATTATTTCTAATGCAGAATAGTATCTCCAACCAAACTGTAAATCAGATAGGAGGAAAACAATAATAAGCATTTACAGCACGGCAAGATTCTAAAACTCTACATCCAATACATCCTATCTCAGGAATTTACTGGAGAAGAGTTTCACTAAAATGAGGAAGTAAATGAAGACAGGGTAGGGTATAAAGTACAGGGAATCTCCTGGTTGTTAGATGTGTGGTATATGTACACAGCAACCTGTGTAAATTAGAGCTATCTAGAAAAAAAATTCAAAAAGATAAATCTGATAAAATGTCTAATGCTTCTGAATGTATTATGAGACTCATTAGAAAACTGGGGTAGGGTTTGGAGTTGGTACTTTGATACATACATAGAAAAACGAAAAAAACAAAAATTTTAAAAAATTGTCAGTTTAAGGGAAAAAAAATATCGTGTAGAAATGAAATTCAATCATTTATGCTCCATGTTTCAGGTGTGAGTAACATTTACCTAATTATAACAGTACTAGTGTTACTGCAAAAAGGGGTCCTGATCCACACTTCAAGAGAGGGTTCTTGGGCCTCACACAGGAAAGAATTCAAGGTGAGTCACAGAGTACAGTGAGAAGAAGACATAGTTTATTGAAAGCTACTGCCTTTTAGAGTAGGGCATCCTCAGAAAGCAAGCGAAGGAATGCACTCTCTTTGTTTTCAGTTTTTCTGTTATAGGAGTTTTGTCTATGTAAAGACTAAATTGGAAACAAAATAACAAGAAGAAGGAATTTATGCATAATCTTCAAATCATGAGGAGTAAAATTCATACAGGACCTGTCGTTTAAAGAGTTTCATAGTGGTTGCCAGTGGGCATTTTGTGATGTTTATCAATGTGATTCTTGAATGTAAAAAGGACTGCTTATAAGATTTCATATTCTGAATTAATGTGCAGCATATTATATTAAATTGTTAACGAATTTAAAAAATTTTTGAGTTTAAATTAGAAATTTTATTGTTCTATTTATAAAACCAGTACATTAAAAATTATTTTTAAGGGGAACTTTGATTAATGTTTGGTCCATTTACAACTTAGTTAATTAAACTCCCTTAAAGATTTTAAACTACATTTATACATTTAATATGTTCAATTATCTTTGTGAACATTTTAATTATCGGACTAACAAATAAAGCCTTCAGAGTACTTAAACAACCCTTACAGAGCTAATAAATTAAACCCACAAAATCATGAATCTTAAATTATCTTCAATGTTAAACCATTACTGGCAACTCGGTAAAGCCGCTTATAATTTAAACTAAAAAAAAAAACCCAATATCTAAAATACACTGTTACACATTTAAAATTGGAATGTAAAATGCTAATCTATATTTAAATACTAATACAATTATAAATAAATATCACATCTCTAAAGTATAAATATTATAGTTTTCATATACTTCATCATCTCTAAACTTTTTTTCAATGTTTTCCTGGGATAAAAAATTTCATAAAAACAATTATATTATCTTAAGCAAATGGGGTTATCACCTCAGTGAGTTGTGGCTATTTTTTCAGGTTGTTTACCTATCAGAGATTTTGACTGGAAAATGAGATCTGGAGCTTCAGATACTCAGGGTAATTGTTTGTTTTTCCCTCATTAATATGGGAAAAAATTCTAACGTTGTAAAAGTTATGTTAATAGAGATTCCAAGCCCATGAACTCTAAGTGAAATGGCCATGCAATCCATGTTTTCTAGATCCATGTTGCCTATATCTTTAGCCTGATTTTAATATCTAACCTCCCTACTCTGATTGTTTAGGTACTAGATTAAATTCAAAAATCTATTTACTGTATGATTCTTGACAGAGTTCTTTTTATATTCTTCATACCTGGTGAAGTCATAACTTTTCTGGATATTTAAATGACATACACGTGTATTATTTAATCTCGTGTATATCTGATTCTGTGGTCACATTTCCCAAGGCCAGATAAATGACTGTAGCCAGACAGATGTAGGGCTAGGTGTAAAAGGAGATATTCCCACAGATTATATAGTTGCTGTGTAGAGAAAACACTCTATGTTTTTCCTCTACTCTCACACCACAAAGATCAATCAGCAACACAGAAGACTTCTGTGACCAAATGTGTGCGTTTTTTCCTCCATACATATACCAAGGAGCAGACACCAGCTGAGTGTCCTCTAATTCAGTTCTGACACTACACTGTCTACCTGGAGATAGTGTCAGGTCTCACAGGTCAGTCCCCAAGACTGCCCACCCTCAACCTACCAGCCACAAGCCCAGGCCTCTGAACTTCTGACCTACTGGCTTCAAGTTGGGTTCTCATGACCCCCTCTTTGGGTTTGATTAATTTGTTGGAGTGGCTCACGGAACTCAGGGAAACACTTACATTTCCTGGTGTATTATAAAGGATATTGCAAAGGACATAGATGAAGAGACATTTAGAGCAATGCATGGGGGAAGGGAGCAGAGCTTCCATGTCATCCCTGGGTGGGCCACCCTCCAGGAACATCCATGTGTTCAACTGCCCAGAAGCTCACTGAACCCTGTCCTCCTGGATTTTCATGGAAGTTTCATGATATCAGCATTCCTCCCTCCAGGGTATAGGGTGGGACTCTCTCCTGAGATGGTCTTAAGACCCACAACCAGAAAGGCAGGAACATAAAAATGAAAAAAGGCCATGAGAAGGTGAGAGGCCTGCTCCTGAGACCTAACACATCCAATATTATAACAAAAGATTGTAACAAGTGCTAGGGGAGTTATAAGCCAGGAACTGTGGATGAAAACCAATATACATCATAACACCACAGTTGCTGAGAAAATATTCATGGAAAATAGACCTAAATTGATACTGCCTATTGACATAATTTACCTTACTGATCTTTTCCTTCACCATTTTAATAAATAGCTCAGACAGTAATGAGTCCCATTCAAAGATAATAATAGAAAAGACACCAGCACTGTGCCTGTGTAACATATATTTCATGTTAGAGAAAAGCAACAAAGACAATATAATATTAAAAGACAGAAAAAAATTATATGCCACATTGACTATCATTGAATCACAAAGTGAGTACAAATTTTTAATGCATTGTTTCATTAAATCAAATTCCCCTTCCCGCACCAATACAACTCCTCTGATGTAAGTGACCTAAAAGGACATAAATAGGTTTTAAAGCAGATATAAGATAAATGCAATATATGTAGTGTGAGTTTAGGGAAAGATAAAAGGGAAAATACCTTTTATCTGAGAAATATATACCACACTAGAAACAGCAAAAATGAAGAATAGATATTTTCAAAATTTACTCAAATAAATGGGTATAAGAAAAAAATCGAGCAAAACAAAATGGAAAAGAATAAATAGGTAACAAGGGTAGAACAATATTTATATTTGTTTGAAGACAGACAAAGCTGACCTAACATGTTACCATGTATATTTTATCCAGTTTTCCAATTTTGTTTTTATTGCTGGAAGGTTAATTTGGTCAGAGTTATTTCACCATATCAGCAAGTATAATTTTCCAAACTCACACCCCTTACTTTTTGTATCTTATTTTTTATCCTATTATTACATATTTTATAATATTATATGTTCTATACTGAACTATACAGTAAATAAAAAATAAAATATGAACACAACAATTTCATAGAAATGGTGAGGTTTTTTTTTTAATTGAGGCAGAAGTTCATGACTTGAAAATAGAATGATGCAGTAAAGAAATAAACTCAAGAACTCATTTTATGGAAAAAGTGAAAACAATTTGCAACATTAAAATAATTAATCAGAACCTCAATCCAGATTAAGAAGGAATAGAGAACAAATATTAAAATTGGAAGGCAATGAAAATATAATCACAGATATTGATCAAGTAATTAGATAAGATCATTTTCTTAATTTTACACAAATATATTGGAAACCCTGGATTATATGATTTTTTCCATATGAAAATATAAGTGACCAAAATGACAAGTTATAAAATCTCAGTATCTTATTAATGCAGAAAAAGATGTTGAGGATATAAAATTCTGAACATTCTCCTCTCAACAAACAGACACCAACTCGTCATCTAGCATTAGGTATATCTCCCAATGCTATCCATCCCCCCTCCCCTCACCCCACAACAGAAAGCGCACTGGCATGGCACATGTATACATATGTAACTAACCTGCACATTGTGCACATGTACCCTAAAACTTAAAGTATAATAATAATAAATAAGTAAAAACTTTTAAAGAAAAAAAAATCGGGATCATTTGCTTATGTGGTTACTAAGGCAAAATGTAAGTCATGATTTTCCTGGACCAGCTCTGAAAAAATGTCTTCTCTGGTTAAGACTGGGTAAAATGGATGATTTATTTATTCAATAAAGTTATTGAATGCTCGCCATGTGCAAGATACAGTGTTGAATGTGGTGCAAAATATAAAGATGTGGAAGAAAAAGCCACTGAAAATAATATGAGGAAACAAAAAACTAGAGTAAATTATCAGTGGAATAATTTCTATTATACAAGACACTACACCCAAATATTCTCCTAATGCTCATGTAAGAATTTCTCCAAAAATACCTTCCAGCACTACAAACTAGAAGAAAAAAGAGACATGGATACCAAATTAAGTTCTTAATAATGAAGAATAAAAGAGACTACCTTGCCTGCTCCAGTGGATCCAGCAACCACCAACAGCTGTCCTCTTTCTATCTTGAAATATCTTTCAGGACAGGAGTACCAAGAAGTGAGAAATTACTGAAGAAGAGGCTGTCATCACCATTAGAAGTTTTTCTATTGTTATTGTTTTGTTTTGCTTTCTCAAATAATTCCCCAAATCCCTGTTAAAAAAAAAAACACACACACCCATCAAAAATAAAAGATGAGTTTGTCAGAAAAAAAAAACAGACAAATCAGCAGGCATGAACATTTTCAAGAAGAAATGTATCAAGACATGAAAGTACTGATAACTCAATGCTGTTTAAAGTTTTCTTCTTCTAATTCTAGCTATGACAAATTAATTTGTATTAGGCCATCCCACCTGGCGAGAACAATTATGAAAGCTGGATAAAATTAATTAAAAATAAGTAGCTATTTAAGGGCTTCTGATAGCAATCAAAGCATCCAGAACTTGAGTGTGTAAGCTCTCAGAAAGAAGAGAAACACATTGAATTGATTTCAACATTCTCCACAACCTTTCATTTGGATACATTTGCTGAGCAGATAGCTAAGAAGAAAATGGTAGCTCAGAGATGTTAGAAATCTGATAGGCCTGCATAGACAAAAATTGGAATTCATAACTATCATGGTGGCCAGGGCTTGATAAAGGGCCAGTAGAAACAAAACAATTTCATTTTGTTTTTCCTTCACAGCATTTTCTGATTCTTTAGTTGCAGAAGGTGAGCAACTAAGAAGCTTAGCATAAAATGGAGCTACCTGACTAAAAGGAAGTTAAGCAGACCTCTCAGCAAAAGGATAGACAAAATTGGAGTTCAACAAGGAACAGAGGACCTAGAAATCTCCCTAGGCATTGAGACCCCTAAAAAGCTAATCCCTAGCTGAAAAGGCAAACTAGAAATGCACCAGCTGCCACAAAAACTGAAATCTAGCCTCAAGGCATTTCAGCCTGATTGGACCAAGAGGATCTACCTCTAAGCCAGAAGAAAACTACAATTTCTTTGGAGGGAGATCCCATCTAAAGACTTTTTCTCTTAGGTCAATGTCTGGCTCTTGATCATAAATAAGTAGGCATATCAGTCAGCAGGGCTAAATGATGCATGCACACACATGTGCGTGCACACACAAACAGAGTGAGAGTGACAGTGAGAGGGAGAGGAGAAATCCATAGCTTTAAATGTTTCCATGTAAAGAAAATAAAAATACTTCCAAATATATTTATGAATAAATATTGTATTTATACTAAACTGGACCAAAGCTGAACACATGTGCTCTCTTCCCATCCCTTTCCCTTCGTCTCTCTCATATACACTACACAAAATAAAATACAGGCCTATTCCACTAATAAATATTACTGCAAATATTCTAAAGCTGTACTTTACACTTAAAAGTTGCAATCCCATTAAAACCATACTTCATAATCAAGTAGTGTTCATGTTAGTAAGCAAGAATGGATGACTATTAGGAAATAGTTTACTATAATTTATCATGTTAATAGAAAAACAATAATCTCCAGAAACTTCAACATATATTACCAACTAAATAATATTAATAGAATAGTATTATAATGAGATAGATGCAATTTAATCCAAAATTCAGAATTTATGTGATGGTGTTTGGGTACAGGGCCTTTGGGAAGTAACAAGGTTTAGATGATGTCATGAGGGCAGGGTTCTCATGATGGAATTAGTTTCCTTATAACATAGACACCAGAGAGCTTGCTCTCTTTCCCTGCAATGTGAGGACAGAGTGAGAGAACTTGACTGTCTGCAAGAGAACGCTCACCAGATAGCAAACATTCACAGATCCTGATCTTGGACATTCCAGCCTCCAGATGTGTAAGAAAATACATTTCTGTTTAAACCACTCAGTCTGTGGTATTTTGTGATGACAGTTCGAGCAGACTAAGACAAATAATGACACCATTCATGATTGTTCCCATCTACCAGTCACCAAAACAAGTTCTAACAAGATTAAAGAATAAATTCCCCCAAAAGGTAAACTTAAAGCCTAAAAATTAGAATAAATTGTAAATAAAGATTAAAAATATAACTGGAGACAATCAAAAACATATATATCCTAAGGAGATTGTTAAAGCTATATGAAAAATGTATGCTAAAAATCTCATTGGAGCACTATTCATAAATCTAAATAATTGTAAATAATAACTACGGTTATGTTGATTATGGTAAATCCATATATGTTTGTTAACATAATGTGGTAATTTGTAAATGTTTATAAAGCATTCTTGTATATTAGCAAAACAATTTGAAGTGTCAAATTAAAAATCCTGAATACAAAATTACATGTAAGTTATAATTCCAAGTATGTTTGAAAAATTACATATAAAAATAATGGAAGTAAATGCAACAAACTATTCATAGTAGAATTTTATTTTACAACAACTCAAAATAATGAAACAAATCCTCTGGCTTACAACTTTCAACTAGGTATTGTGATTTTCTTACTATTCCATTCAGTAGGATACAGGTGGCATGTTTGTATTCTCAGTTTGTCAGTGTTCTCCTGGCATCATTATTAATAGTGTCCCTATCACTTTCACAAGTTTCCTGGTTTGCAGAATAAATTATATGGTTATCTGAGATATGGGAAACCTAATTTTCTTCCTTCTTCCCCAGTAATAATCTATACAATTCTGGACAACTCACCTATCCATAAAACAATTTGATCTCTACCTTAAAATAGATATATTTCTGCTACTTAACTTCATAGAAATATTGTAAGGATTAATGAGGAGATGCTTGGAAAATACTTTGAGCTCATCAGAGAAAAGTGCTATGATATTGCCACTAATAAATTTATTTACTAGCTTGCTGAGTAGAAAGTCAAGGGAAATCAAGATTTTGTGGGTATCAGCGACAAAACCAAATCCATCATGCATGTTCTGGCAGCCCATTTTATATAAGTTCCCCAGAGTAGAGTAGCTAGTGAACATAGAACTTCTCCAAAAAAAAAAAAAAAATATATATATATATATATATATATATATATATGAACATAGAACTTCTCCATATATATATAATCTATATATATAATTAATTAGAAAAATTAGAGACACATAGGCTAAATTTTGACTCTTATAGGCTATTCAGTTAGCAGTTATGAGTAAATGTATTGAACTTCTCTTTCTTGGTGAAAATATTGTGTTCCATCAAGAACTAACCACATGGAATGTTTGGAAGTTGAACAAAGACTGTTCATTAAGCTTGAAAGGGACAGATGAGCCAGCTAGCACTTTGTAACCTGGCAGTCAGGCCTCAAAATCAAGCCTATTATTTTAGTAGGCCAATTAAGTTTTTTAGAAACTCAGTGGAGAGGTGGCGTCTTCACCCATTTTCAGCACCTTATAAATTAGGTACTTTTGCCTGGCACTAAAATATCCTTCTTGAACTTAAAAATCAAAATCAATAAATCAATCTACTGCTCAGGCAACAAAGAAGCAGACGAAAGGCAACAATGGGGCAGATTAAACTTCTAGCAATGAATCCCAAATATACAGGAGCCTTAGTTTGATTAAGATGACAAAAAAACTCCTGGAGGAAGGGCACTCAAGTCTAGCTCATGGTCTCTTTGTTCTTCCTAAAATCTACATCCCTTGCATCAACTACAGTACTATAGTCGACGATTTGAAGTTGAAGCATAATATCTTATTTTTTCTGACATTACAAGTATATAACAGATCACAAAGTTTTTTTTTCTTTTTTTTTTTTTTTTTTTGAGAGGGAGTCTCGCTCTGTCACCCAGGCTGGAGTGTAGTGGCACGATCCTCACTGCAAGCTCCGCCTCCAGGCTTCACGCCATTCTCCTGCCTCAGCCTCCCGAGTAGCTGGGACTACAGGCGCCCGCCACCACGCCTGGCTATTTTTTTTCTATTTTTCAGTAGAGACGGGGTTTCACCGTATTAGCCAGGATGGTCGCGATCTCCTGACCTCGATCACAAAGTTGATTATTTTTTCACTTGTCAAGTTCTTACACTATCTAAAATTCTTATCTTGACCTTTCATGTCTGTCTTCAAAAACAAATCATCTCTCTTCCCACTCTCTGCCAATTGGATCTCTTTCTCTTTGCTTTGTTCTGGAGGAGAGAAAGGTGTATCTGTATTATTTTCTTCTTTGTCTGAATTAAACAGCTGTTCTTGGAGAGTGGTGAGCAGTTCTTTATGCAAAGGAGAACTGGTTACTTAGTTTTGTACGATTTACAAAAAAAGTAAGAAAGTGCTGAAAACCAGTATCTTAAAATATTCATTTTATTCAATTTTATTTTAATTGGGGCACAGATATGAGGGAATAGTTTTAGTTGAATAAGGAATAAAAATATTTTGTTATAAATCCTCAAGAATATTTATACCTTAGAATTGCTTTTATATTTCTGTTTCTATGACATTCAAATGGGCAAAATTTTTTCTAGAATTTAGACAGATTTACAAATAATTGCATAAATATGTCTAGAAATTGAAAAATTAAAAGAAAAATACAACAATGAGAAAGTGAATTGAACTTGAAAAATACCCTAATTGTGAAAACCAAACTTTCATAGTATTATTTTAATGTTTTCTGATTTGCATTTTGGGAATTCTTGCCTTCACTGTGTTCTTTTCCTTAGATTTTCTCTACATACTGTTCACAAAATTCAGTTAAAAACTATTTTAGAGGTTGTCTAGGGAAAGGGCTGCATGCTCAGTCATTGACTGTTACTTACTTTGGTACAATTAGGGGTATTAAATTTGAATTCACTGGATTTGTGCTTCTCCCCACACAGGCTGACTATTCGTAGCTGTTGCTGCTTGGAATACATATTGGCTTAATTAATCAGTACTATTTGGAACTCTGTGAAAATGCAAACTAATTATGAACTTTCTCTGATAAGAGACAATTTTAGCTCCTGATTATTTGCTTTTCCCTACATTTATATAACAGCAATCTCATGAAATCGAGCATTAGATCAGCATGTTATTGATTTGCACTTTAGGCAATTTGCACCTCTGAATTGCTTTCCTTTCTGATATCTTCAGATGCAAAATCTTGAAAAAGAGCTTACAGTCAGACCTTTATTTGATTGTTTGATAATTGTTTTTCCTCTCTGTTTCCATTAGCATTATTTGTGGAAGACCATAGCAGTGGGAGTTCTTGTCACAGAAATCTTGTGACCTCTGTGTTTGGTAGCTATAGACTGCAATGAGTTTATCTCTTCATAGGGGAAATTGAGAAGAGATTACTGCTACCCACTACCCAAGCTCTGGTTTTCTTTACAAAGCTTCTGCATAAATCACAACTACATAGCTTCAATGACGGACCTAACTCTTGCTTGGAAGTGTGGCAGCAGAGTTGGATTTAAGAGTCATGGATTTAAGAGCAGAGTCATGGATTTAAGCTACAGTCTTATCACTACTTTATTTATAGTAAACACTCTGGGGGAGACTTTTAGTGCTAGATTCTGTGCTAGACTCTGGTGTTGAAATATGTGTCAGCTATGGCCTCAGCTCTCAAGGCATTAGTTGTGTTTGTGTGTGTTGTGTGTTTTGAGGGAGGTGTTAGGTGTTGGTTGAAAGAATGAGGAAGGGGAGCAAGATTTGAGGAGAAAACAAACATGCACATGTACATGGTTTCATTG
This sequence comes from Homo sapiens, assembly GCF_000001405.40. Classification (NCBI taxonomy): domain Eukaryota; kingdom Metazoa; phylum Chordata; class Mammalia; order Primates; family Hominidae; genus Homo; species Homo sapiens. Next base: position 30,220,445 of record NC_000020.11, read on the forward strand.
AATAATCTGCACTTCTGAATTGTCAGTACATCCATCTGATTTAGTGATAATTGAATTAGAATCATTCTGAGCTGCGGTGGAAAACATTGAATATTTTTTTCACACTGAAGCCAGAACTCTTGGGTACCATAACCCAGCAATATTGTTTGCTGGCTGTCACTTAAACTCACAAAACTCCTCTGTTTTGTCATCTGTAATAAATACAGATACAATATTTTGTTTTATATATATGTATATATCTTGCAAAATTATTGTGATGATGAAAAACGAAACGTAATACACACGGAATAATGCATAGTAGATGGGAAGCACTAAATAAATGGCTATGTAAGCAGTGATTCCTCTCTTTGTTATCTTCATTATTACAATTTCTACATAGGTTTTATTTCAGTGATTTTTATAGTAATGACTTTGCTTATTTTATAAAAATACTTCATGCCAAAGAGTACAAAGAAAACAAAATAAATCACCCCAAATTTTCAGAAACAACCAATATTAACAGTTGGTGGAATTCATTTGGGTGATTTTTTTTGTTTCTTCTTTGCACTTTTTGGTATTTTTCAAGTTTAAAAGGAATAAGCACATACAATTATTATAATAGCTGTAAAATAGTTATATGTGTTTCAAATTTCATACTCCAAAAAGTTTGGATATAGATGGAAGATACATAACTATATGTATAGTGAGAGAGAGAGAGCTAGCAGAATAGATAAAAAATAATTTTATAATAAAAGAATACTATATCTGCTTTTTTAATTGGAAGTATTAAATTTATCTATGTGACTGCATTATTTCCTAAAAGGTCACATTTTTTTAAAAAAATTAAAAAATATTAGAAGATTGCATCATTATAATTTATTTCTTAAATTTTAATTATATGTATATCTATGAATAATTTATGCATAAACATATACATGTAATGTCAAATCCTAAGAAAATGTATACACCTTAAGGAATTATCACAAAACAAACACCTCCATAACTAACACTCAGAATAACATTTTTTTGCAAAATAGATTACTACTCCTTCATTTGTCTTGAAAGATACCTACTATTTGGAGTTTACTTTTCTTAAAGTTTTGATATTTATATACCCACTCTGTGGTAGGCCAATAATGCCTCTGAAAGGCATGTCCATGTCTTAATCCATGGAGCCTGACTTTATTTGAAGTAGGGCATTTGCAGATGTATTTAAGATATTTGAGGCCGGGCACAGTGGCTCATGTCTGTAATCCCAGCACTTTGAAAGGCTGAGGCAGGTGTATTCACCTGAGGTCAGGAGTTCGAGACCAGCCTGGCCAACATGGTGAAAAGCCCGTATCTACCAAAAATACAAACGTTAGCTGTGTGTGGTGGTGGCGGCACCTGTAATCCCAGCTACTCGAGAGCCAGAGGCAGGGAGAATCACTTGAACACAGGAGGCGGAGGTTGCAGTAAGCCAAGATTGCACCATTGCACTCCAGCCTGGGTGGCAGAGCAAGACTCTGTCTCAAAAAAGCAAAACAAAACAAAAAATAAAAGAAGAAAGAAAAAAGAAATTTGAGAGGAGATCATCCTGGGTTATCTGAGTGAGCCCTAAATGCCATCACAAGTGTCCTTGTAAAAAGGAGACAGAGGGAGCAGAAGGCAATGGGACAATAGAAACGGAGAAGTTTGAAGATGCTGTGATGCTGGCTTTGAAAATAGAGGAAGGCCCACAGGATGGAAGAGGCCATGAATGGATTATCTTTTGGAGTCTTCATGGAGAATTTAGCCCTTCTACCATCTTGACTTTAGGTCAGTGAAACAAATGTACTTCTGGTCTCTCTAACTGAGAGAGAATAAATTTATCTTGTTTAAAATCACTAAGTTTGTGATAAGTTGTTACAACAGCCCCAGAAAACAAATACACACTCATTTATTTTCTTTTATTGCATAACATTATGCATTGTGAGTTTGACCTATGTTGTTACATGTAGTTCTAATTTGTTCATTTTCATTGCTGAATAATATTCAATAGGCAATTTTAAAAATTCATCTTTTTTTAAACAAATAATGCTGCTATGTACATCCTTGCTTGTATCTTGTGGTATAAATATGTAAGTGGGTAGCTGCATCCATTTACTTTTTCTCCAACAGTCTATGAGAATTTCCCTTGTACTGTATCTTCATTTGTAATAGTTATTGTTAGTCTTTTAATGTTAGACAAACTAGTATGTGTAGAATGGTATGTCACTACAGTTTTAATTTAAATTTCTCTAACAAATAATGAGCCATTTTCATCTGGACTGAGCCTTGGGTGAAGCAAGAGAGGCATCTAGGGTACACAATTTAAGGACATGTTTAATCCCTTTCCTTTCTGTCCTTGTTTGTGATGAATTATTTCTACTTTATCAAACAAAAAGTGTAACAGGTATACAATTGATTTTTGCTTTTTGTGCATTTGTTATAAATCCAGTCACCTTACCAAACTGGCTTTTATTTCTAATTGTTTGTAGATAATTGTTGACATTTGTACATAACCATGCCATCTCCAAATTAGCATTTACCTTTCCTTTTCAATATTTACAAATTTAACTTCTTTTAATTGCCGTATCCCACTAGCTGGGGCCACTATAAATCTTTTATACTTGTTTTGATGTCTATAGAAACTGTAGCGATGTCCTCTCCTTTATTAATTTCTCACACTGGTAATTTCTGGTCTTTCTTTCTGTCTCACTGTTTATCTTTCTGTCACTCTCTTCCCCTCTTTCTCCGTGTGTATGTATGCATGTGTGTGTGTCTGTATAAAAGAATTTAAATATACGGATAGTCCTTGACTTAATGATGGTTTGTCTTACAATTTTTCGACTTTACAATACTGTAAAACAATCACAATTTCAACATAATGTACCATATTCAATACATTACATGAGACGTTCAACACTTTCTGATAAAGTAGGCTTTCTGTTAGATAATTTTGCCCAATTTTAGGCTAATGTTAGTGCACTGAGCATGTTTAAGGTAGGTTAGGCTAAGCGATGATGTTTGGCAGGTTAGGTATATTAAATGCATTTTCCACTTATGATATTTTCAATTATATTGGGCTTATCAGGATGTAACCCTATCATAAGGTGAGGAACACCTGTACTCTAATTATGCAATTATAAAGAGGTTCATTATTTTTTTCCAGGCAAAACTTTTCTTTGTTGATTTTTTCTCTTATATGTGTGTTGTATTAGTCAGTTTTCAAATTACTATAAAGATACTACCTGAGACTGGGTAATTTATAAATAAAAATGATTTACTTGATTCACAGTTCTGCATGGCTGGGGAGGCCTCAGGAAACATACAATCATGACCAAAGGTAAAGGAGAAGCAATGCACATCTTACACAGCAGCAGGAGAGAGAGCAGGAAAAACTGCCACTTTTTTTTTTTTTTAAGACAGAGTCTTGCTGTGCAGCCCAGACTGGAGTGCAGTGGTGTGATCTTGGCTCCCTGCAACCTCCACCTCCCAGGTTCAAGTGATTCCCCTGTCTTAACCTCCTGAGTAGCTGAGATTACAGGTGTGTGCCACTATACTCAGCTAATTTTTTTTGTATTTTTAGTAGAGATGGGGTTTTGCCATGTGGGCCAGCTGGTTTTGAACTCCTGATCTGAAGTGATCCACCCACCTCAGCCTCCCTAAGTGCTGGGATTACAGGTGTGATCCATTGCGCTGGACAAAACTGCCACTTTTAAAACCATCAGATCTCATGACAACTCCCTCACTATCACGGATAGCATGGAGGAAACCACCCCCATGATCCAATTACCTCCCACCAAGTCCCTCCTTCAACACGTGGAGATTACAATTAAAGATGGGATTTGGGCAGGGACACAGTGCCAAACCACATCATCCTCATTTTTTTCAATAATTTCTTCATCATATCTCGTCATGTATTTATTTACATGTATTTTTAAATTGAGTACTAGGCATTATATATGAAAAACAGAGTAATTTGAGGCCCTGGAAATGTTAACATTCTCTAGAGAGGAATTACATTTGCTCTTTGCAGTAAGCTAAGGACACTAGCAGGTTACTTTAATGCATCCATAAGTGTACAGATAATCAGACACTGGGTTTATGTCCTTGAGTGGGCTGCTCTTTATCGAGTGTAGTCCTTGCCCCCAACTCAAAGCCTGGAGGGTACTGTGCTCCAATTCTTCCCACCACAGTCCCTTGCACACTCACAGTTACATGCATTTCACTGCCAAAAGTATTCCTTAGTTTTGCAATCTATTTTTTAACTTCCTAGAATCAGTAAAAATCTTGAGCTGAAAAGTGATGCTCAATGCCAATCTCATCTCTTGGATCTGGGCTTTGCAATTTTCCATTGCTTTGTTAACACTTAGTGTCTCGAAGAAAATTTTGTTGTTGAGTTCCATGGGAGAGTTGATATCAATTACAAATCTGCAGTTACTGGTAGAAGTTCCTGTGGTTTCTATTTTACCTTCAGATTTTACTTTTAGACTGCTCCAGTCTACATCTTTTTATAAGAGATCATGTGAGGACAGTTTTTTTTTTTAATTCTCTTCTGCAACCTCTGGAGTTTTGTAACTTGCATTATTCTTGTTTTAGTAAAATTTATGCCTTTTTTTCTATAGTCTGCAAGAAGTTTTCTTTAGTTGCTTAATCTATGTGCTGTATTTATAGGACTTATTGTTCATCTGTCATTTCATAAAATGTCTCTTTTTACTTTCTCCTTATTTTGGCTCATTCTTTGGCTAGATTTTTGGGGTGATGTTATCTGAGATCTCTTATGTCTATTTGTTGCTTGAATGACCCTTCAGGTTTTACATAATTTTTTCAGCCATTCTTTTATTTTCTTAAGAATTTCCTGGTAACATATTTCCCCTATAAATCTACATCCAAATCCTTCCTTAATTTAAGGAATCACTACATGATAGTGAACGTTTAATTCTCTTTTATTCCAATTTGAGTTATCAATGTCAGTGCCAATTATTCTTTTTCAAGATATCATTGCCTGCACTCTTCACGTATTATCTTGTTTATAATGACTTGAATCATTTTTGTTTATTAACATACATAGCTACACTCCCCCCAGAGGAATAGGGAACTCACATATGCAAAAGAAAATCCATGGGAACACCGACAACACAATTTATCCATCATCCAGTAGTACTGAGTAAAGGCTCTTGGAATAAGAATTTTCAACACAAATAGAATATGAAAAACTATAATATGCATACAAAATGTGATAGGACTTGGACGTTTAAAAAATGACTTCTAGTTGAAAACTAATGTGTAGACTAGCAGAAAGATATAGGTGGAATTGATGAGCATAAAATTATTAAATAAAAACAAAAAATAGGAGTACATGATAAATATTTTCAAAGTATGATATCTGAAAAGGCTAATACAATACACTTTTGACAATTTCCAAGAAAAGTAGAAAGAAAGAAGAAAATTTTTAAAAGAGATAAAGATACTACACCTACAGATATGAAGAAATTTTAAAACCTCAAGCTGTAGTCATTAAATATGATTATTATCTGAATTTTAAATGCATGCACTCTTTGACTCACCCTTTGACTCTATTGTTATCATCTCTAGCAGATGCTCAGTGGTCTGATAGGATCAGTAACAACACAGAACCATTGCCAAGCCACATGGAAGCATGAAGCAAAAGAAAACCTCAGTAATATTTTGTCTTTATTTAAAATGTTAATATGTTGTTCATCATGGATTTCCTGCATTAATTTTGATTTAATAAAATATTACATTATCATTTACCTTGATTACTGAGTTTATTTGACATCCATTTAGTTTCCTCACCTGAGGCAGAAAGGGCATCATGTTCTTCACTCTGAGTCAGGACCTGCACAAGACCTAAAAATTTTACATTTATGTCCACTTAGGCAGTTGAGGTCTTGCCTTCTAAATTTCTCTATAGCTCACCACGAAGAAATGGTGTTGATGTAGGGAGAGGGATACACTCTCGTAGTGCTAGTTCCAGGAAGATGCCCATGTGCCCCTGATAGCACTACGGAGTTTAGCAATTTCTGCCTTCACTGCTTATTTTACTTTTTCTCTTCCTCAGTTTGTTTCCATTCCAGAGAGCCAGGTCATGGGCACTGGAACTAGACAAATAAGGATTGAAAACCCACTTATGTAACCTTGAATGAGTTATTTTACTTGTCTGAGTCTCAATTTTCTTATATATTAAGTGAGGATAATTTTTAATTTATAAGATTCTTGTATAAATAAATATGTACAGAAAGTCCATCATACACCTAGTCCACAGCATGGACTTAATAAATCTCATTTATCTTTTCAACTCTATTTCTGCTTCCCATTCTTCAACTTACTACTACAAAGCTAATCCATAGCTAGTATATAGTAGAAACTAAAAAAAAATTGAAATGCATTTCTTTTATTGCTATAATCACAAATATGTTACATAGACCTACCTCAATGCTAGAGTTCATCCATTGAGTTGGTTCAGTTATGTTTAATATTAGTTTAATATTTCAAACGTAGCAAAAATAGTTTATTATTTACTTATAATATGTGGAGGAAAGTAATCAATAGGCTTCTTAGAAACACTCTGATTCCTGATCGAAACCCCATTATTCAGTGAAATTGTTTTGATAATGTATACAATTTCAGAAATTTATATTTTTGCTTCTAAAATCTCAATGTATTTAGTTAAGAGAAATAAAAATAACTTTAGCTGACTTTATAATATATAAAGTTTATTTTAAACCTTTGCCTTTAAATGAAAAAAATAATGTTATTAGAGGTTTTATACTTTTCTGTATGTAACATCAGGCTAATTTTCACTAGACTGTAAATATTCTAATATGGACAGGCAAATCAGTACTGAATATACAATATATTTTCTTTTCTATGGATGGTGCCTAAATTACATCAGTTTAGAACAAACACGCTTAATTAAAGCCAATAAATTCAGGTCACCAAGAAAATGTTTTTACATTTTAAAGAGTTTTAAGATTTGTTATTTGAGTTAGTGTCCTTTGAATAATGGCTGAGAGAACAGTTTTTTTTTTTCAATTACACAAGTATTTCTTCATCTATTTAGAGGCTCTGAGGTCAGACTAGATTAAAAACGCACACACGCATTTGTCTGAAGTAATGGTGGAAAATTACCTCCTTGGTGACTGTAGTGTGCAAGATTGTGTGCGGTTTGGTTTCTAATCTTTCATTTCTTTCCAACATGAAAAAATAACCTTCCTCAGGCAAGAAAAAAACATTGTACTTGGGGAGTTGCCTTTGATCAAAGAAAGGGGTAATAGCTCTTTCCTGAAAATGGTGACAAGAATGAAAAATGGAAAGAAAGATCTATTTTAACTAGAAGTAATGATTTTGGGGGAGGAATAGGGAGAGTATATGTGAGGAAACAAGGAAGGAAACTGAGAGTAACAGTCACTGATGCCAGTTTGTGAAAGGGATGAGGCTGACCAACATGCCTTGAGGCCATATCAGAAAATTTTAGTTTTCATATAAAATATTTACATTTCCATCTTTTTTTCCTATATTATGAGGGTAATCAAAAGAAGAATTTTGGCTTTGTACAGAATTTTCCTACATATTGATGAAGTAAAAATGCCAAGTATATTCACATTTTCAAGGTTTTACTGAGAATAAAGTTTATACCTAGAAATGATTTTAATACAAGCAATGGGCTATCCTAGGAAAACAAAACGGAGAGAGATGGTCTAACAGGAATGATGTAGCAGAATTAACATAAATGCTGCTATGCTTTGGTTCTGTGTCCCCACCCATTATCACGTGTTGAGGGAGGGAAGTGATAGGATTATGGGGGGGTGGGTGGTTTCTCCCATGCTGTTCTCGTGATAGCGAGTCTCACGAAATCTTTTGGTTTTAAAAGAGGCAGTTTTTTCCTGTGCTCCTACTTCCCTCTCTTCTGTCACCTTGTGAAGAAGGTGCCTGCTTCCTCTTCACCTTCCGCCATGATTGTCAGCTTCCTGAGGCCACCCCAGACATGCAGAGCTGTGAGTCAATTAAACCTCTTTCCATTATAAACTATCCAGTCTCAGGCAGTTCTTGACAGCAGTGCAAAAACGGATTCATACAAATAGAAAAGATATTATCAATTTCATCCTCCCCAGAACTTTCATGTTTTCACTAGATTTATGAGATATATTTTTCAATCTCCTTGAAAATCAACACAAGCCCTTCGTTATCCAGTCTCATTATAAAATAAAGTATTTGTTTTATATTGGCACCATGACAATTTCAACTAAATTAATGGCTTCAGCAACATAAATTATTATCTCACACTTCTGCAGGTCTGAAGTCTCAGTGGGCTCAACCAGCTCCCCTGTTCAACATCCGGCAAGGTCCAAACGAAGGTGACAATCAACAGGGATCTTATTGGGAAGCTCTGGTAAAAGTACATTTCCAGATTTATTAAGGTTGTTGTCAGAATTTAGTTGTTTGCAGTTGTATCACCATTCCCAGTATCTTGTACAGTTGTACGTCATTGTTTTCTTGCGTGTGTCAACTGGTGGTTGCTGGTGTCAGCTCCTAGTAACCTGTCTCCAGTCTTCCTATGTGAGCCTCTACATCGCAAAACCAGCAATGACGCCTCCGAAACTTCTCAGGCAGAATCTTTCTAATTTCTCCCTCTGCCAAGCCTCTCTTTCTCCAGCTGAAGTATGTTCTCTGCTTTTGAAGGTTTATATGATTAGATTGGGTTCACCTGGATACTTAAAGCTGCTTGCCCTATCTTAAGGTTTGTAACCTTAGTTACAGCTACAAAGTCCATTTTGCCATATTCACAGATTCCAGGAATGAGGATGTGGACATCTTTGGGAGGCTACTGTGCATACCGCAAATACTAATCTCACAATAATCTGTTTATATCCTATTTTTGGCCATTAATTCACTGAAATTCATACTCTGCATTTTGTTAAGTATTCACTCTCTGAGCTGAAGCACAGTAATACAGAAAAACCTAGATGATTCAAAATGAAAAACATTGATAGAGTAAAAAGAACATCAGAAATCATTGGTTTTTGAGACTAATGTGCGAAAGTTTACTTTTCCATATTTTTTGATAGTATTTTTCCTTGTTTTTAATTTTGGTATACTTTAGATAAGATGAAATGCACAATTTTTAAGTCATTATTCAATGACTTTTGATAAAAATACATGATTGAGCCACCCAAAGCCCATAGAACATTGACATTCCCCCAGAAATTTCTCATGCCACTTAACAATCAATTCCCGTCACCCTCCAGCCATTATTCTTGTTTCTATCACTACAGATTGATCTTGCCCTTTCTGAAACTTTATATGGATGTGATCATATAATACATACTTTTGGTGTCTTTTTTGGTAGCATTTTTGAGTAATTTTCAATTATTTGACTATATCACAGCTTTTACAACCCATTTTCAAATTTTGCGGGCCTTTGAGTTCTCTTCAGTTTGGGGTTATCAAGAATGATTATACTGTTATCTTTATTTCTGTTAGGCTTGACAATATTTCATAATCATGTATTCTCAGAATAATTTGCAATTTATTTATTTAAGCAGTCTTACTGATTTTTAGGTAAATATATTTTTGTATTTAAATTTTAGGGTACATGTGCACAACGTGCAGGTTTGTTACATATGTATACATGTGCCGTGTTGGTGTGCTGCACCCATTAACTCATCATTTGCATTAGGTATACCTCCTAATGCTATCCCTCCCCCCTCCCCCCTACCCCACGACAAGCCCTGGTGTGTGATGTTCCCATTCCTGTGTCCAAGTGTTCTCACTGTTCAATTCCCACCTATGAGTGAGAACATATGGTGTTTGGTTTTTTGTCCTTGTGATAGTTGGCTGAGAATGATGGTTTACAGCTTCATCCATGTCCCTACAAAGGACATGAACTTATCATTTTTTATGGCTGCATAGTATTCCATGGTGTATATGTGCTACATTTTCTTAATCCAGTCTATCATTATTGGACATTAGGCTTGGTTCCAAGTCTTTGCTATTGTGAATAGTGCCACAGTAAACATATGTGTGCGTGTGTCTTTATAGCAGCATGATTTATAATCCTTTGGGTATATACCCAGTAATGGGATGGCTGGGTCAAATGGTAGTTCTAGTTCTAGATCCCTGAGGAATCGCCACACTGACTTCCACAATGGTTGAACTACTTTACAGTTCCACCAAGAGTGTAAAAGTGTTCCTATTTCTCCATATCCTCTCCAGCACCTGTTGTTGCATGACTTTTTAATGATCACCATTCTAACTGGTGTGAGATGGTATCTCATTGTAGTTTTGATTTAAATTTCTCTGATAGCCAGTGATGATGAGCATGTTTTCATGTGTCTTTTGGCTGCATAAATGTCTTCTTTTGAGAAGTGTCAGTTCATATCCTTTGTCCATTTGTTGATAGGGTTGTTAGTTTTTTTTTCCTTGTAAATTTGTTTGAGTTCTTTGTAGATTCTGGATATAAGCCCTTTGTCAGATGAGTAGATTCCAAATTTTTTTTCCCATTCTGTAGGTTGCCTGTTCACTCTGATGGTAGTTTCTTTTGCTATGCAGAAGCTCTTTTGTTCAATTAGATCCCATTTGTCAATTTTGGCTTTTGTTGCCATTGCTTTTGGTGTTTTAGACATGAAGTCCTTGCCCATGCCTATGTCCTGAATGGTATTGCCTAGGTTTTCTTCTAGGGTTTTTATGGTTTTAGTCTAACATTTAAGTCTTCAATCCATCTTGAATTAATTTTTGTATAAGGTATAAGGAAGGGATCCAGTTTCAGCTTTCTACATATGGCTAGCCAGTTTTCCCAGCAGCATTTATTAAATAGGGAATCCTTTCCCCATTTCTTGTTTTTGTCAGATTTGTCAAATATCAGATAGTTTAGATGTGTGTCATTATTTCTGAGGGCTCTGTTCTGTTCCGTTGGTCTATATCTCTGTTTTTGTACCAGTACCATGCTGTTTTGGTTACTGTAGCCTTGTAGTACAGTTTGAAGTCAGGTAGCGTGATGCCTCCAGCTTTGTTCTTTTGGCTTAGGATTGACTTGGCAATGTGGGCTATTTTTTGGTTCCATATGAACTTTGAAGTAGTTTTTTCCAATTCTGTGAAGAAAGTCCTTGGTAGCATGATGGGGATGGCATTGAATCTATGAATTACCTTGGGCAGTATGGCCATTTTCATGATATTGATTCTTCCTATCCATGAGCATGGAATGTTCTTCCATTTGTTTGTATCCTCTTTTATTTCACTGAGCAGTGGTTTATAGTTCTCCTTGAAGGGTCCTTCACATCCCTTGTAAGTTGGATTCCTAAGTATTTTATTTTCTTTGAAGCAATTGTGAATGGGAGTTCACTCATGATTTGGCTCTCTGACTGTTATTGTTGTATAAGAATGCTTGTGATTTTTGCACATTGATTTTGTATCCTGAGACTTTGCTGAAGTTGCTTATCAGCTTAAGGAGATTTTGGGCTGAGATGATGGGGTTTTCTAGATATACAATCATGTCATCTGCAAACAGGGACAATTTGACTTTCTCTTTTCCTAATTGAATACCCTTTATTTCCTTCTCCTGCCTGATTGCCCTGGCCAGAACTTCCAAGACTATGTTGAAAAGGAGTGGTGATAGAGGGCATCCCTGTCTTGTGCCAGTTTTCAAAGGGAATGCTTCCAGTGTTTGCCCATTCAGTATGATATTGGGTGTGGGTTTGTCATAAATAGCTCTTATTATTTTGAGATATGTCCCATTAATACCTAATTTATTAAGAGTTTTTAGCATGAAGGGCTGTTGATTTTTAGGTAAATATTTTTTGAGATTACCTGCCCACAAACATAAACTACCTATTGAGCCCTGCTTGTATTTTGATGGGCATATGCACATATACACTCAGAGTTGAATGTGGCTACTTTAAATGACTTCTGCCATTCTCATAAAATAATTAGCAGATTTTCCAGTTTATAAACTTGATGACATTGCTATATAAGATACTGGAAAACAAATTCCATTATATAATATATGCAGAGATAAGTTTTTGGAATTGATAAGGCACTTTTCCAGGATTTTTTATCCTAGATACAGTTGTTTGGATAAGGACATTCTTATAGATAGCTGGCTTCATAACTAATACAAGCAATTTATCATAACATACCCACAGTTAATTTTTTTCTTCACTTTTGCCCTACAATGGGTGCTCTTAAATTCCTTTGTAATATCTTTAAAGGTATAGAAATAAGAAATGGAAAGAAAAATAAGCCTGAGAAGACTTTGGGCTCCAAAAATCTTTTCTCTTGGTAACCATAGCAGCTCGTGACTCAATAAAGTGATAAAAAGACTTCATATTTTGGGGTTAAAAAACTTGTATATGTTAGTTTTTCTGACAAAGATAATCAGATATGACAATTACTAAATCGGGATATTAAAACTATCATCTCAGGATAAGAACAATTACATATTTTCCTGTTGAAACATTAGATTTTTTGTTGTTGTCATTGTCCATTAAGGAAAACCTATCTGTTCTTGTGCCCCAGTAGCACTCCACATCTTTGGTAGATGTGAGTTTATATTTTTTATCACTACTCTTGTGCTTGAAGAGCATGCTTTAACATTCCTTGTAGTGCTTTTCTGGTGGTAATAAACTCTTTCACCTATTATTTTAACCTTATTAAAGTGTTAATTTTGCCTTTTGAAGATTATTTTCACTGAATATATCATTCTGAAATGACTTATTATTTATTCTCTATACTTTAAATAATTTTTAGATTTTCATTTAGCTTATATTTGTTCTGATGAGAAGTCAGAAGTATTTTTTATCATTATTCCCTTTTCTATTACATGCCTTTTCTCCCACCTACAATTATGAATTTTAATTGTATGACTGTGTTGATATTCTACATCTCTCCACTGTCTTTCTTATTTTCCTCTAAATCCTTGGACATATTTTAATACCAGCTTAAAAATGCTTGTTTTTATTCTTAACAACATCCTGGCTATCTAAGGTCTGTTTCTATTGCTTATTTATCTCCTAATTTTCTCATAGGTTTCTGCTATTTTTGCATGTTTAATAATTGTTTTTGTTTTATATTTGACATTTTTCATACTATATTATTTAGATTCTAGACTTCCGTCTTTGGTAGAAGTGTGTTGAATTTTATTTTGAGCAGACAGTTAATTTACTGGCACATTAGTTTGATCCAGTTGGTGCTTATTTTTAAGTTTTTAAGGCTGATTTAAGAGTATTTCTTCTGATAGGAGTAGATGAGCCCTACTTTGGAAGCTGACTTTTCTGAGTTCTTATTTAAACACTGGGAGATGCTCAGTGAGTCTTTTCACTTTGACTGGTTGAAACTCTAATGGCTTTCAACATTGATGAACCAGTGAAATCCTCATTCCGCTCATGGCCCCTTAGAAACTGTTCTCTGTGTGGCTTTGTGAAATCTTACTCTGTACATGCATAATATGTTGTTCACTCAAAAAATTCAAGAAGACTCATTTGTAGATTTTTAGATCTCTTTCTCAGTTCGACTCTTTCTTCTCTGGAATGTTCTTCATAAATTCCAGCCACCTCAGCTGCATCCTATAATAGGTTTCTCCATTCAGAAAAATTGCTGTGATCTATTTGGGCTCCTCTTTCCTTTCCTGCAGTTTGGAAGTATCCCTATATAAAAGGCCAGCTTTAAATGTGGAGTTCACTTCAAGGATCATGACTCTATGCTGTGTGTTGTACAATGCTTTAAAATGGGCACATGGTACATTTTGTCTAGTTTTATAGTTGTTTACAGCAGAAGATTCAGTCTGAAATCCATTATTTTATTATGGCCAGAACCAGAAGTCAAGCACTCTGTTTTTTGAAAAGCACATATTGTGTACCTGCTACCTTCCATGTACCATACCAGGTGTGTTCAAATACATAGTCAAGTCAGCTTTTACTATTTGTTGTTCCCCATGAAGGGCTTACATTTTATTTTATTTTATTTTTCAGAGAGAGAGCTTAGGCAGATTGTTATTCAATATCTATGCATTTGCTCATGCTGACTATTTCTGGTATATTTTTACATACTTCCTAAATACTGTTTGTCTTGCAAGATTTATGGCACTTCTTTTTTGCATGTTTTTCTAATTCATCTCCAAAATCAACCTTTCTCAACTTCATTTGTTCATAAGATACTTTTAAATTCACCTCTGTTATAACATTTACCCTGTTGAATTTTAGTTATCTCTGTATGTGTCATAAAAACCCAGCAAAATTTTAGGCTGCAACTGCCACTTCCTCTCTTTGTGACTCAGCTTGTCACAGTTACAAGTGCACATATTAGGCCATTTCTAAGAGTTCATTGTACTGAATACATGCTACCTAATTTAACTCACATAATAACCTTGTGAGGTATATAGTATAATTATCATTATGTTTAATAAATGAATTGAGTCTCATATAAGTTATTTATTCTAGTTTACTAATGTCAGTGATAGAACTGAATTCTGAGTTCAAGCTCCGTGTTTGCAACTCTAAATCTACTAATCATCACTATACCACATTTATCATGCATTGCCTTCACTCTTGTTAGCCTGACAAATAGGAAAATAATAAAATAATCCTTAAATATCAGTACTATCTCATACAATTTCATATAACTCACACAATTTTAATCACAATTGAAAAGGTCTATACAGCTTAATTAGTCTAACTCCCCATTCAATGGTCGTATTTTCTCTACGGTATTCCTGACCATAAGACTTTGTTTTGACCCTGCTGTTTGTGTCCCCCATCCCTTAAAGCAATCCATGTATGCTAGTAATTATTAATTCCTTAGAGTAGTTTACATATGCCATCCTAAAACTTGTATCCACCATTTCTTTCTCCACCCTTAATGGCTGTATACAATTTTTCCCCTTGGTCATTCATTGGCAAGCCCTCAGATATTTGAAAACAACTAATGTTGCCTTAAGTCCTCTTTCTTTCAAGGTAAGCATCTTTAGTTGCTTTTCTTTGCTCTTCTTCTTAGATTGGTTTCTACTGTTTACATCAAATATTTTCTGTTTGTGGACAAGATTTTAAGAAATGTAAAACTATGAAACATACTGTCCTGTATGATCATACTAATCTGTGAGGTTATTATAATCTTAGGTGTTATTACAAAGCTTTTACTTTCCCTTTCCAAGATGAACAACACAGCAAGATGAATAAAGAAAATTTTCCCTCTAGTAACTAGAAGAGTTAGATAACTATGATTTACAGATGAAAACCTAGGGCCAGAGCCTTCCTGTAGGATATTAGACTTCCTTTTCAAGACGTGGCCCCCTATATAATGTTTTTAAATTATCTGCCCTCTTCCTTCAATTCTGTCACTCTGTTATGTCCTTTGAAAAAAGACAGTGAAGGAGTTATATTTGGAAATATGCCCCATATTTTTTCTGATCACTAGAATGCAGAGGTGGACATGAATTTTATGAGTCTGTAGAGTTAGGGAGTAAATATTTTAAGTAATTAATTCTACAATATTAAAAACAGCTCTCACCATAAATCAACAGCTGAATGGTGGGAGTTGGACATAATGGAGAAAATATGGACTAAAGAGATTATGAATAAGTATTGTAGAGAATCCATATTTTAATTGGGTGAATTAAGTAAACTCTTGGATGGATTAAAAGGTTAGATTCTGGTTGGATGTGGTTTTCCCTTATGTTCCAGAAATATGTCAACTCCCGATTTACAACAAAGGCCCAAATTCACAAAAGGAGAAAGACACCTCCTTTCCTACCTATTAGAAGAAACTAATATTGCCATCAGACCATCCATATGCCATTATTATTTTATATTACTCAGATTATAATAGGCAGTGAACTTTCAATAATATATCACCTGATCTTTTGTTGTTTATATCAGAAACCAGTAATCTTTCTCTGATAAAGAGTATGAGCCCATGAGCCCATATACCTGACAAATGTGTAAAGGCAGGAGCAGTGCCCAGGTGTCCCTGAGAAGCCTATCTCTGCCACTACTTTCTTAGGGCCGCAGAGGGTACATATCTCATGCAAGCACACACTTGCCCTCACGTGTGTGCATGTTTACCCTCTGGATTAGCCCAATTCTCCATTCACCTTTAGTTTTGCCTCATATTTTGGGAGTTCGGATTAGAAAACTGATCTAATCCACTCACATTTCTGGCATCTCTAAGCTTATATGGTATCAATGACCTCATGATCCTTTAGATTTATTTTTAATATCTGAGTATTTACTTTCAAGGGTTAATTAACCTTGGTGAAATCTTAAAATCTTCAGCTAAAGATATACTACATGACAGGCATACAACTTTGGAACTGCTTTGCTATGAACCTACACAAGGTAAATTGGCAGTGGTCACATATTAAAGTAGCTGCTTGAACAAACCTTAATAGCACAGCTTTCATCTCAGGACTTATTAAGATCCAGTGGTTGCTTAGAGATAAATTAGTTTGTTTGCTATAATTTGTTGAGGAAATCACCATACAATATGCCATTAGAGTGCACATATTTCTTATAAGATACCTGTGGTAAAGCTCTTCCTGTCATCCTAAACTGGAGAACGTACTGAAATTAGCTTCATCATGAAAGTTTAGATGCAGCTGAAAATTCAGAGACAATTGCTTTATCTTAAAAGCTATTTTCACTTTTCCATTGCCACATTTAAAAGTTAAGGTTTATAGAGAAATATTCTCAAGTGATTATGGAACAAGTGCAGGAAAATAGAAACATAAAAATATGTATTTCAAGGCATCAATTCTAATTCTGCTTCTAAAAATAGTCAGTGTGCAAAGCTGCAGTTGCTGGGGTATTGCTTCAATGAAGCTGCATAGTCACCATCAACTACATTTTCAGGACCCACAATCTTCATATATATACTTTATTTTTTAATATTATAGAGAAAGACAGCGTAATAATTTGGTGGGAGCTTCCCCCTATGTATGATATAGGAAGGTAGACAAATTAGCATCTGCCCGTGCTATGATGATCACAGGAACAATCTTGCAGCTGACAATGCCAAGAAATTACTGTCCTTGAATAACGTCAAGCTTTAAATTTTTGACTACTGAAATTTCAGTAACAAATATTGCAATCAAAATTGAATTTCATAAAACTTTGGATTCATTTTACAATAGTAATATTCAGCTTCAGGTGAATAATGACATTGATACTCAGCCTTTCAGTGTTCAGCCAAATATTTATTTGGTGCGTCTCTACTTTATATATATTTGCAGATTTTAAAATATTTTTTCTGCTGTGTATCATCATAACTGATACATGTACACAAACATACAAAATCTTTTTTTTTTTAATTTTTTTTTTTATTATACTTTAAGTTTTAGGGTACATGTGCACATTGTGCAGGTTAGTTACATATGTATACATGTGCCATGCTGGTGCGCTGCACCCACTAACGTGTCATCTATCATTAGGTATATCTCCCAATGCTATCCCTCCCCCCTCCCCCGACCCCACCACAGTCCCCAGAGTGTGATATTCCCCTTCCTGTGTCCATGTGATCTCATTGTTCAATTCCCACCTATGAGTGAGAATATGCGGTGAAACCATAAAAACCCTAGAAGAAAACCTAGGCATTACCATTCAGGACATAGGCGTGGGCAAGGACTTCATGTCCAAAACACCAAAAGCAATGGCAACAAAAGCCAAAATTGACAAATGGGATCTAATTAAACTAAAGAGCTTCTGCACAGCAAAAGAAACTACCATCGGAGTGAACAGGCAACCTACAACATGGGAGAAAATTTTCGCAACCTACTCATCTGACAAAGGGCTAATATCCAGAATCTACAATGAACTCAAACAAATTTACAAGAAAAAAACAAACAACCCCATCAAAAAGTGGGCAAAGGACATGAACAGACACTTCTCAAAAGAAGACATTTATGCAGCCAAAAAACACATGAAAAAATGCTCATCATCACTGGCCATCAGAGAAATGCAAATCAAAACCACTATGAGATATCATCTCACACCAGTTAGAATGGCAATCATTAAAAAGTCAGGAAACAACAGGTGCTGGAGAGGATGTGGAGAAATAGGAACACTTTTACACTGTTGGTGGGACTGTAAACTAGTTCAACCATTGTGGAAGTCAGTGTGGCGATTCCTCAGGGATCTAGAACTAGAAATACCATTTGACCCAGCCATCCCATTACTGGGTATATACCCAAATGACTATAAATCATGCTGCTATAAAGACACATGCACACGTATGTTTATTGCGGCATTATTCACAATAGCAAAGACTTGGAACCAACCCAAATGTCCAACAATGATAGACTGGATTAAGAAAATGTGGCACATATACACCATGGAATACTATGCAGCCATAAAAAATGATGAGTTCATGTCCTTTGTAGGGACATGGATGAAATTGGAAACCATCATTCTCAGTAAACTATCGCAAGAACAAAAAAACATACAAAATCTTATGAAAGGCAAATGCAAACATATACACAAAGAACTTATTATAGGAAAATGTGAAAAAATAAAACATTCAAAGCAGAGATCATTACATAAGATGACAAAACTCAAACTAAACATATCTTCACTGTTATATGTAATGAAATAAAATTAATAATTAAAGCAAAAGACTTATATTGGACAAGAAAAAATGTGTTGATAATTCTGTTAGCTCCACCCAAATCGTTTATCTGACTTTCAGTTCTCTGTTCTGTGCTCCAGGAGGCGAACTCCCAAGACTTTATCATTCAGGTTCCTCTGCCAGCTAGCTCCTAGTTGAATTGGATTAATGTAAGGCACTGGCAGTGGGTCAGATGGCAGAAAGAGAGAGAGAGAAATCCTGATATCTATACCCTGCTTTCTTCCTAATTCTGCATGAATGTAGTTTCTACCAGATAACTCTTCTCCACAGCACCAGATCTTTCTAGGCTTCAATAATGCAAATTATATACTTTGTCCCTTCAGGTCTAGGGATGGTAACAGCGTTTCATTGTTCCTGGTTGTCTGAGTATTACAGCAACCTTTGCTGGGGTTTTAAATCCTGCTCTAACTGAGGTAAGTAGTCCATTCACCAAAGTCTCTATTGTGGACCATTGAAGCAGATTTCTTTTTCTTTTCTTTCTTCCTTTTTTAATAATAGTGATGGGGTCTCCCTATGTTGCCCAGGATGGTCTTGAACTCCCAGGCTCATGTGATCTCCCACCTTGGCCTCCCAAAATGCTGGGATTAGAGGTGTGAGCCACCATACCAAGCCTGAAGCAGATTTCTGTTTTATACAAGGGTCCTAATTAATGTAGAAGCTATTACAAAATGGGGTATGTAAGAATATCTCTTTCTTAGGGAATAACAGGTAGCTATACCTTGTACTGCCTACCACACAGAAAGAGCAGAGTGACTGAGAGGCTTCTCTGGATTTTGGAAGTAACATGACTACAGTTGTGTGTATTCAAACCTATTACAGGCTAACTCACAAGTCTACCCATTTAGAAAAAAGAGCTCTTTGCAGCAGGTTCAGTCTGTGCTGTAGGCTCCTCTGCTGCGTGGGTATTTTGACTCAGTAGATCTAAGTATCTGGCTTAGAGTAATGCTGTTTGACGCTTCTAAGTAACCCCAAGAAGACAATCATAGTTCACCTAACTAATAATTTTGGAACAAAACTATGTCCCCTTCTGCCAAATATTTTTATCTATTTAAGAAGTCTGGCTTGTCACCATGTAACTATGTGATTTGAAGGGTTCACAATCAACTGGGTGCTATCCAAGTTATCAAATCTTAAAATTGTGCTTGAAAATTAGCAGGTTATTATAAAATGGAATTGATATGGGTGACATTAAGGCTGAACAGGAAAGGGAGTCACAAGTATATTGAATGAGCAGGTGGTTCAGACCTTTATTAGCTATTCTTGCTTAGTTATCAAATTTTCCTCAACTCTCATTCATATTCACCAGGGGAATCCCCTAAAGAGAAGGTGCTCAACAATCAGGTAGATTAGGTGTCTAATCTTTCCTGTGGATGTCTATCAAGCTTTCTCCCAGTGATACTGGTGCTTACTTAGTGGAACCATGCAAAAAGTAATCATAGTTGCATGGATGGTAAATATGCATGAACTCAACACAATGGACTACCCTTTAGCAACCCTGATCTGTCTACTATCACTGAGTGTCCAACTTGTCAATACCAAGGGCCAATGTGTTCCTGATATGGCACCATTTCATAGGGACACCGACCAGGCACCTGGTGCTAGGGTGATTACATTGAATCCTTTATATTGTGGAGTAAGCAATCATTTGTCCACATAAAACCAAATACACATTCTAGAAATGGGTTTCTCTTCTCTGCCATCAATGCTTCTACCAGTGTCACCATATGTCACCTTATAGAATGCCTTATTCATTGCCATAACATCCCATACTACATTGCCTTTGACAAGGAAACTCATTTTATAGCAAAACAATTGTTACAAAAGATCCATGCCCATGAAATTCATGTTTCCCCACATGTCCCATCACCAGTAAGCAGCTGGCCTGATAGAATGATGGAACGGCTCCCTAAAGGCTCAGTTTCAATGCCAGGTGTGACACAATATTGTTTGAAATTGTGGTGCTGGCCTAACAGATTAAACTATTAGCCAATACATAAGCCATATTTCCAAAAGCCAGAATATGTAGGATAAGGAACTTAGAAGTAGAATTATTTTACCTAATATTCGATTTACAGAATTTTATTTCCCTTCCTGGAAACTTGTATTTAGTAGCGTTTTAGGTTCTCTTTTCCGAGGAAGGAACATTTCTTTCAAGAAATATAGCTATGTTTCCATTAAATTTGGACCTGAAATTGCACTCTTGCTATTTTTAGCTCCTAATGCCATTGACCTAACTGGCAATAAAGAGTTTAACTATACTGAATGGATTGATTAATTCTGATTAACACAGGAAAATTAGGCAAATAGGCCTAGTTGGAATCCAGGAGATCTGCTGTGGAGCCTTTTAGCACTTATATGTCCCATAAAGAGCCACCAAATAAAGACAGTATCACTAGGGACTTTGATCCTATGAAATGAAGATTTGGGTCATCTCATGAGACAATAATTCCTGTACTATGGAAGTAGTAAAATTTGCTTGAAAATGGAATGGATAATAGAAAAAGGAAATTATGATGATAAAATTTAGGCTCATGACCAAAAGTGAAAACAGTAGTAGCTAATTTACATATTTATGTTAACTGAATATTTCTTTCCCCTCACTCTCCTTGCTAGCTCATATAAAGAGTACCGATAGTGGGTGACATTAACATTTATAATCCAGTTGGGAATAAGACTGAATTGCTGACACCCTGCCACAATTTAAATTATGCTAGAACTGTGGTTTCCCTGTACTGGAGATCCAATTTTCTTAATCTAAGCAAGAGGCAACAATGAATGAGAAGTCGGAGTAATGTTCTGGTAAGTTTTTATTGACTTCATGGATTTATTTTCTTCCCTTGTCTAACTTGCTCTGTGCTCATGGATGCAGAGCCATGCAGTCAACATCATTCAGATTCCTTTGTTGCCTGAATTTCAGCAGAAGGCACTCAGTGGGAGGCTCCTCTAGGGTTCAAGTTAGGTGGAGAGGAGAATGGGTTATTTATTCCCCGATTCCCTCTGCTTTGGTTCTGTGCTTCTGCCAGGGGCTGAATCTCTCCATAACTAGAACTCGTGCTATGCAACCTTTCCTTGCAGCTCCAGAACTCACTTAGCTCTGGTAATGCTATCATTTCTCTTGTCCTTTTATGGCTTCCTGTGGTTGGTGTCTTTGTTCCTCTGCATCTCTCTTTCTCTCTTATTTTTTTTAACCCTAGCTACATCTCCATAAACAGACTCTTTAGGTTCTTGACAGTGGAAACTCTGAGAGGAATCATGATTCCTTCCAGGATTACATTCAGTAACAAAGCCAATGATTTATTGCATACAAGCAACAACTCTAATAAAAATTAACTCAAAAGCTTGAAAGTGAAGCTTTGGGCAAAAGAATTACAGGCAAATAGAAATTAAAAAAAAAAGCAAAGATCACAATATTTAGAACAAATAGGTTTTATTCATGGTTGGTAAAAAATATGAAGGAGGACAAAGGCACTTTGTATCAATAAAAAGGTCACTATAAATAAGTAACTGTCATAAATATTTATTAAATATGTATGCAAAATTCAGAAAACAAAAACTTCAGAAGCATTTTTTAAAATACAATTTATAATACTATTTTTTCAGCTGATGAAAGATCAAGTGAAAAAACATAAGTGAGATTTAGGAGGACATAAGCAATTAATGGAGGATAACTAATATGTGTATATTTATTCAAATACTCGTGGAATAATAGTCAAAGTGAACTAAGTATTGGGCCTCAATGAAAACCTTAGCATATTCCAAAAAGTAAAAATAGTGTATAATTTAGTCCATGATGACAATGTAATAAAACTGGAAATTATTTCTGGGAAGTGATATTGCCTGCAATTGTTAATTTCTACATTTTAAAAAATAATTATTCTGTTATTTTGTTCAGTAAACATTGTACTTTTTTATAGGTAAAATATCAAAATACTCAAATATATACAAAAAGTTCATAATATATAATTTTAAAAATACCATACAAATATCAAACTTAGAAGAAGCAAAAACAATTGTAGCTGTGCTAATAGCCCTCAGTGAGTTCAGAAGTTTATAATTAGATATTAAAAGGAGGGTAAGAAGTACATGTATAGTAACTGGACAGTGCACAGCCACAAGTTGGGTATAGCCCTATAAATTGTCTATTTTAAAGTATACATATATAGTAATTTGCTATTCAGAAATGTTGAATCATTTAAACATAATTTTATTATTACAGAAACAGTATATGTACATCAGAGAAAAGTTTTTAAATGCAGAGGAGCAAAATGTGTTGACATAGTCCTATAAACAAGAAAGCACCATTGTTAGTACCTTTGCCTCTAGCCTTACATATTATTTTTCATCAGATATACACTTTGTAACCTCTTTTTCAGTCAATAATTTTCATATTTTTATTTTCATGCATTTTCATTATATATAATGTCCATGCTGTATTTAGATGTCTTTAATTAATTAAACATTTTTCTTTATGGCTGATTTCTTTAAACCAGTCTCAGTGCAGTCCTGCACATTATATCTAATTGTCCACCCCTTAATTTTTTTTTTGAATCCAGAATTACCCCCCTTTTTAAATGGTACTGACTTGTTGAAGGAAAGAGGCCAATTGACCTACAAAACGGCATACCTTGAGGCTTTGCTTGATTGCTTTCTGTGTCTAAATTTACACCTAATGCCTTAATGGCTGCCAGCTAAACACGCTTGACTAGAATAAATCACAGGTGAAATTTTGTACCTGATGTTGTACTACATCAGAAAATTTGTAATGTCAGGTCGACCCACAGTTGAGACAGTAAAAGTGATCATTGGTTTGTATGATATCTGATATCTGATACTGATGTCATCCTTCAGTTAGATTGCCCCTTTTGCAAGTATGGTATGCTATGAAGGTCTACTTCCCCATAAGCCTTCACTTAATGAATTTTAGCAGCAATGTTTCTCTTTCATAAGCTTCCACTGAAATATAATATAATTGAATTGTGCAAATCATAATTGTATAGCTCAAGGAATTAGTTCAGAGCGAACACACCCATGAAACTATCAACCTGGGTCAAGAAACACTCAAGGGACACATAGGAGGCTCCTCATGCCCCAACCACATTATTTCCCTCTCCCTTCTCCCAAAGTGTAACCACTCTCCTGATGTTAAATGGCAAAGAATAATTTACCCCCTATAAATAGACTAATACAGAATGTGTTTGTATTTGTTCCTCTTGTTCAAAATTATGATCAAGATTCACAGATGTTATTGTGTGTATCTTTATCATATTCATTTTGATAGATGTAAAGTAGTACAATCTATTCATACACCACTATTTATTCTTTCCTGTCTTGCTAGACTTTGCTTTCCTTCTGTGGCTAAATAATCCATTTGTGAACATTGTTATAAGTTTCTATTACTGCATATGTGCATACAATTCTGTTGAATGCATACCCAGAAATGAAATTCTTGGATCATACAGGACGCATGTGTTCAAATGTTGTAGATAATATGAAACTTGTTTCCAAAGTGGTTGTTCGAAATTCATCCTGATAGCATAAGAGATTTCCGGTTGCTTCAAAACCACATCAACACTTTAAATTATTTTCTATCTTTTAACTTTTCTGGTGAATGTATAGTATTTCTCCCGATGGACTTAATTATTATTTAAGGACAAGTGAGGTTGGATGTCTTTTAAAACATTTATTAGATATTTGTATAATCTCTTTTGTAAACTGCTTTTTCAAAATATCGCCCATATTCTTATTGGGTGGACTCTCTTCTTATTGTTTGAATTTTTATGTATTCTGCATATAAGCCATTTGTCAATTATATAAACCACAAATAATCTAGTTTCATTTGCTTTTGCTCTCTTATTGGTGCCTTTTTAGAGAAGAAAACACTTTTTAATTTTAATACAGTTGAAATCATTAATGTTTTTCATATCCTGCTTAAGAAACCTTTGCCTTTCCAGGCCCTGAAGATATTCTTTATTATCTTATAAAATTATTGCTTTTCCATTCCTATTTAGAGCTACATGAATGAAATGGTGAATGAAGTGAGGTAAAAGTCTAGATTTCTTTTTCCATACTGATACAAGATTCTATACTGTTATATTGGTCTACCTATGCTTGTGATATTTACCTTTCTTCATTACTATGGTTTATATTATAGCCTTGATATCTGGGACTGTAAGTACTTTGTTCTTTTTTGAGATGTTAGCTGTTCTTAGCTTTTTGCATTGTCATCTAAATTCTAGAATTCACATGTCAATTTTTGAAGATAAAGAAGCCTCTTGGAACTATGATTGATATTGTAGTCAACAGATGAATTTAGGAAAATGAACATCTTTATAAATTTAAGTTTTCAATTTATGAACACATTCTATCTCTTGATTTATTTAGGTTTCATTCAATGTTACCCAATAAAGTTATATAGTTCTGCAGAGATTTTGCATATATTTAATTAAATTTATCTCAAGTATTTGATGTTTTGATGCTGTTCAAAGGGGTATCTTTTTTATCTTTAATCTTCTATTTATTGTGTAAAGAAATACACTTTTTAAAATATTGATCTTATATCAGAAACCACAAAAAACTGTGATATTAATTCTAATAATCAAGTAGAAAATTATCTTGGACATTTCATAAACACAAATGTATAGTGTGAAAATAGGAGTGGCATTTTACCTTTCTGGTCTTTAGTCTTTACTCCTTGCCATCTTGCACTGGCGATGAATGGATTAGAATAAAGTGGGATGGGGTAATGATAATAAGTAATCTAGCCTCATATTTTATCTTACAGACAAAATGTTTAACATTTCACATTATGAAGGATTTTGCTGCAGATTTTTTCTTTTTTTGAAGATTATGTTTATCAATTAAAATGCTACAGTTTGCTGAGGTTTTCAATTCTAAAACATACTATTATCAGAGATTTTAGACAATCATCTGATTTTTCTTTTTATTCAGTAGTACATTGCACTAATAGACTTTTAAATATTTTGGGCAAATTTGAGCAGAAGGAGGATAACCTTTCAAACACGAAAGTTGCAAGAAAAGTACAAGAAACCACATAGTATTTTACTGAGATTTTCAGATTCACCAGTTGTTTATGTTTTGCTCCATTTATTTATGATTTTTCCTCCTCTCTCATTCTTCTCTTTTTTTAATTATTTAAGACTAATATGTCAAATTTGCCCTTCTACCCTGTTAGGGTTTTGCTGTGTCCCCACCCAAATCTCATCTTGAATTCCCACATGTGTGGGAGGGACCCAGTAAGAGGTAATTGAATCATGGGGGCACGTCCTTCCCATGCTATTCTCATGATAGCAAAGAAGTCTCAAAAGATCTGATGATTTTATACAGGGGAATTTCCCTGCACAAGCTCTCTTCTCTTGTCTGCCACCATGCGAGACACGGCTTTCACCTTCTGCCGTGATTGTGAGGCTTCCCTAGCCACATGAAACTGTGAGTCTATTAAACTTCTTTTCTTTTGTAAATTGCCCAGTCTTGGGTTTATCTTTATCAGCAGCATGAAAACGGACTAATACATACCCCCAAATGAATCAATTTGACTTTCTAAAAAAAGGACATCTCCCTATAACCAAAGTATAATTATCAAAATCAAAAAAGTTTACTCATTGATTTTTTAACGTTAAAACATCCTTACATTTCTGGAATTAAAGGAAGTTTGTTAGTCTACATTAAACTTTTAAAATATTCTACTGAATTTGTTTAAAAAGTATTTACATAAGATTTTTACTTCAATTTGTATACGAAGCCTGGATTGTGTTTTTCTTTCATGTACTGCCCTGTAAGATTTCTTATCAAGATAATGTGGCCATCATAAAATGTGTTGGAAAGGGTTTCTGCAATTACAGAAACTAAGTGTTACAGAACTCTAAGTGTTATAAAAGAATTACTATTCCATTATTAAATCTTTAGAAGAATTTGCAGGCAAATCCTGGCATGGACTATTCCAAAATTGAATATGTTAAATATTTAATTTCATTAATGTAAATCAGATTACTCATATTTTGTTTTTTTCAAGTGTCTGCTTTAGTAAGTAGTATTTTTCTTAGAATTTGTTCATTTTTTTCTAAATTTTCAAATTGTTGTCAAAATTTGTTCATAATATCCTTAAATAAATTTAAAAAAAATCACGTGTTGATGTATAATTTACATTCATTAGAATTTACTCTTCTTAGACATCCAGTTTGATGATTATGGATAAATTATATTCATTAGAATTTACCCTTCTTAGATATACAGTTTGATGATTTTTGATTAATGTATATAATCATATAACTACCACTGCAATCAATATACAGAATACTCCCATCACCCCCATAAATTCCCTCAATTTCCTTTGTATTAAGTCTCCAACCCCTACTTATATACCCTGGCAACCACTAATCTGATTTGTCTCTATACTTTTGCCTTTACCAGAATATCATATAAATGGAATGAAACAGTGTATTGCCTTTCATGTCTTTTGCAAAATTATGTTCTTTCATGGATTTTAAGTTTCTTCTTTTTAAATTGCTAATATTAACCTACTATCTCTATATAGAAAACTTTGTTTATCACTAGCTGATTGATGTACATTTGAGTTGTTTCTAGGTTTAAGGTATTGTGAATAATTTGCATATAGTGATTTACATGAACTTCCCTTGCTCCCTTTTTTGGGGGTAAATTTTTAAGAGAGGACTTTCTGGGTTGTATGTAAGAGAATATTTAAAATGATAAGAAACTTCCAAACTGTTTTCCAAAGTTGCTGTATCATTTTGCATCCCCGCTAGCAAATTGAGAGTTTTGTGGTCCACATCCTCACTATCACTTGATACTTTCAGTTGTCTATAATTTTTAAATTTTAGCCAATTTAGTTATATGTGTAGGGGCATCTCATTGTGAATTTAATTTACATTTTTCTAGTGAATAATAATGTTGGTCATTTCTTATGCTTACTGGCCATTTGCATATCTTCTTTGGTGAAGTGTTTGCTCAAATGTTTCCCTACTTTAAAATTTTAAAAATTTAAAATTATTTTATATTCTGCTAATATTTTACAACTGAAGTTCACAAAACACTGAAAGGGTTAATTCAGACACACTGGCAGAAACTGCAGTCTCTGATAATCTATATATATTACTTACCAATAATTGGTACAGAGTTGTGATTAATGATTAAAAAGCCTGAGAAAGAACTAGGACAAAGCGCTTCTGAGCCTTACGTAACTTATTTTCTTGGACTGGATTTGCCAAAACAAAATTGATCTTTGGCTGTATGTTTTTGGTCGTATTTCAAAGAATAATATCTTTAGGAGATAATTCCAAATATCCAGAAAAATGCTTATCTCGAAGTCTACTTCTGAAACTTTAAACTTGACCCAACCTCCCACATGTCTTTTCCAGGCAATTACTTTGACTTTCTCTAATTCATTCTCTAGTCAGGATCTTAACCTTTATTTTTTTTTCTTTTCCCCAGCTTTCTTGAACTAATAGTATCTATGAAACATATTCTTGGAAAGCAAAGCAAACAAAGAAACACACAGTTAACCAAAAGTTAGCAATTTGATGAACAATATCATGTCAAAAGTTAGAATACCATCCCAGTAGTATGCCTCTGTTGTTTGTTTGCAGATCTAATGAAATCATAACATACGACTCTCAGAAAACAATAAGGTAAAGATGGCTTCTTAAAGATGTCCTAGACTTAACAGCAATAAAGTTCTAGGTAGGAGACTGGGTCCAATTGTTTTTTAACTTTTAATCCCATAAGATTTTATCTTTATTAGAAGGAATGATATTTTTTAAACGGTAGTTAAAAACAGGTAAGAAATGAGAGATTATTACACAACAGTGCACTCTATAGTATGTGATAAACGTCTCTCTCTCTTTTGAACTCAACAGTCTGAAGTAAAATACAACTATTTCATTAATCAATATGATATTTAAATCACCAAATTAAAAATGATCACTGTGTGTTAAAATTGTCTCTAATGACACTTCACTATGCAGAACATGGTAATTACTTTGAAAAATCAGCTATTCCAAGGTAACTGGGCAGTTACAATATTTTATCAGGTAAATTACCTGTCACCATCAACATTCATCACAGACTCATTTGGATTTTATTACAGATTGACATTTACTTATTTGCCCAACTTTTAAAATTACAACTGTTGCACGATTGCCCCAGGGTGCAACTGTAGAAAATTAGCACACTAATTACATTAATTATCATAAATAAAAGGTTATCAAAGAGTAGCATGTAATAACATAGTATTTTTTAAAAGCAACTTAGGGCATCCCTATAATACCTTAAATTTAGGTATTAAATTGAAATTTTCAAGACTGCTTTACCTCTATAGTTTTAATCTTTAACACCTCAGCTACAGGAATGTTATTGTTAATGCCATTTCAGAAATGAAAAAGCCGCAGCCAAAACAGCTGCATGATCGCCCTAAGATCATACACAGTTGCAAGAGTTAAAGGTCAAGTCAAAAACCACATTTCCTAAACTTCCAACTTTCCATTTTTTGCCCCTATATTTTTCTGCCTTTTAGGGATGAAAAGTAAAATATTTATCTTTTATGCTCCAATGTATCAACACTTTAAGTGAACTAAAGATCCAAAAGTGAGTCTCATCTGCTTGCTTTTTCCCACCTCTATTGCTACCGACCTAGTCAAGCAAACATCATCTTTCCTCTCAAGTACCTGTAACAACTCCCTTCCTTCTTGCCCCATAAAAATCCATATTATACAGAGATACCCAACTGATTTTAAAATATAAATAAGATCATGCCCTTTTTTTTTTTTTTTTTTTTGCTTAAAATGATCTGTGGATTCTCAACATACTGGAATAAAATCTAAATCACCAAGTCCTATAAAATTCATGTAATCTGAACCCCTCTCCCATTTCATCTCCTATCACTCTGTATCCCCTCATTATTCTGCTATTTTTGTCTGATTGTTGAGCCTATTGCCAAGATTGAGCCTGCCTCTGAGTCTTTGTTCTTCAATTTTACTCTGTTTGGAATGTTCTACCCCCAGGTTTCTGCAGAACTGGTTTCAAGTTCCTACTCCTTAAAGAGATTTTCTTAAATAACTGAACCTAAACTGACCTTTCTTCTTTCTCCTTCTTTCCTACAGCCTATCCTCTAGTCATTCCTTATCACATTCTGTTTTATTTTTATGCCATTTTTCTTTGCTTTCAGAAGTTATCAACTCCTACACCTTGGAAGTCCACAGAAGAGTTTGTGTATCTTGATTACTACCTGTAACAGAAGCTATGCATTCTTCACTCCTATCTCTAAAGGCTGCTCTGGAAATCACCTGCAACTTCAGTTGATGGTTCTCATATATTCTAAAGAGCTTTCTATCTCAAAATCTCTCAGCCTGAGGCTATTCTCTGAGTATTATTCCTAGCAGACAAGAAATGCCAGGAAGTTAAGGGCTCAAAGTATTAGGATGGTGCAAAATTAACTGTGGGTTTTGCTATTAATACAACCTTTATTCCATAGATAAAATCAGGAAATTACTATGTACACGGCTCCTTCATTCTTCAGGTGGCCAATTATAAAGGTGTGTTCTACATCTTTCACAGTCTCCAGCATGACTGAACCCTAGCTGCCCACAGTAGAAACCAGCTTATTCCTGTGCATTTCATTGCCTTTCATTTCTCTATCTATTTTGTTGTTAAATAAAACAAAATCACACCCACTTCCCTGTCCCCAGTGCCTGACTGGCCTCATCATACATACTATTGTCCTCTTCTCTGCTCTTTGTTTTCAACATTTTCCTTCCCCACTGCCTTGTCTTGTCTCCACTAGTAATCTTCTTTCTATAACTTCCTTCTCTAAGCCATATGCTTTTATCTCTCACCAATGTCCTGGATCACTGTCTTGAAGGTGGTTATCTCCACACGGCATTTTTGTCTCCAAGTTTCGATAACTAATACTTCCCTTCATCCCTTCAGGCCTAGAGAAGGTAACAGTTGCAGGGTACATACAGAATTATCCCTTTTGGTTTATCTATACACTATCTACAGCTTTTAAATTGCTCTTTTATTATATTTTATTCAAATTAAACAACTTAAGTGTATTGTGCATTTTCCCTAGTACATTCATTGGTACCATTTGCACATTCAGGTTTTAGTGTATATTCAAAGAGTGATTTTCCTTTCTTTCTTCCTATGAGATTTTTCACTTCTTTCTTGAAATTTGCTTAAAGAATACAGCATATCCAGGTTTTAGGGGAAAAGAGACTCAGCACTAAAAACAATAATACTTTGCTATGCACTAAATTCACAAGAACAATTTTTCTTTATCTATTTCTGCTTCTTTTTTAATTCCTAGAGAAACCACTTTTTGTCTGATGTCTCTTCTTTCCTCAGAAACCTTATTTTTGTTATAGCTCAAAGCAAACCTCTCGGGCTTCCCTTTTGGAGGCAAACCTCTTTAGAGTAGGATAAAGACATTGTACTCTTATTTACTTCTCTTCAGTTTTATTTTATTTTATGAGGAATTAAATGTATAGAGTGAAATATACACATATTAAAGGTATAAACCCATGTGACACACATCTTAATCTGAACACAAAACAAATAAACTTCTCTCATGCCCCTTTCCAGTCAGTATTGCTGCAACATAAGGCAACTGGTGATTTGGTTTCTGTCACCATAAGTTAGTTCTGCCAGTTCTTGAACTTCATATAAATGAAACCATAGCACATGTAATCTTTGGGTCTAGCTTCTTTCACTCAGTGTAAAGTTTTTGAAATTTTTCTGTTGCTGTGTGTCTTGATAGTTTGTTCTCTTTTGTTACTGAACAGTGTTGAGTAAAAGAGTCAAACTCTGTAAAATATTTGGAGAGATTTATTCTGAGTGAAATATGAGTGACCATGGCCTGTGAGACAGCCCTCTTCAGGAGACCCTGAGAAAATGTTCCCAAGGTGGTTGGGGTTCAGGTTGATTTTATACATTTTAGAGTGTTAAAACACACTAAATATGGCCTGAGAAGGACTCCATACTTATATATTTGAATCTTTGTGGACAAATTGCAACCTAACTTAATAAGTAGACAAGATTGAAAAACCTAACTTAAGAGTATGCACCTGTAACAATAGCTGAGTGTTGGCCAATCCCAGTAGCCATACTTCAACCACTCTTACACTACTGAGTGTTCAAACTGTGTTCAACTAAGGCAAATGCTAAGCTGTAACCAATTTAGTTGTTTCTGTACCTCACCTCCAATTTCTGTACCTCATTTCCCTTTTTATGTATATAACTCTTTCACCACGTGGCTGTGCTGAAATCTCTCTGAATCTGCTGTGATTTCAGGGACTGCTCTATTCATGAATTGTTGATTGCTGAATTGAACTTCTTTAAATTTAATTCAGCTGAAGTTTTTCTTTTAACAGATGGTGTCAGAAGTGGGATCTGAAGTAGAGCCTTAACAATCTCCAGGACTGCTGAGTGAACAAGCAAGGTACCTGCAAGGACCTACTTTTGTCCCTTGATCTCTCAAAGTGGCTGGGGATCATGGGTAAGTTCTCTCAGATTTCAGAACTCCATGGATTTGTGTTTGGAATTCTCTGAGTTTCTCTGAACAAATTTGTGATCCAAGCAGTTTGAAAGTCAGGACAGAAACTGAACTAGGTCCAGGTTCAGGTTAAATCTGGTAATTAGCTGACTTGGATCCAGCTGGAGGCCTCTCTCTCTCTCTCTTTTTTTTTTTTTTTTTTTTGAGATGGAGTCTTGCTGTGTCACACAAGCTGGAGTAGAGGGGCATGATCTAGGCTCACTGCAACCTCTGCCTCCTGGGTTCAAGAAATTCTCCTGCCTCAGCCTCCCGAGGAGCTGTGATTACAGGTGTCCACCACCATACCCAGCTAATTTTTGTATTTTTAGTTGAGACGTGGTTTCACCACGTTGGCCAGGCTCGTCTTGAACTCCTGACCTCAAGTGATCTACACACCTGGGCCTCCGAATTGCTGGGATTACAGACGTGAACCACCATGCCAGTCCCAGTTAGAGGCCACTTACCTTTGGCTGAGACAGAAAGAAAATATTAGTAAATGGTAATATTGCAGTGGTTGTAAAATTTGGCTTTTAGAAATGCACAGGGATTCTTGCGTTCTACCCCTTCATTTCATTTTTCTTGTGTACATAGGTAGAAAAAAATTATTGGCTAAGTCAATCAACGGAACCTAAGAGTAAAACCAATATCTTAGGTAAAAATGGGTTCCTTAATTTTTGAAAATCTGAGTTTCTTCCATCTTTTTATTTTTTATTTTATTTATTTATTCATTATAATTATTATTATTTTGAGACAGAGTCTCTCTCTGTCACCCAGGCTGGAGTGCAGTCGCGCAATCTCAGCTCACTGCAAGCTCTGCCTCCCGGGCTCAAGCGATTCTCCTGCCTCAGCATCCCAAGTAGCTGGGATTACAGACGCGTGCCACCACGACCAGCTAATGTTTTGGATTTTTAGTAGAGACGGGTTTTCACAGTGTTAGCCACGATGGTCTCAATCTCCTGACCTTGTGATCCGCCCGCCTCGGCCTCCCAAAATGCTGGGATTATAGGTGTGAGCCACTGCGTCCGGCCTAAAGAAACAGAATTTTATTAATTTATCAGCTGAGTTAGCATTACAGTGGCTTACGAAGCATTTGCCATTGTTTGAGGTTGCAGTGAGGATAACATGAAACACCTGAAGAAAAACCTTCACAAAACCTGGTCTCTTTCCAACAGCTTAGCTATGTGAGAATAGCTTTTATAACATGACAACCCTAAAAATAAAACCATTTTAAACTTAAAGCTGTCCTTCCAGTTGCTGTTTCAAACTTTATCCCAAGAACTGAAGTGTCATTCAGTAAAAGGCAACTACAGGCTTCTCAGCAGTAAGGCTAAGTACTTGTTTTATGTTTTCTGGTGATGAATTTATTTCTTGTCTTTAAGTTTACAGTGACAGCTATAAAAGTGATTGTCAATAGTATTAGTATAATTTAATTACTAATAGAATGTGTTTTCCATGTATGTTTTAGTCAGAGCTATGATTTTCTTAATAATACCAGAACTTATTTTGTGCTCTATGATGATGACATTAGTGATCTGTATTCTCAGCAGTATTTTACAGTGCTTCAGACTATTAATACACTAATCTGTGTTTTTGGCTGGGTGTTGTGGCTCAAGCCTGTAATCCCAGCACTTTCACAGGCTGAGACGGGTGGATCACTCAAGCTCAGAAGTTCGAGACAAGTCTGAGCAACATTGTGAAACCCCCTCTTTACTAAAAATACAAAAATTAGTTGGGCCTGGTGGTGGGCACCTGAAATCCCATCTATTTGGGACGCTGAGACAGTAGAATCATTTGAACCCAGGAGGTGGAGGTTGCAGTGAGCTGAGATCGCACCATTGCACTGCAGCCTGGGCAAAAAGACGGAAACTCCATCTCAAAGGAAAAAAAAAAGAGTAAATAGTAAAATCGGGTATGGTGGCTCATGCCTGTAATCCTAGCACTTTGGGAGGCTGAGGCGGGTGGATCACCTGAGGTCGGGAGTTCGAGACCAGCCTGACCAACATGGAGAAAACCCGTCTCTACTAAAAGTACAAAATT
This sequence comes from Homo sapiens, assembly GCF_000001405.40. Taxonomy (NCBI): domain Eukaryota; kingdom Metazoa; phylum Chordata; class Mammalia; order Primates; family Hominidae; genus Homo; species Homo sapiens. The sequence goes on from NC_000020.11 coordinate 30,254,655, forward strand.
AGTCAGGCTAGGTGGTGCATGCCTGTAATCCCAGCTACTGGGGAGGATGAGGTAGAAGAATCACTTGAACCCGGGAGGTGGAGGTTGCGGTGAGCCATGATCACACCATTGCACTCCAGCCTGGACAACAAGAGTGAAACTACATCTCAAAATAAAATAAATAAAATAAAGAGTAAATAGTATTCCTTTATGTGTGTGCATGTCTGTGTGTGTATGTGTATATATATCACATTTTCTTTATCCATTCATCTAATGCTGGCCTCCTAGGTTGCTTTCATATCTTAGCTATTATGGATACTGCTGCAGTGAATATGGTAGTGCAGTTATCTCTTCAGTATGCTGATTTCAATTCCTTTAGCTATACACCCACAGGTGGGATTGCTGGAACATACAGTAATTCTATTTTTAATTTCTGATGAATCTCCATGTTATTTTCCTTAATGGCTCTATTCATTTATGTTGGGAAATATAATTACTTTTTTTTTTGAGACGGAGTCTTTCTCTCCCAGGCTGGAGTGCAGTGGTGTGATCTAGGCTCACTGCAAGCTCCACCTCCTGGGTTCACACCATTCTCCTGCCTCAGCGTCCTGAGTAGCTGGGACTACAGGTGCCCGCCACCTACCTGGCTAATGTTTTTTGTATTTTCAGTAGAATGATGTTGGGAATGGACTGGTTTATTCAATAAATCGTGTTAGGTACATTGACTAATAGTGTGTAGGATTGAAGTTATATTTACTGAATTCTTTAAGGTATAGTCAAAACAGACTGAATAATTAAATGTAAAAATGATCTGGAGAAAACCTTCTTGTTTTGTTTTTTTGAGATGGAGTCTCACTCTGTCATCCAGGCTGGAGTGTAGTGGGGTGATTTTGACTGACTGCAACCTCAGTTTCCCAGGTTCAAGTGATACTCCTGCCTCAGCCTCCCAAGTAGCTGGGATTGCAGACATGTGCTGCCACACTAGAATAATTGTATATGTTTTAAAATAGGAATAGATTTTCTAAGCTAAACTGAAGATAAATGCTAAGGAAATAGTGAGATTTCACTTGATAATTATGTGTCTGAATGAATCAGCCAATTAATAAAATGAAAACAGGTCAAGGGTAGTGGTGCCTGCCTGTAATATGACCACCTTGGGAGGCTGAGGCGGGTGGATCACTTGATGTCAGGAGTTCAAGACCAACCTGACAAACATGGTGAAACTCCATCTCTACTAAATACAAAAAAGTAGCCTGTTGTGGTGGCACATACCTCTAATCCCAGCTACTTGGGAGGCTGAGGCAGGAGAATCACTTGAACCTGGGAGGTGGAGGTTGCAATGAGCAGAGATTGAGCCATTGCACTCCAGCCTGGGCAACAGGAGCAAAACTCTGTCTCAAAAAAAAAAAAAAAAAAAATCACTGCCTCACCAACTTTTTCACATAGAATGATTAAGGATTCCAGAGCCCATGCTACCTCTAGGGGCTCCTGCCCCTCCCACATCACACATCTATCTTGACACGGCTAGTTACAGAGAAGAAAAGGCCCAGTAAATTAATATCACAATCATTGCCACATACCCACCAAAATACTCAAATTAAAATTTTGACAAAATTAAGTACCAACAAGAATGCAAAGATTTGGGAATTATCAGATATTGTAAGACTGTCAGTTGGTGTGCTAACATTGGGATGAAACCAATAATAGCTAGTAAAATGGAAGATATGTTTGCCCTGTAACCTATGGTTTCACCTCTTGTTTTATACTGTTCACTATACACACTATACACACTAATGGTAACCAAATAGAAATACACAAATGTTCACAACAGCATCATTTGTAACTGACAAAAATGAACACAACCCACATGTCCACCAACAATGAAGGGATACACACTGGTGTACTGTATTTTTATTTTTATTTTTATTTTTATTTTTATTTTTATTTTTGAGATGGGGTCTTGCTCAGTCCCCCAGGTTGGAGTGCAGGGCGCGATCTCGGCTCACTGCAATCTCTGCCTCCCAGGTTCAAGCAATTCTCCTGCCTCAGCCTCCCAAGTAGCTGGTCTTACTGATGGGTGCCGCCACTCCCAGCAAATTTTTGTATTATTGGTAGAGACAGGGTTTCACCTTGTTGGTAAAGCTGGTCTCAAACTCCTGACCTGAGGTAATCCACCTGTCTCAGCCTCCCAAAGTGCTGGGATTACAGGTGGGAGCCACCATGCCTGGCTTTTTTTTTTTTTTTTTTTTTTTTTTTGAGACTGAGTCTCACTCTGTTGTCCAGGTTGGAGTACAGGGTGCAGTCTTGGCTCACTGCAACCTCCACCACCTCCCAAGTTCAGCTGATTCTGCTGCCTCAGCCTCCCGAGTAGCTGGGAATACAGGCACGTGTCACCACGTCCAGCTAATTTTTTGTATTTTTAGTAGAGATTTGGTTTCACCAAGTTCGCCAGGATGGTCTCGATCTCCTGACCTCATGATCCACTGGCCTCAGCCTCTCAAAGTGCTGAGATGACAGGCATTAGCCACCGCATGGCCTAATTTTTGTAGTTTTAGTAGAGATGGGGTTACACCATGTAGGCTAGGGTGGTCTGGAACTCCTGAACTCAAATGATCTGTCTGCCTCGGCCTCCCAAAATGCTGGGATTATAGACGTGAGCCACCGTGCCTGGCTGTGTACTGTTTTAATAGAATGCAGAAATAATGCTAAATGTGAATATTAAATACTTAATATTGAGTAAAAGAAGCCAGATGCAGCAGAATACAGACTTTTACTCCAATTATGTAAGAGAAAAACCAGGCAAAACCAGACTTTACTTTAGGCTTTTAAAAAATGCATAATAAGGCCAGGCACTGAGGTCAGGAGTTTGAGACCAGCCTGACCAACATGTGAAACCCCGTCTCTACTAAAAATACAAAAATTAGACTGGCATGGTGACACATAGCCCATGCCTGTAATCCCAGCTATTTGCGAGGTTGAGGTATGAGAATCACTTGAATCCGGGAGTTGGAGTTTGCAATGAGTCAAAATCAGGCCACTACTCTCCAGCCTGGGTGACAGAGCAAGGCTCCATCTCTAAAAAAAAAGAAAAAGAAAAGGAAGAATAAATACATAATAAAATTATAAAGAGAACCAAGGAGAGAAACGCAGATATCCACAGGTAATGTGGGTATCTGTTATATCTGTTACTAATAAGGGAAGGAAGACTTTAGGATGAGTTAGGGGCATACAGAGGACTTCTTGGTGGTGATAGTGCTCTATTTCTTCACCTGGATAGGTATCACACAGACGTTTATTTAATAACTGATGTATCCATATGTTTGTTTGCATATTTCACAATAAGAATGAAATGGAGGAAAGGAACGTGAATGGAAAGAGATTTCTCCATTCATCAAAATTTTAAAGTCATATTTTTCCTCAGGTTCTTCTCCAGGTTCAGTCTGAAATGGTGAAAGCAGCCAAGTGTGGTGGCTCACGCCTATAATCTCAGCACTTTTGGAGGTAACAGAGTAAGACTCTGCCTAAAAAAAAAAAAAGAGAACAACAGAGTGGTTATCAGGTAGAGAGGAAGGGAGGAAATAAGGACATGTGGGTCAGAGATACACAGTAGCAGATATGTAGGATGAACAATCCTATACATCTATATACAACATGAGGACTATAGGTAATAAAATTGTACTGTATATGGGATTCCTGCTAAATAAGATTTTACCTTCCCTTGCCACACCAAAAACTGTGGGTATCTGTGATAGATATGGTAATTTGCTTCACTATAGTAACCTTTTTACTATGTATATGTATTCTATAACATCATATGTGTACCTTAAATATACACAATAAAATTTATTTTAAAGAGAAAAAATTGGCCAGGTGTGATAGTTCACGATGGTAATCCCAAAACTTTGGGAGGCCGAGGCGGGCGGATCACAAAGTCAGGAGTCTGAGACCAGCCTGGCCAACATGGTGAAACCCCGTCTCCACTAAAAACACACACAAAAAATTAGCCGGGTGTGGTGGCACACACCTGTAATCTTAGCTACTCAGGCAGTTGAATTGCTTGAGCATAGGAGGCAGATGTTGCAGTGAGATGAGATCTCACCATTGCACTCCAGCCTGGGTGACAGGCTGAGACTCCACCTCAAAAAAAAAAAAAAAAAAAAAAAAAAAAAAAAATATATATATATATATATATATATAGAGAGAGAGAGAGAGAGAGAGAGAGAGAAATTATGAAAGTATGCACAACTAAATTAAAATGTCAACTCTAAAGTGAGCTACTGAGTGACTGGGGTGCATGAGAGAAAAGGTTACTTAACATTTTTATACCTATTGAATTGTATCCTATGTATGCATTATAAATTTAAATGTGCAATAATGCAGATAACTGACATGTGGGTATGCTTTGATTAGGACTTTGCATTTCCCTTTTGCTCAAATTCCTTATGATTCTAGATGCGTATGAATAGAAATACAAAATGTAAGGAGACATGGGACTTCTGATAGCCCTTTCTTCTTTCCATGTTTTGTGTCTCTGGTTGTAGTTTGCCATATGAGTCCATATGGCTAATGAGCAAAATATTTTTCAGATGGATACATGTGACCAAGCATTGCAAGTTAAAGATATTTCTGAATCTTGGACCTCTTATTTACAGTGAAGCCCCCTCATGCATAGTAAAGCAGAGAGGAATGTAAAAGGTTGCTGCATCGATAATCAATTTCTGGTGAGCAATAATTATAGGTAATGTAAAATGGGACAATTATTGCTTTTCATCATATCTTGAAAGAACTCTTACAGTCCATGATTTTGAAAAAAAAAATCTAAGTTCACTCTTTTTTTTTCTATTAAAAAAAGACATTATCCTGTAGAAGTTCAAGAGTAAAATCTGAAGGCAGCTTATCTGACCTGGCCACATGGTCTTGCCACTTGTTAAATATAACTTTCTACACACTAACTTCTCCAGACCTCAGATCTTCAACTCTCTAAAATGGAAACCTAGTAGTATTTGTCTCTAGACCTGCAGCTGAACTGAGCATTTTAGGGAAGGAACAAACATACACACGATATATATATAGTCAGATTATGAACCCAGTGTAGCCCAGAATGCAAAAATTTCTCAGTAACAGAGATCCCCAAGAGAAAAATGTGATTTAGTTTATCTCAGTGGCCTTTCATGTGGCAAATGAAAAGTTAAAGTCCATAATGAGAAATATATGGGCAGCCAGTGACACCATCCATTCAATGTAGACTCTCAACATCTCCGACAGTCATTCCCTGTTGTACCCCAACCTGCTTATATATTGGGGTGATATCACCTTTTGATCATAACGTACATAAACCTCAAGCCTCAGTAATAAATATTTATGGACAATCAGATATTCTGTGTTTCCAGTCAAAACTCAGGTAGATCACATTTTATGTGACAGGAGAAGGAACAGTTGATGCCCAGTTAACCCTGAGATCATCTCTGTCTGCATCTTCCTATCATCATAGCAAGCTCTTTCTCTGCAGTCCACCGTCTGTATCTGCCCTTTGCTATATAGATAGCAAAAATAAGCATCTGAAAAGTTGCTCAACACCATATGTCACCAGGGAATTCAAATTAAATCAATGATGAGATACCACTACACATCTATTAGACTGGCTCAAATCCAAACGCTGACACCAACAAATGCTGATGAGGATATGGAGCAACAGGAACTCTCATTGATTGCTGCTGGGAATGTAAAATGGTAAAGCCACTGTGGAAGGCAGTTTTGCAAATTCCTGCAAAACTAAACATATGCTTACCATATGATCTGGCAATTGCATTCTTTGGTATATACTCAAATGACTTGAAAACTTATACCCACTCAAATTCTGCACATGAATGTTTATAGCAGCTTATACATGACCAACAAAGATTGGAAGTAACCAAGATATCCTACAATAGGGAAATGGATAAACTAACTGTGAAGCATTCATACAATGGAATATTCTTCAGGAATAAAAAGAAATGAACTACCAAGGCATGACAAGACATGGAGGAATCTTAAACACGTATTTCTAAGTGAAAGAAGCCAATGAAAAAAGGCCACATAGTGTAGAGTTCCAATTATATGGAATACTAGAAAAGGCAAAACTAGGCAGATGGTATTATAAAAAGTTCAGTGGTTGCCAGGGGCTTGAGCAGAGGGAAGGATGAATAGGTGGAACACAGAAGATTTTTAGGGCAGTGAAACTTTTCTGTGTGACCCTATAGTGGTGGATATATGTGCTTAAGCATTTGTTGAAGCCCATAAATGGTAGAACACAAAGAGTGAATCTTAATGTAAGCCATGAACTTAATAATATCAATATTGGCTCATCAAGCATAACAAATGTACCACACTAACAAGATGATAATAGAAGAAGTGTGTGTACTGTGGTGTGAGGCAGATATTAAGCTCAATATGCCTTCTGCTCTATTTTTCTGTACACCTACAACTGTTCTAAAAATTTTCAATTATTTATTTGTTAATTATTATTTTCTAATATATTTTTCGAGATGGAGTCTCACTCTGTTGCCCAAGCTGGAATGCAACAGCATGATCTTGGCTTACTGCAACCTCTGACTCCCAGCTTCAAGCGATTCTGCTGCCTCAGTCTCCTGAGTAGCTGGAATTACAGGCACCCGCTACCATGCCCAGCTGACTTTTTGTATTTTTAGTAGAGATGGGGTTTCACCATGTTAGCCAGGATGGTCTTAATCTGCTGACCTCATGATCCACCCACCTTGCCCTCTCAAAGTGCTTGGATTACTGGTATGAGCCATCGCACCAGGTCTTATTTATCTTTTTGAGACAGGTTTTAGCTCTGTCACTCAGGCTGGAGTGCAGTGGTGCAATCGTGGCTCAATGCAGCCCCAGCCTCCAGGGCTCAAGTAGCCATCCCACCTCAGCTTACTGAGTAGCTGGGACCACAAGCGTGTGCCACCATACCTGGCACATTTCTTAGACCTCTGAAAAGATGCTCAACACCATATGTCACTAGGAATATTTAGTATTCAACTAGAGGCTTCAATGGGCTCTGAAATATCCCCTCCTGAACTCTATAAAAAGCATGTTTCCAACAAGCTGAATGAAAACAAAGGTTTACATCTGTAAGATGAATTCACACATCAGAAAGCATTTTCACCAAGAACTTTTCTAGTTTTATAGCAGGATGTTCATTGTTTCAATATTGGTCTCAATGGGCTCCAAAATGTCCCTTTGTACAGTCTACAAAAATTTTTGCCAATGTACTGAATCAAAACAAATGTTTAACACTGTGAGATGAATTTTCACATCACCAAACATTTTTACAGATAATTTGTATCTAGTTTTTAATCACAAAACTTTGAATTTTTCACTATAAGCCTCAAAGGGCTCTAAATTGTCCCCTCTTAGCTTCTACTAAAAGAGAGTTTTGAACCTACTGTGTAGAAACAAAAGTTTAACTATGTGAAATAAATCCCCACATTGCAAAGCTATTTCTCAGATAGCTTGCTTCTAGTTTTTATCACGAATTATTCAGCTTTTCACTGTAGGCCTCAATGGGCTCCGAAATGTCCCTTCATACATTCTACAAAAAGAGTGTTTCCAACTTAGCTGAATCAAAAGAAATTTTAAACTGTATGAGATGAAACCGCAAATTGCAAAGCATTTTCACATATAGCTTCTATAGTTTCTATCGTATAATATTCAGTTTTTCACTACAGGCCTCCATGGGCTATGAAATGTCCCCTCATAGGTTCTATAAAAAGGTGTTTCCAACATGCTGAATGAAAACAAAGATTTAACTTTGTGAGATGAACCCACACATCACAAACCATTTTTATAGATAGATTTTCTCTAGTTTTTATTGTGGAATATTCAATTTCATGCTACAGGCCTCAATTTGCTCCAAAACTTCCCCTTGTAGATTCTACAAAAAGAATATTTCCAACCTGCTGAATCAAAAGAAATGTTCAATTCTGTGAGATGATATGCAAAGCTTTTTCACAGACAGCCTGTTTCTAGTTTTTATCCTGGGGTATTTGATTTTTCACTGTAAGCATCAATGGGCTCTGAAATGTCCCTTTGTAGATTCTACAAAAAGAGTGTTTCCAACCTGTTGAATCAAAACAAAGTTTTAACTTTGTGAGATGAACCCACACATCACAAAGCATTTTCACCCACAGCTTGTTTCTAATTTTTACCATGGGTTATTTGTTTTTCACTAAATGCCTCAATGGACTATGAATTGTTGCCTTGTAGATTGAACAACCAAAGAGTTTCCAACCTGCTGAAGGAAAACACAGGTTTAACTTTGTAAGATGAATCTACCCATTGCAAAGCATTTTTACAGATAGGTTGCTTTGAGTTTTTATCAAGAGATATTTGATTTTTCACTGTATGCTTCAATGGGTTATGAAACTCCCCTTGTAGATTCTACAAAAAAAGTTTCCAAACTGATGAATCAAAAGAAAAGTTCAACTTTTGAGATGAAATCACACAACACAAAGTATTTTAAGAAATAGCTTCTTTATAGTATTTATCGCAGGCTATTAGATTTTCCAATATTAGCCTCAACAAGCTCTGAAATGTCCCTTTGTAGATTGCACAAAATGAGTGTTTCCAACCTATGGAATAAAAAGGAAGGTTTAACTCTGTGAGATAAATCCAGGCATCACAAAGCATATTCACAGATGGCTTATTTCTAATTTTTGTTGTGGGATATTTGGTTTTTCAATAAAGGCCTCAAGCACTCCGAAATGTCCCTTTGTAGATTATATAACAAGAGTGTTTTATGGCTGCATAGTATTCCATGGTGTATATGTGCCACATTTTCTTAATCCAGTCTATCACTGTTGGATATTTGGGTTGGTTCCATGTCTTTGCTATTGTGAATAGTGCCGCAATAAATATACGTGTGCATGTGTCTTTATAGCAGCATGATTTATAGTCCTTTGGGTATATACCCAGTTCATGTCCTTTGTAGGGACATGGATGAAATTGGAAATCATCATTCTCGGTAAACTATCACAAGAACAAAAAACCAAACACCGCATATTCTCATTCATAGGTAGGAATTGAACAATGAGAACACATGGACACAGGAAGGGGAACATCACACTCTGGGGAGTGTTGTGGGGTGGGGGGAGTGGGGAGAGATAGCATTGGGAGATATACCTAATGCTAGATGACGAGTTAGTGTGTGCAGCGCACCAGCATGTCACATGTATACATATGTAACTAAACTGCACATTGTGCACATGTACCCTAAAACTTAAAGTATAATAATAATAAAAAAAGAGTGTTTTAAAAGTGCTGAATCAAAGCAAATGTGTAACTCTTTGAGAGGAATCCACACATCACAAAGCATATTTTCAGATCACTTGTTTCTAGTTTTTAAAGCATGATATTCGGTTTTTCACTATATGCCTCATCAGGCTCAGAAATGTCTCATAGTAGATTTTACAAAAATAGTGTTTCCTACCTGCTGAATCAAAACAACCGTTTAAATCTGTGAGATGACGCCAAACCTCGCAAAGCATTCTCACAGACAGTTTTTTCCTAGTTTTTATCGCAGGATATTCGGTTTTTCAGTATAGGCCTCAATGAACTTTGAAATGTCCATTCATAGGTTCTATAAAAGTGTGTTCCCAACTCCCTGTATAAAAGCAAAGGTTTAACTCTGTGAAATGAATCTACACATTGGAAAGCACAAAAATAGCTTGTTTCTAGCTTTTATGATGAGACATTTGATTTTTTACTATTGGCCTCAATGGGCTCAGAAACGTCTCTTTGCAGATTCTACAAAAAAAGTTTTTTCATTTTTCTGAACAAAAATAAAGGTTTAACTCTTTGATATGAAATCACACATCACAAAGAATTTTCACAAATAGCTTTTTTCTAGGGTTCATCACTGGATATTGGGTTTTTCACTATAGGCTTCAATGCAGTCTTAATTGTAACTTCTTAATTCTACAAAAAGAGTGTCCCCCAACCTGCTGTATGTAAATAAAGGTTTATCTCTGTGAGATAAATCTTCACATTGCAAAGCATTTTCCCCAATAGCTTGTTTCTAGTTTCTATCTCGGGATATTGATTTTTCACTATAGGCTTCAATAGGCTTTGAAAGATTCCTGTGTAGATTCCACAAAAAGAGTGTTGTGACCTGCTGAATCAAAACAATGTTTAACTTTTTGAGATAAATCCGCACATCACAAAGTATTTTCACAGATAGTTTTTTTTTTTTTTTTTTTTTCAGATGGAGTCTCACTCAGTCGCCCAGGCTGGAGTGCAGTGGTGTGATCTCGGCTTCCCAGGTTCACACCATTCTCCTGCCTCAGCCTCCCAAGTAGCTGGGACTACAGGTGCCCGCCACCACGCCTGGCTAATTTTTTGTGTTTTTAATAGAGACAGGGTTTCACCGTGTTAGCCAGGATGGTCTCGATCTCCTGACTTTGTGATCCACCTGTCTCAGCCTCCCAAAGTCCTGAGATTACAGGCATGAGCCACCGCGCCTGGCCAATAGCTTTGTTTACTTTTATTGTGGGATATTGGTTTTTCACTACAGGCTGATATTGGCTTCAAATTGTACCCTCATAGATTCTACAAACAGTGAGTTTTCAAGCATCTGAAGCAAAATAAAGGTTTAACTTTGTAAGATGAATCCTGCACATTATTGCTGGATATTCGGTTTTTCACTGTAGGCATCAATTTGCTCTGAAATATCCTATTGAAGATTTTACCAAAAGAGTATTTCCATCCTGCTGAATCAAAAGAATGGTTTAATTCTGTGAGATGAAATCACCCATCGTAAATCATTTTCAGAGACAGCTTCATATAGTTTTTATCTCAGAATATTCGGTTTTTCACTATAAGCCTCAATGGGCTTTGAAATACATCCTCATAGATTGTACAAAAAAAAAAAAGGAGTTTCCAAACAGTTGAATCAAAACAAATATTTAATGTTGTGAGATAAATTCAAATATCGCAAAGCATTTTCACAGTTTTTTTTTTCTAGTTTTTATCATGGAATATTCGGCTTTTCACTGTAGTCTTCAGTGGGCTCAGAAATGCCCTTTGTAGATTCCACAAAAAGAATGTTTCTAACCTGCTGAACCAAAACAAAACTAACTCTTTGAGGTGAATCCACACATTGCAAGCATTTTCACAGATAGCTTGTTTCTAGTTTTGATCACGGAATATTAGATATTTTACAATAGACCTCAATGGGCTCAGAATTGTCCCCGCTTAGATTCTACTAAAAGAGTGTTTCCAAAATGCTGTATAAAAATAAAGGCTTAACACTATGAGATGAATCAACACATCACAAAGCATTTTCACAAGTAGCTTGTTTTTACTTTTTGTCGTGAGATATTCAGTTTTTCAATATATTCCTCTATCGGCTCTGAAATGTCCCTTCATAGATTCTATGAAAAGAGTGTATCCAACTGACTGAATCAAGACAAAGGTATAACTCTGTGTGAGAAATCTACACATCACAAAGCATTTTCACTGATAGCTTGTTTCTAGTTTTTATCATGGGATAATTGGTTTTTGACTATAGGCCTCAATGGGCTTCAAAGTGTCCCTTTGTAGATTCTACAAAGAGTGCTTCAATCCCGCTCAATCAAAGCAAAGATTTAATTCTCTGAAATGAATCTACACATCACAAATCATTTTCCAGTATAGCTTGTTTCTATTTTTTATTGTGGGATATTTGATGTTTTACTTTAGACCTCAATGGGCTCTGAAATGTGCCTTCTTAGATTCTACAAAGAGTGTTTCTCACCTGCTAAATCAAAACAATGGTTTAACTTTGTGAGATAAGTCCACACATTGCAAAGAATTTTTACTAATAGCTTATTTCTAATTTTTATCATGGGATATTCAATTTTTTCAGTGTAGTCCTCAATGGTCTCTGAAATGTCCCCTCGTAGATTCTACAAATAGAGTGTTGCAACCTGATAAATCAAACCTTTAATTCTGTGAGATAAATCTATAAATCTACACATCTCAAAGCATTTTCACAGATAGCTGGTTTCTGGTTTTTATCACGGGATATTTGATTTTTCACTATAGACCTCAATAGGCTCTGAAATGTCCCCTCATAGAGTCTACAAAAAGAGTGTTTTCAACCTGCTGAATAAAAACAAAGGTTTAACTCTGTGACATAAAATAACAAATCATAAAACATTTTCACAGTTGGCTTGTTTCTAGTTTTTATCACGCGATACTCAGTTTTTCATGGCAGGGCACAATGGGCTCCAAAATGTCCCTTTGTACATTCTACAAAAAGAGTGATTTTGGCCTGCTGAATAAAAACAAAGGTTTTATACTGTGAGAGGAATCCACACATAGGAAGGAATTTTCACAGATAGCTTGTGTCTAGTTTTCATTGCAGGATGTTCAGTTTTTTCATATACTTCTTGATGGGCTCTGAAATGTCTCTTCATAGACCCTACAAAGAGAGCATTTACAACCTGCTGAATAAAAACAAAGGTTTAACCCTGTGAGTTGAATCCACACATCACAAAGCATTCTCATATATAGCTTGTTTCTAGTTTTTATCTTGAGATATAACGTTTTTAACTTTAGGCATTAATGTTCTCTAAAATGTGTCATTTTAGTTTCTACAAAAACAGTGTTTCAACCTGCTGAATTAAAACAAGGTTTAACTCTGTGATATGAATTGACACATCACAAAATATTTTCACAGATAGCTTTTTACTAGTTTTTGTCATGGGATTTTCAGTTTTTCACTAATGTCTTTCATGTACTCTGAAATGTCCCTATGTAGATTTTACAAAAAGAGTGTTTCCGACCTACTGAATCAAAACAAGTGTTTAAATCTGTGAGATATATCCATACATTGCAAAGCACTTTCACAGATTGCTAGTTTCTAGCTTTTATCATGAGATACTTGGTTTTTCACTATAGACCTCAATAGGCTCCCAAATGACTCTCACAGATTGTACAAAAAGAGGGTTTTCAAAGTGCTGAATCAAAATAAAGATTTAACTCAGTGAGGTGAATCCACACATAGCAAAATATTTTCACAGATAGCTTGGTTTTGTTTGTTTGTTTTGTTTTTATTGTGGGATATTTCATTTTTCACTATAGGCCTCAATGGGCACCAAAATGTCTTCTCCTAGATTCTACAAACTGACTGTTTCCAACTTGCTTAATCAAAACAAAGGTTTAACTCTGTGATATGAATATACACATCCCAAAGGATTTTCACAGATAGCTTATTTCTAGTTTATATCTTCTCGTATTTTGTTTTTCACTGTAGGTTTCAATGAGTTTTGAAATGTTTCTTCGTAGATTGTGCAAAAAGAGATTTTAAAGCTGCCAAATTAAAACAGATGTTTAACTCTTTGAGATGAATCCACACACTGCAAAGCATTTTCACAGATAGCTTGTTTCTAGTTTTTATCATGGGATATTTGGTCTTTCACTGTAGTAGTCCTCAATGGACTCTGAAATGGCCCTTAGTAGATTCTACAAAAAGAGTGTTTCCAACCTGCTGAATCAAAACAAATGTTTAACTCTGTGAAAGGAATCCACACAACGCAAAGCATTTTCACAGATAGCTTGTTTGTAGTTTTTATTGCAGGATATTCAGTGTTTTAATGTACTTGTCCATGGGCTCCGAAATGTCCCTTCATATATTCTACAACAATAGTGTTTTCTACATGCTGAAAAAATAACATATGTTTAACTCTGAGAGATGATTCCCCAAATCACAAGACCTTTTCACAGATAGCTTGTTTCTAGTTTTCATTGTGGGATATTTAACTTTTCACTATAGGTCTCAATGAGCTTTGTAATGTCCTTTTGTACAATCTGCAAAAAGAGGGTTTCCAGCCTGCTGAATCAAAACAAAGGTTTAACTCTGTGAGATAGATCCACACATTGCAAAACATTTTCACAGATATCTTCTTTCTACTTTTCATTGTAGGATGCTCACTTTTTCCAAATACTTCTCCAGGGGTTCCATATTGTCCCTTCGTTGATTCCACAAAAAGAGTGTTTCCAACCAGCTAAATCAAAACAAAGGTTTAACTCTGTGAGTTAAATCTACATATTGCAAAGCATTTTCACAGATAGCCTGTTTCTCATTTTTATCACAGGATCTTCAGTTTTTCACCATAGGCCTCAATGGGCACTAAAATGTCTTCTCATAGATTCTAAAAACAGACTGCTTTCAACCTGCTTAATCAAAAGAAAGCTTTAACTCCATGATATGAATCCACACATTGGAAGCATTTTCACAGATAGCTTGTTTGTAGTTTTTTTCTCCACATATTTTGTTTTTTACTATAGGCTTCAATGGGCTTTGAAATATTTCTTTGTAGATTCTGCAAAAAGAGTGTTTCCAAACTGCATATTTAAAACACTGGTTTAACTCTGTGGCATGAATCCACAATGGCAAGGCATTTTCACAGATAGCTTTTTTCTTGTTTTTTTTAGGGGGGAGGGTGGGGGAAGATATTTGGTCTTTCACTGCAGGTCTCAATGGGCTCTGAAATGGCTCTTCATAGATTCTACATAAAGAGTGTTCCCAACCTGCTGAATCAAAACAAATATTTAACTCTGGAAGATGAATCCACACATCACAAAGCATTTTCAGTTATAGACTTTTATTGTTTTTATTGTGAAATATTCTGCTTTTTAATATAGGCCTCAATGGGTGTGAAATATCCCTTCATGTATTCTATAAAATAGAGTTTTCAACCTGCTGAATAAATGCAAAGGTTTAAATCTGTGAGGTGCACCCACACATTGCAAAGTGTTTTCAAAGACAGCTTGTTTCTACTTTTATCATGAGATATTTTGTATTTCACTATGGGCCTCAATGGGCTTCAAACTGTCCCTCTGTAGACTCTACACAAAGAGTGTTTCCAATCTGCTTAATCAAAAAATGATTAACTCTGTGAGATGAATCCACACATCACAAAGAACTTTTACTGATAACTTGTTTCTGGATGTTATCATGGGATAATCATTTTTTCATTAACCTGCTGAATGACAAGAAAGATTTAACTCTGTGAGATGAAATCACACATCGCATATAACTTTCAGACACAGCTTTTTTGTAGTTTTTATCACAGGACATTAAGTTTTTCTCTACAGGCTTCAATGGACTTTGAAATGTCCTTGTGTAGATTGTACAAGGAGAGTGTATCCAACCTGCTGAATGGAAACAATGTTTAATTCTTTGAGATGAATCCACACATCCCAAAGCGTTTTTACAGATAGGTTGTTTCCATTTTTTATCATGAGATATTAGGGTTTTCACTATAGGTTTCAATGGGCTCTGAAATGTTTCTTTGTACATTCTAGAAAAGGAGTGTTTCAATTCTGATTGAACTGAGTGTTCTGATTCTGCCGAATCAGAAGAAAGTTTTAACTCTGTGAGTTGGATCCACACTTTGCAAATCTTTTTCACAGATAGCTTGCTTCTAGTTTCTTTCATGGGATATTTGGTCTTTCACTATAGGCCTCAATGGGCTCTGAAATGTTTTTAAGTAGAATCTACAAAAACAGTGTTTCCAAACTGCTGAATTAAAACAAAGTTTTAAATATGTGACATTATTTCACATATCACAAAGCATTTTCACAGATAACTTGTTTGTAGTTTTTATCACGGGATATTCTGTTTCTCACTATAGGCCTCAGGGGTTCAAAATGTCTTTCCTTAGATTTACAAAAAACGTGTTTCTAGCCTGCTGAATGATAACAAATATTTAACTCTGTGAGATGAATCCAGACACTGCCAGTCGTTCTCACAGATAGCTGTTTTCTAGTTTTGTGTGTGAGGGATATTCGCTTTTTTACAATATGCCTCAAAGGTCTCAGAAATTCCCATTCGTAGATTCAACAAAAAGAGTGTTTCCAAATTGCTGAATTAAAACAGTGGTTTAACTATGTGAGATGAATCCAAACATTGCAAAGCATTTGGACAGATATCTTCTTTCTAGTTTTTATCACAGGATAATTGATTTTTCATTATGGGCCTCAAAGGTCTTTGAAAATGCTCTTCATAGATTCTACAATAAAAGTGTTTTCAACCTGTTGAATCAAAGATTTAACTCTAGGAGATGAATCAACACATCACAAACCATATTCACTGATACCTTATTTCTAGTTTCTATCATGGGATATTCAGTTTTTCACTGTATGCCTCAAAGGGCTCCGAAATGTCCCTCCAAAGATTCTACAAAAAGAGTGTTTCCAAAATGCTAAATAAAAAAAGTTTAACTCTGTGAGAAGAATCCACACATCACAAAACATTTTCACTGATAGCTTGTTTTTAGTTTTCATCGTGTAATATTTGATTTTTGTGTTTGTTTGTTTGTTTTACTATAGGCCCCAATGAGCTCTGACATTTTTTCTTTTTAGATTCAACAAAAAGAGTGTTTCCAACCTATGGAATCAAAAGAAAGGTTTAAATTTGTAAGATGAATCGACACATCACAAAGCATGTTCACAGATAGCAAACTTCTAGTTTTTTTCCGCAGGATATTGTTTTTCACTGTAGGCCTCAATGGGCTTTGAAAAGTTTATTGGTAGATACTACAAAAAGACTGTTTTCAACCTGATGAATCAACAGAAAGGTATAACTCTTTGAGATGAGCCCACACATCCTAAAGCATTTTCGCACATAGCTTACTCCTAGTTTTTATCATGAGATATTCTGTTTTTCACTATAGACCTCCATGCGCTCCGAAATGTCCCTTTGTAGATTCTACAGAAAGAGTGTTTCCAAATTGTTGAATTAAAACAAAGGTTTAACTGTGTGACATTATTTCACAGATCACAAAGCATTTTCACAGATAGCTTGTTTCTAGTTTTTATCGCAGGATATTTGGTTTTAAACTCCAGGCCTCAATGTGCTTCAAAATGTCTCATCTTAGATTCTACAAAAAAACATGTTTCCAACATGCTGAATCAAAACAAAAAGTTGGCTCTGTGAGATAATTCCATGCCTCGCAAAGCCTTTTGACAGATAGCTTGCATTAAGTTTTCATCACGGGATATTCCATTTTTCTCTATAGGCATCAGTGGGCTCCAAAATGTCCCTTTGCAGATCCTACAGTGAAAGTGTTTCTAAACTGCTGAATTAAAACAAAGATTTAGCTTTGTGAGATAAATCCAGACATCACAAAGCATTTCACTGATAGTTTGTTTCCAGTTTTTATCACAGGATAGTCAGTTTCTTACTATAGGCCTCAATTTGCTCTGTAATATCCCCTCTTAGATTCCAGAAAAGGAGAGTTTCCAGCCTACTGAATCACAAGAAATGTTTAACTCTGTGAGATAAAATCACACATTGGAAAGCATTTTCAGACATAGTTTCTTTGTAGTTTTTAATCGTGGGATATTTGGTGTTTCCACTATAGGCCTCAATGGATTTTGAAATTTTCCCTCATAGGGACACAAAAAAAGTGTCTTTATCCTTCTGAATCAAAACAAAGTTTTAACTGTGAAAAGAAAATCCACACATAGCAAAGCATTTTCACCATATCTGCCAACAAGGAAACTCTTGTTCTCCCACTCTTATCAGAGGGCTGCATGATTCCTATAGGATGAGAAGCAGGCAGCGGTGTCAGGATTTGCCTGGTCATCTAGGCTCTGTTACAGTCATCTACATGTTCTTTTTCACTGTGGAGGGGATCTTTTATTGATCTGTTGCTACGGGGGACTGCCTCTCTCTACAGATCTTTTGGCTGCCAGGGATTTCAGGGAGTAAAAAGTACTTCGGGTAGGCTGGCTGCACTCCAGGTTGTGAGTAGTGGTCTCACTGTGGGGGATTGGGGTGTTTGCAGGAGGCTTTTGGGTCCTCTGGCAGGAATCCTTGAACATGGCTTGGACGCTAGCACAGGCCCTCTCATTCTCCAAGGCAAGAATTGATTTTCCATTGCTTTCATGAGGAGTCCATACTACTCTTCATCAGCGCTCCTAAACACACTTTTTTTGGCTTGCAATTGCCTCAGACGGCGACTGAGACACTCTCTGAACTGCATCTGCACTCGTGAGGTCTGTTCAAAGTGTGAGACTTCTGCTTCACCTTCAACTTGCCTTTGTCATAGTTCCTGCCTTTCCCAGAGAGCCATGTTGAGTAGTAGGAGCCCCTGTGAGGCCCAGGATGAAGGGAGGCAGTGAGCTCAAGGGCCCTGCCATTTTCTGCTGACATCTGCCTCTGGGGTTTTTGGTATGATTTCATCACCTGGACACCCCTTAACATCTCAGCAGACTGTATTCCCTTCCCCCATGGGACCCAATTCTTGCACACAGCCTCTTTGGGGAATGGAATCAGAGGAACAGTTTCCAGCGCCCCACATCACAGTCTCCAAGTGCCTCCTTCTCCAGCGGGACCTGACCATGAAGATGGCCCGAATGGGCCTGCCTGGAGGGTGTGGGGGTGAGTCTTTTTGAAATGTGCCCCTCTCCGTGATATCTAGGTACAGTCTGCCTGTGTTCCCCAGGCTGCTCTCTCCAAAGAGGAGCTTCCTGCAGAAACACACAGCCTCTGAAGCTGCTGGGATGTGTGTTTCTGTGGGAGTGTTTCAAGTTGTGGATATGTGTGTGGCTGCGGTCATGTGAGTGTGTGTGTGTGTGTGTGTCTGTGTGTGGAGGTAAGTGGAGTCTGCTGAAAGAAATGTGGCTAACACACTGCAGCACTGTTTTTGTCACCCCATCTTCCGGTGGCCTGTCTCTGTGGTTCTGCTTGGGCTGAAGTTCTCCATGTTCTTCATTTTTCCATGGCTCCTGAATCCACAGTGAATTGGAAGAATGGCTGACAACTGCCAGGTTCAAAATCACCTCCCCTTGCCAAAAAGCCACATTTCTACAAAGAAGAGAAGCACACCACACCCCAAAACAGACAACTCCCCATGCTTTATTGTTCTGTGGCCAACCCAGGGCCAGACCCCAGCAGTCCAGTCACAGGGCTTCTTGAATTTACCTCGATTTTTGTTTGTAGCTGAGCAGGTGCTTCAGGTCATCAGGGAGGCACTCCTCCATTGTCTCAGAATTTTATTGTGGGACACAGAGTGTGAGCAACAATAAGGTCAGATAGGGGTGAGGATACAGTCTGTTGAGGTGTGGATGAGATCTCGCACCTTCACCTGCAAAAAAGGTTCAGACAGATGACACAGAAGTTGCTTCCAACTGCATCCCCTCATTCCGTTCATTGCACAGTCAACAGCATGGCCTGGTGCCCAGGTGGGATGACTCAATCGTGCAGGGAAAAGTTGGATTGCAAAATGGGGCCCTTCTGGCCAGCTCCAGAATTGAGCTTCCATTCCCAGAGCCACATTGGAGTGAGATGGACTGATGCTGGGTTGGATGTGGCCTCCACACTGGCAACCTATTTTCCTGACTTCCATGTTCCTTATGGGCCTAGAGTTTCCTAGGTCTGGCTCAGTCTGACTTCCATGTTCCTCATGAACCTGGGGTTTTTCTGGGTCTGGCTCAAAGTCTTCCACACTAAAAGTTTCCCAGTTCATGGAGGATAATTCTCATGGGAATCCATCGCATGAGTGTTTTCTTATAAACACTGTCACATTTTAATTACTGGGCAGTTGTGATACTTTTGGAATCATAAATTTCGATTATATCCACCATCAAGATAACTTGTTCTCCCACTTCTAAAGGACAGCTGCATGACTCCTGTAGGATGAGAAACAGGCAGCTGTGTCTGGCTTTTACCTGGCAATCTAGGCTCTGTTTCATGTCATCTGCACTTCCTTTCTCATTGTGGATGGGGTATTTCATTGGGCTGTTGGTGGGTGGGACTGACTCATTGTGGATATTTTGGTTGCCAGGTATATCAGAAAGCAAAAGGTATTTTGGGTAGGCTGGCCACACACCAAGTTGTGGGTAGTGGTCTCATAATGGTGGCTGGCATTGTTTACACTTTGCAGGAGGCTTTTAAGTTCTCTGGCAGGAAACCTTGAACATGGCTTGGACTCCTGCACAAGTCTGCTCATTCTCCCAGGAGAACCTTGACTTTTCTTTGCTTTCATGGGGGGTCCACAGTGCCCATCAACAGCACTCCTGGATGTTATTTTCAGGTTTCAAAATGCCCCAGACATCCTCTGAGACACTCTCTTAACCTCATGTGCACCTGCAAGAGGCCTGTTTTAGGTGTGAGAACAGTGCTCCACCTTGGACTTGCCTTTGTCATGGTTCCTGCCTTTACCAGAGAGCCATGCTGAGAAGCAGGAGCCCCTGTGAGGCCCGGGATGAAGAAAGGCAGGGGGTTCAAGGGCCTGGCCATCTTCCACTGACACCTGCCTCTTGGATCTCAGATATTATTCCATCACCCAGAGACCTCTTAACAACTCACCAGACTTTATTCCCATCCCCAGGAGACCGAATTCATGCACACAGCCTCTTTTGGGAATGGAGTCAGAAGAGCAGTCTCCAGAGCCCACCTCACAGTCTTCAAACTCCTCCTTCTCCTGTGGGACCCTACCACGGAGATGGCTCATGAAGGCCCTATGTTGGAGACTATTAGCATGCAGCAGTTGGTTGCTGCAGGCAGCCTTTTTCTGGAAACTAGGCCAGCTCTGGCTGTACCATTTTCCTGAGCTTTGCCAGGCTTACAGCCCTGACAGCCAGGTGCCTGAGCCTGCTTTGTGAATGCGCATGTGACAGTCAGGCCACCAGGCACCAGTGGTGAGCAGCGGCTCACATCACAGTGAATGCCACCATTGCCTAGTGATAAGTCCCTTCATCTTGGTGGAGAAGGAGTCCTCTGTGGCTGTGTGTCGGCATTGAACTATCACCTGTCTACTTTGAGGGCTCTATGGGATATTCCCACAATCCTAGGAGTGGGCAGTGGCGAGCCAGCCTGAAGACACATCAAGTGGAGCCCCAGGAATAAACCACAAAATCCCTAAGGATCCAAAAGGATACCCACGATGGGTCAGGCCTGCCTAGGCGGTGTGGGAGTGAGTCTTTTTGAAACTTCCCTCCCTGTGATTTCTAAGTACAGCCCGCCTCTGTTTTCCAGGGCTGCTCTCTCTCAGAAGGGGCTTTCTGCAGAACCGTGCAGCCTCAGGAGCTGTCAGTCTGTGTGTTTCTGTGGGAGTGTTGTGAGTGTTTGAATGTCTGCATGTGTGTGTGTGGCTGTATGTGTGTTTGTGTGTGTCTGTGTGTGGGGGGGGGGACATCTGCTAAAAGGAATATGTTTAATGCACTGCAGCGCTTTTTTTTTTTTGAGTCCCTTCACCTTCTGGTGCACCTGTCTGTGTGGCTCTGCTTGGCCTATGGGGCTGCATGTTCTTTGTTTTTCTGTGCTTCCTGAGTCCACGGTGAGTTGGGGGGGATGGTTGAGACTCACAGGTGTACAAATCACCTCCTCATAAAAAGGAGCCACTCTTCTAGAAAGAAGAGGAGCACACCACTCTCAGGAGAAGACACCTGTCCGGGCCTCATTGTCCTGTGGCCAACCCAGGACAGGACCCTAGCAGTCCTGTCCACAGGCCGCTTAAATCCAATTCGAATTTGGTTTGCAGCCAAGCAGGTGCTTCACGTCATGAAAGGAGCACTCCTCCAACATCTTGGGATTTCATTCCAGAACTAGGATTGTGAGCAGCAATAAGGTCAGATACGGGTGAGCATACAGTCTGCTGAGGTGTGGATGGGGTCCTGCACCTTCATCTGCAAAAAAAGGTGCAGCCAGATGACACAGGAAGTGCTTCCAACTCCATCCTTGCATTCCCTTCATTGCACAAGCTGTCCACAACATGGCCCTGTGGTCAGGTGGGAGGACTCCAACTTGCAGGGAATAAAAAAAAAGGTTTAACTGATACAAAAAGGTTTATCTCTGTAAGATGAATCCACACATCGCAAATCATTTGCAAAGATAGCTTCTTTTTAGTTTTTATGCCGGGATATTAGGTTTTTCAGTATAGTCCACAATAGGCTCTGAAATGTCCCTTCATAGATTCTACAAAAAAGGTGTTTTCATCCTGTTGAATCAAAACAAAGGTTTAACTCTGTGAGATAAATCCACACTTCACAAAGCATTTTCACAGATAGACAGTTTTTAGTTTTTACTGTGAAATATTTCGTGTTTTACTTTAGTCCTCAATGTTCACAAAAATATCTTTTTTTTTGTATATGCTATATAAAGAGTGTTCTCAACCTACCGAATGATAATAAAGGTTAAACTTTGTGAGATGAATCCGCACATCACAAAGCACTTTCACTAATAGATTGTTGCTAGTATGTATCGTGGCATATTCACTTTTTCAATATACTTGTCAATGGGTTCCAAAATGTTCCTTTGTAGATTCTTTAAAAAGAGTGTTTCCAGTGTGCTGAATCAATATAAAGGTTTACCTCTGTGAGATGAATCCACACACCACCAACCATTTTCAAATATTGCTTGTTTCTAGTTTTTATTTTGAAATATTCATTTTTTCACTATAGGCCTCAGTGAGCTCCAAAATGTCCCTTCATAGGTTGTACAAAAAGAGTGTTGCCAACCTGCTGAATCAAAACAAAGGTTTAAGTTTGTGAAACAAATCCATATATCAGAAAGCATTTTCACAGATAGCTTGCTTCTAGTTTTAATCACTGGTATTAGGTTTTTCAGTATAACCTTCAATGTACTTTGAAACGTCCCTTTGTAGATTCTATTAAAAGAATGTTTTCAACCTGCTGAATAAAAACAAAGGTTTAACTCTGTAAGATGAACCCACACATGGCAAAGCATTTACACAGATAGCTTGTTTCTAGATTTTATTGCAGAATATTCAATTTTCCACAGTAGGCCTCAATGGGTTCTGAAATATCCCTTTATAGATTCTACAAAGAGTTTTTCCAACCTGCTGAATCAAAAAAAGTTTTATCTCTGATAGATGAATTCCCACATCATAAAACATTTTCACAGATATTTTGTTTCTAGATTTTATCACAGGATATTAGATTTTTCTCTATAGGCCTCAATGGGCTCAGAAATGTTCCTTCCCAGATTCTACAAAAAGAGTGTTTCCAACCTGCTGAATCAAAATAAAGGTTTATCTCTGTCAGACGAATGAACACATCACAAAGCATTTTCAGAGATAACTTCTTTCAAGTTTTTATGATAAGATATTTGGTTTTCCACTGCAGGCCTCAATTGGCTTCAAAATATTCCTCTGAATGTTCTTCAAAAAGATTGTTTTCGACTTGCTGTAATAAAACAAAGGTTTAACTTTGTGACAGATAGCTTGTTTCCTGTTTT
This sequence comes from Homo sapiens, assembly GCF_000001405.40. Taxonomy (NCBI): domain Eukaryota; kingdom Metazoa; phylum Chordata; class Mammalia; order Primates; family Hominidae; genus Homo; species Homo sapiens. The sequence continues at coordinate 30,277,870 of NC_000020.11, forward strand.
TATAGCAGAATATTTGGTTTTACAACTATAGGCCTCTATGGGCTGTGAAATGTCACTTCATAGATTCTAAAAAAGAGTTTTTCCAACCTGCTGAATCAAAACAATTTTAACTCTCAGTTGAATCCACACAACACAAAGGATTTTCACTGATAGATTTTTCTAGTTTTTATCAAGGAATATTTGTTTTTTATTGTAGTTCTCAATGGGCCTTGAAATGTCTTTTAACACATTCCAGAATTAGACTGTCTGCAACCTGCAGAATAAAAACAAAGGTTTAACTCTGGGAGAAGCATCTGTACATCACAAAGCATTTTCACAGATAGCTTATAACTAGTTTTCATTGTGGGACATTCGATTTTTTAAAAGAGACCTCAATGGGCTATAAAATGTCCCTTTGTAGATTCTCCATAAATAGTGCTTCCAATCTGCTAAATCAAAACAAAGCTTTAACCTTGTGATATGAATCCACTCATTGCAAAGCATTTTCACATAAAACTTTTTCTAGTTTTCATCATGGGACATTTGTATTTTTGCTACAGTCCTCAATGGGCTCCAAAGTGTCTCTTCATAGGTTCTACTAAAAAAAAGTATTTCCAACCCGCCTTCCATAGATTTTCCAGGAACAGTGTTTTCAACCTCCTGAATCAAAACAAAGATTTAACTCTGTGTGATGAATCCAGACATCAGAAAGCTTTTTCACAGATAGCTTTTTTCTAGTTTTTATCATGGGATATTGGTTTTTCACTACCTGCCAATATGGGCTCCAAATTGACCTCTCATATATTCTACAAGCAGAGAGTTTCCAACCTGCTGATGCAATACAAGGGTTTAACTTTGTATGATAAAACTACACATCACAAAGCATTTTTACAGATACCTTGTTTCTAGCTTTTATCACAATATATTCTGTTTTTCACTACAGGCCTCAATTTGCTCTGAAATGTCCTGTCGTATATTCTACAATAAGAATGTTTCCAACCTGCTGAATAAAAAGAAAGATTTAACTCTATAAGTTGAAATCACACATCTCAAAGCATTTTCAGAGACAGCTTCTTTATAGTGTTTATTAGGATTTTAGGTTTTTCACTACAAGCCTCAATCAATGGGCTTTGAAATATCTCCTCATCAATTGTACAAAAAGAGAGTTTCCAACCTACTAAATCAAAACAAAGGTTTAACATTGTGAGACAAATCCACAAATTGCAAAGCATTTTTACAGATAACTTGTTTCTAGTTTTTATCACGGGATATTTGATTTTTCACTATAGGCCTCAGGGGGCTAAGAAAAGTCCCCTCTTTGATTCTACAAAATGAATGTTTCCAAACTGCTAAGTTTCCAACCTGCTGAATCAAAACTAACATTCAACTCCATTAGATGAATCCACACATCTCAAAGCATTTTCACAGATAGCTAGTTTCTAGTTTTCATCGTGGGATATTCAGTTTTTTACTACAGGCCTCATTGGGTTTGAAATGTACCCTTGCAGATTCTAGAAAAATAGTGTTTCCAAAGCGCTAAGTCAAAATAAAGGTTAAACTCTGTGAGATGAAACCACACATTGCAAAAGATTTTTACAGATAGCTTGTTCTAGTTTTTATCATGGCATATGTGGTTTTTCACTATAGGCCTCAATGAGCTCCAAAATGTCCCTTCTTTTATTCTACAAAAAGAATGTTTCCAACCTGCCCAATCAAAACAAGGTTTAACTCTGTGAGATGATTCTACACATTGCAAAACATTTTCTCACATACCTTGTTTCTAGTTTTTATCCTGGGATATTTGGTTTTTAGTATAGGCCTCTATGGGCTCCAAAATATCCCTTCATAGATATTACAAAAAGAGTATTTTCAACCTTCTGAACCAAAACAAGGGTTTAACTTTGCGAGATGAATCCACATATCTCAAAGCATTTTCACAGATAATTTGTTGTCAGTTTTTATCAGGGATATTCATTTCTTTATAATAGGCCTCAAGGACTCAGAAATTTCTTATTTTAAATTCTACTAAAAGAGTGTTTCCAACCTGCTGTATATAAACATAGGTATAACTCTATGAGATAAATCCACACATCACAAACATTTTCACAGATAGCTTGTTTCTAGCTTTTATCACAAGATATTCAGTTTTCACTATAGGCCTCTGTGGGCTCTGAAATGTTCCTTTGTAGATTCCACAAAAAAGTGTTTGAAACCTGCAGAATAAAAACAAAAGTCTAACTCTGTGAGATGAATCCACACATCACAGAGCATTTTCACTAATAATTTCTTGCTAGTTTCTATGGTGGGATATTTAGTTTCTCAATATACTCATCCATGGGCTTCAAAATATCCCTTCATTGATTCTTAAAAAAGAGTGTTTCCAAACTGCTAAGTCAAAACAAATGTTTAACTCTGAGGGATAACCCACGCATCACAAAGCATTTTCACAGATAGTCACTGGAACGCTGGCCTTTCTGGAAAAGCCACCTTTTTGGTACCCCTCCCCTCATGGCCGTGGCAGTGGCACAGTGCTGTATCCTGCCTGGGCTTTGGCCTCTGCTTTGTCCTGCCTCTTGCTCTGTCTCCCCTGTTTCTGAGGGGCCTAGATGCCTCTCGCTCTCGCTGAATGTCTTCAACAATGATCACAACCCAGTCCGTCAGGTAGACACTTACTGGAGATCCCTGTCGTGATCGTTTATCTCTTTCAACCTGTTTCTGCTTGATGGGGCAGGATAGACGACCCTGGAGCTCTTGGCTTCCATACTTCTCTCAGACAGGGAAGCTTCCTTCCTCTCCGTGTTTCACCTCATGGGTGGGTGGATTGCCTGGAATGAGCGCTAGTCGACCGTGACAGACCTTGTCTTCTAGGACAGGTGGTGTCGCATTTCCTCTGCACTTCATGTCTCATTCGTGAGAGACATCCTCTCCTCTGCTCCTGGGTGGACTGAGTCTCTGGATCTTTTGACCATAACGAATGTCGGGGAAAGGAACCAAAGGGACTGGGCTGGGGCTGGGGCTGGGTCTGCGGCTGGTTGCAGGGGAGGTTGGGTCAGGGCTACCTGGGCCATGGAGGGTTGGGGGTGGGGTGAATTTTGCCAAAACCTCTTTAATCCTCTGGCAGGCATTTCAAAATGTGGCTTGGACTAAGGCACAGGCACCCTCCTCGTTCCCAGGTGTTCTTTGATTTTCCTTGGCATTGATGGAAAGGTCACTCATTCCCCCCTTCGACCGGGCACATTCCTGGACACCATTGTTGGTTTCGCCATCACAATGTATGCCTCCGGTGACACACATTCACACCATCTGCTGTGGGATACACCAGTGCCACGCGTGGTCACATGGTCTCCATCTCGGATTCACCCCTGATCCTCTTTCTACCAGTCCCATAAAGCGCGGTCGGCTTTCCGGAGCCCCAGGGCTTTTAGAAGCGGGGCAGGCCACTGCTCTTTCAAAGGAGGAAGGAAGCAGAGGGCTGATGGATCAGTGAAAGTGCAGCTGACACTAGGCCTTGAGACTTATGGGATTATTCTGTGCTGCAGCGAGGCCCTACGGCCTCACCAGATGTAGTGAGCCCATCCTATCTCATTCAGCAGGCCAAAATGGATCTGAAGGGGAGTCCTGAGAACACAGCAAGCCTCCTGAAGCTCCCGCTCCATCGGTGGAAGTCGGCTCAAGGAGGTCCTGAGGACAGGACTCCTGGGGCTTTTGCCCTGGGACAATATACCCGGGGCCCCTCTCCCACGCTGCCTCAAATTGGACCCCGGATGCAGCCGACTCCGCGGCTGCAGCAGGAGCCTCGCTGCCACCCCGCAGCGCTGCCATTATTTAAAGGGGACGCAGCCTGACTGCCAGGAGCGGAGCGCGAGTCCGCCCAGCCAATGCTCCTGGGCGAGGCGCGAGTGGCTTTTCCCATCACAGTGGTTCCACGGTTGTCTTAGAAACCAGTCCCCGAGGCTTAGAAAAGCAGGAGCCCTCCGCGGCAGTCCATGGGTGTCAGGGTTCTGAGGCTCCGGCCTGACCTCTCCACGGGGTCGACGGGAACGTCTCCAGATGCCAGGAGTCGCAAAGCGCCAAACAGGATGAGGAAACCCCAGGCGGAGTCCGGGAAAAGCAGCACAGCATCCCAGCCTCAGGCCTGCCCGGACCGTGTTGGTTGGGTTGACTCTCCCCAAAAGTCGTGCCGCCATCCGTGATCTCTAAGACAGGTCGGCCTGCGTGCCCCTGGGCTGCTCTCTCATCCGAGGGTCGTTCTCGTCGAGAGTAGAATCCCGCAGTCTCAGGGGTTACCTGGGGGTGTGTATTTCAATACTTCTGCTGGATGACTCTGTGTGTGAGTCTGTGTGTGTATGTGTGTGTGTGAGCCTGTGTGTGTCTGTGTGTGTGTCTCCCATTCTCTCTTCTCTCTCTGTCTCTCAGTCTCTGTGTGTTTCTTTCCCACTCTCTGTGGGTTTGTGTGTGTGTGCCCTTGTGCGTGTGTGTCTTTGGCTGAATGTGCCCTGTGCACCACACAGCGGTTTCTCGCATGGCGGCCTGTCTTTGTTGAGCCTCTTTCTGCGTCTCTGCCTGGGTCATGAGGCCGGTTGTCAATCATTTTCGCCCCCGCAGATCTGCTTTGGGTGGGTGAAAGCCTGGCCCACGTGAGGAGATGCTTCGGTCCCGGAGCAATTGAAGTCTCATCCCCATCCTGAGTGGCCTCTTTTCTAGGATCAAGATGAACCCACTGCAGACGAGGACAAGAGCCCCAACAGGAGCTCTTTGTCCCACAGGAGAGCAGCGGACCCACGTCAGAGAAGATGCTTGTGTCTTTTCATGGCTCTTCTCTGAGAAATGAAGCCACACCACGATACAGTCAGCAAGAGGAAGCCAGGAATGAGAGATGGCAACAATCCCTGTCCCTGGAACGCTGGCCTCCCTGCACAAGCCACCCTTTAGGAACCCCACCCCTTATGCCTGTGACGGTGGCAAGGTGCTGTATCCTGCCTGGGCTCCGGCCTCTGCTCTGTCCTCCCTCTTGCTCTGCCTCCCCTGTTTCTCAGGGGCCTGGATGCCTCTCGCTCTGGCCAAATGCCTTCAACAAAGATGACTTCCCACTCCGTCAGGGAGACACTTCCTGGAGACCCGTGTCGTGATTGTTTCTCTTTCAAAAAGTATTTCCGCTTGATTGGGTAGGTCTAATGACCCGGGAGCTCTTGGCTTCCATAGGTGTCTCAGGCAGGGAAGCTTCCTTCTTCTCCACATTTCCCCTCATGGGTGGGTGGATTGCCTAGAATGAGCTCTAGGCGACCGTGACTGGCCTTGTCTTCCACGACAGGTGGTGTCGCATTTCCTCTGCACTTCCTGTCTCATTCTTGAGGGACATCCTCTCCTCTGCTCCTGGGTGGACTGACTCCCTTGATCTTCTGGCCAAAACGAATGTCAGGGAACCAAAGGGACTGGGCTAGGGCTGGGGGCTGGGACTGGGGCTGGGGCTGGGTGCAGCCGATGTTGCGTCAGGGCTACCGGGTTGGTGGAGGATTGGGGTTGTTGCGAATTTTGCAGAAACCTCTTTGCTCCTCCGGTAGGCATTTGAAAACGTGGCTTGGCTCAGGCACAGGCAGCACCCCGACCCACGGGGTCACAGGTGTTCTTTGATTTTCCTTGGCATTGATGGAAAGGTCACCTGTTTCCCCCTTCCACCTGCACATGCCTGGACAGCACCCTTTGTTTCGCCATCGCCCTGTATGCCTCCGGTGACACACATTAACACCAACTGCTGTGGGATAGGCCAGTGCCACGCGTGGTCACATGGTCTCCACCTAGGATTCGCCTCTGTTCCTCTTTGCAGTTGACCTGTAAAGCGCGGTCGGCTTTCCGGATCCCCAGGGCTTTTAGAAGCGGGGCAGGCCACTGCTCTTTCAAAGGAGGAGGGAGGCAGAGGGCTGATGGATCAGTGAATTTGCAGCTGACACCAGGCCTTGAGACCTACGGGATCATTCTGTGCTACAGCGAGGCCCTGTCTGCCTCACCAGATGTGGTGAGCCCATCCTATCTCACTGGGAGGGGGCCAAAATCGGATCTCAACGGGAGTCCGGAGAACACAGCAGGCGTCCTGAAGCTCCCCCTCCCTCAGTGGAAGTCGGCTCAAGGAGGTCCTGAGGACAGGACTCCTGGGGGTTTGGGCCTGGGACAGGACGAGACACCCGCGGCCCCCTCTCCCACGCCACCCCAAACAGGACCCAGGATCCAGCCGCCGCCGCGGCGGCAGCAGGAGCATCGCGGCCGCCGCGCGGCAGTGGCGATATTTAAAGGGGACGCAGCCTATCTCTCAGGAGTGGAGCGCAAATCGTCTCACCCAATGCGCATGCGCGAGGCGCGAGCGGCTTCTCCCGTCACAGTGGTTCCCACGGTTGTCTTAGAAACCAGTCTCCGAGGCTTGGCGAAGCAGGAGCCCTCCCTGGCGTGCTTGGGTTTCGGGGATCTGAGGCTCCGGCCTAACAACTTCACGGGGTCGACGGGAATGTCTCCAGATGCCAGGAGTCGCAAAGGGCCGACCACCATGAGGAAAGCCCAGCGGAGACGGGGGAAGCAGCACAGGAACCCAGCCTCAGGCCTGCCCGGATGGTGTTGGTTGGGGTGAGTCTCCCCAGAATTCGTGCCTCGGTCCGTGATCTCTAGGACAGTTCGGCCTGCATGCCCCTGGGCTGCTCTCTCGCCCGAGGGTCGTTCTCATCGAGAGCAGAACCCCATAGCCTCAGGGATTGCCTGGAGGTGTGTTTTTCAATGCCCTCCTCCTTTGAAAGAGCAGTGGCCTGCCCCACTTCTAAAAGCCCTGGGGCTCCGGTAAGCCGACAGGGCTTTACAGGACACCTGCAAAGAGGAACAGGAGCAAACCCGAGGCAGAGACCATGTGACTACGCGTGGCCCTGGCCTATCCCACAGCAGTTGGTGTTAACGTGTGTCACCGGAGGCATACGGGGCGACGGCGAAACAAAGGGTGTTGTCCAGGCGTGTGCCGGTGGAAGGGGAAAACAGGTGACATTTCCATCAATGCCAAGGAAAATCGAAAACACCTGGGACCCGAGGGGTGTGGGGGGGGCCTGTGACTGACCCAAGCCACGTTTTCGAATGCCTACCGGAGGAGCAAAGAGGTTTCTGCAAAATTCGCCCCAACCCCAACCCTCCAAGGCCCTGGCAGCCCTGACGCAACTTCGGCTGCACAGAGCCCCAGCCCCAGCCCCCAGCCCTAGACCAGTCCCTTTGTTTCCCTTACATTCGTTTCGGCCAGAAGATCAAGGGGTTCAGTCCACCCAGGAGCAGAGGAGAGGATGTCCCTCAAGAATGAGACAGGAAGTGCAGAGGAAATGCGACACCACCTGTCGTGGAAGACAAGGCCAGTCACGGTCGCCTAGCGCTCATTCTAGGTAATCCACCCACCCATGAGGGGAAACGTGGAGAAGACACCTGCCTGAGACACCTATGGAAGCCAAGTGTTCCCGGGCCATGAGACCTGCCCAATCAAGCAGAAACACATTTGGAGAGACAAACAATCACGACACGGGTCTCCAGGAAGTGTCTCCCTGACGGAGTGGGAAGTCATCTTAGTTGAAGGCATTTGGCCAGAGCGAGAGGCATCCAGGTCCCTGAGAAACAGGGGAGGCAGAGCAAGAGGGAGGACAGAGCAGAGGCCGGAGCCCAGGCAGGATACAGCACCTTGCCACCGTCACAGGCATAAGGGGTGGGGTTCCTAAAGGGTGGCTTGTGCAGGGAGGCCAGCGTTCCAGGGACAGGGATTGTTGCCATCTCTCATTCCTGGCTTCCTCTTGCTGACTGTATCGTGGTGTGGCTTCATTTCTCAGAGAAGAGCCGCGAAAAGACTCAAACATCTTCTCTGACGTGGGTCCGCTGATCTCCTGTGGGACAAAGAGCTCCTGTGGGGCTCTTGTCCTCATCTGCAGTGTGTTCCTCTTGATGCTAGAAAAGAGGACGCTCAGGATGGGGACGAGACAGCAATTGCTCCAAGACCGACGCATCTTCTCACGTGGGCCAGGCTTTCACGCAGCCAAAGCAGATCCGCGGGGGCGAAAACGATTGACAACCGGCCTCATGACCCAGGCAGAGACACAGAAAGAGGTTCAACAAAGACAGGCCGCCATGCAAGAGACAGCTCTGTGGTTCACAGGGCATATTCAGCCAAAGACACACAAGCACACGGGCACACACACACAAACCCACAGAGAGTGGGAAAGAAACACACAGAGACTGAGAGACAGAGAGAGAAGGGAGAATGGGAGACACACACACACACAAACAAAGGGTCATACAGCAGAGGCATTGAAACACACACCACCAGGCAACCCCTGAGGCTGCGGGGTTCTGCTGTCAACCAGAACGACCCTCGGGTGAAAGAGCAGCCCAGGGGCACGCAGGCCAACCGGTCCTCGAGATCACGGACGGCGGCACGACATTTGGGGAGACTCACTCCAACCAACACCGTCCGGGCAGGCCTGAGGCTGGGAGCCCCTGCTGCTTCCCCCGTCTCCGCCTGGGGGAGCCCACCACCTACCCACCCTCCATTCACCTCCCCTCCTTAAGGCTCACTAAGCTCTATTTACCTTTTGTAACTCCATCCCTCCGTAAGTACACAACTCTCCTAGCTGGTTTCCTAGAGGGCAGATACAGTGTTTCCAGTTGGCCCTCTGCAGATATCTATGAACAAGTCTCTCCCAGCCCCTACATATAAATATGTGTGTTCTAGACAGACGGGCCTAAGTCCCAATGTAAACACATCACAAGATAATTACACCTTATATGCATACAGATCTCTCTATAGAGTTATATTTGAAAGTGTCTATAACTCTAGAGAGAGATTGCAGCATGCACATATAGGACTGTAATTACTTATATGTATTTTTATAACTATGTAGTTATAAATAGATATGCCTATATATAGTGATAATAATATAGCAATATCTCCATAGCCATATATGGCTCTAAATGAATGCTCTAACTACTCTATTTCACAATCAATAAGTATATATCTTCTGATACATAATTCTAACAATATACGTTTTTATCTATATAGCTGTTCAGAGATATAAATCTGTCAGGATATCAAATGTACATAAAGCTGGATGGCTGTAAGAGAGTCGTATATTTTCCCATATATAAATCTGCTCCTATAACTACTGTATATGCACAAATACAATGGAAATAGTTATATTTCCCTCAAACATAAATCTGTAAATACAACCACAGCACATTTAGGTACGGTTAGACATAGAGCAATATTTCCTAGATATCAGTCTGTCAATAGAGCCACAGTGTCTCCAAACAGAGAGTTATAGAGGGAGTTATAAATAAACTCTCCAGATGTGAACGGATCAGTAGAACTAGATGTAAACATGACTCCAAGCCGTTCTTTCTTCTTCTTCTTCTTTGTAAGATATTCCTGAAGCAAGCCCAGTCATATAACAGGGTGCAAAGGTGTCTGGGTACTGGTATTTTTCCCCCCAAGGAGGGTCGGAAGTCGCTGGACTTTGGGAAACTGAGCAGGAGTGGGTAGGGGACAGTGCCCGCTCCCAACGCAATCCAGAAGCCCCTTCCGTCTGTCTCCTGGTGGCTGAGAGCTCGGGCAAGTGGAGAGGCCTAAGGGAGAAAAATGAAAAAGCAGAGTCTGGCTTGAGTCGTTTGGCCCTTCTGCCTAAAACCCTCTCAACAGGGAAGCCCCGACCAGGCGTCGGAGCGGAGAGAGCCCACGAGGCACAGAGGTTGGGAGAAAGGGTCTGCAGGCCGGGCTTCGGAGGCCTAGCGGAGTCGCCAGCCGGTGCCTGACCGCCCGGCGCCCCATCGCCCAGGGCCGCTGCCTCGCCGCAGGCCTGAACACAAAACCTGGGCCCTAGCCCTGCGCCCTGTGCTCAGCACTTCCACTGGTCTTATTTTATTGCTGTTTGTCCAATTAGGTATCGCAGCGTCCTCCACCAGGTGTTGTTTTCAAATGTGAGGGCACCCAGAGCTTTCTGAATGCGTGTCTGTGTGTGTGTGTGTGTGTGTGTGTGTGTGTGTGTGTGTGTGTGTGTGTGCTGGCTTTAAATAAGTGACTCAGTGGATAGTGTATTTCTCTTTTCAGACCAAATGTGTCACTGGCTACTGGAAAAGAATCCAGACCTCTGAAAGGGTTCGTGACAAATTTTTTAGAAGTTCTCACGCTCATTTGTTACGATGATTTTCTTTTCTTTTTTCTCTTTTAAAAAAGTTGGCTAATTTGTGCTTCTATATTCCTCTTTAATTTTATTTTTATTGGGGGTACAAATGTTTTTAAAGGAGGGATTTTGTTAGACCCGAAACTGTGGGGTGGCTTCCTCTCTAGCAAACTTATTATCTCTACGCCTGTGATTCCCATCACCGCCAAGAAAACAAACTAATTAAACGACCAGAAAACTGTACCTGGAGAAAATGAGGTAGAAGTTGCAGGATCCGGGACCGCGGTCTTTGCTTGCTTCATGAAAAATCGGCTAGTCTCCAAACTCGCGAAGGAATATTCAAGGTGCCTCAACTCCTCCTTTTAAATTTTTTAATAAAGAGCCTAGACAGGGAACTTTCCCTGGGCCTGCCAGAGCCCCAGCCTCGCTCTCCCAACTTCCCAGCGGCCATAAGTGTTTTTCTGCTTCCGTTCGGGCCCCCCGTCTTCCCGGGCATCTCTGAGCTCCTGCCGGATCAAGGCTGTGGTCATCACCTCATTCATCTCTGCCGCTTGGCCTGAGCCTGCACATTTGGCCTCATTCTTAAAACAGAGGCTCCTGGAGAGTCCCAAAAGCCACTAACCATTCCCATATGTGGGATCCCTTCTCTGATCACACAAAGCAGAAGCCTGAGAAAAAAAGCAATAAAGAGTGGTCTCTGGCTCTCCTTCCCCTCTTCCGTCCCTTGTCTGGGAAAGGGGTTCCCAACCCCAGCCCCACCAAGAGCATATTAAGATTTCTTCCTCCCTTCCTTTCCTATCTCCCCCTCAGATGCTGTGATCCTGACTCCTTCTGTCTCCACCTCAAAATATTTCCTCTTGCATTTTATTGTTATTCTGTTATGGAGGGACTGTTAACTACTGTTTTATTATTATTATTCATTATTTATTGTTATTATGATTGTTGTTAGAGATTTGTTCACCACTGTTCAGGGGACAGCAGCCTGGCCCAGGGGGAAGCCTGCCTCTCCCTCTCTGTCTCTCTCTCTTTCTCACACGCACATACACACACACACACCCTAACACAGTGCACACTCATGCATATATGCTCACAAATGCCTGCTGTGTTCAGGCCCCTGCACAGCAATCCGAAGAGGCAGGCATCCTACCGCAGCACTCAAACAACACACTGCCCACGCACACCAGCATTCAGGCAGAACACCACCCCCAGACCAACGCCAAAACCCACACGCACCGAGCTTGCAAGGAAAGGAAAATACATAAAGAATCCCTTCTCTCCACAACCTGGAGGGGCGAGTCAGGCCTCTGTCTCTTCCCCCCAGTCGCTTTCGCTTTCTCTTTTTTTTTTTCTCCTTGTTTACAGCTTCAGAGAGCTCAAGGCACATAAATCTTGAGGGTTCTACAGAGCGCAGAGCACATTTGTATGCATCGTTAGGACTCGCTAATACCTAAGCCCATTAAGGAGCGTGTATGCGCGTGGTTTCCGGTGTGTATTAACTTATAGTTAAATTCTGGAGGAAAGGGCATTGTGAATTAACATATACCAAATCCATCATGGGCTTTTGTCATATCAGATTAGTCAGTCATGGGTTTGGGGGAGCAACTTGCCTGGGTTGGTGTGTACCCACCCTTCAAACTTTGTGGAGCAGGCCCAGGGGTCTTGGGAAACACGAAGGCATTCCTATCCAGCCCCAGTCATTCGGATCCCCCAGGCCTAGCGGCCGCACACCTGCGAGATGGCGGAGGGACTGCAGACCCGGGTGCGGGAGGCCAGCGCCGGCGAAGAGAGGCGGGGGAGGGAGGCCCCTCCAGCGTCCTGCTGGGGTTGAGTTGGGGCGGCTCGTCCCATGGCCGCTGGGTCGTCTGGTTTCCGCTTTCCGAAAGAAATGAGAGGAGAGGCAAGTGGAGACGCTGAACTTTAATTTAACCATAGAGAAGACAGTGGGGGGAGGGGGAAAAAAGATCGGAGAAGGAGGAGGAGGCGGCCGAGAGATCGAGGAAAGGAAGTCCTGGCGGCTCGGGGGAACTTGGAGATCTCTCCAAGGGGCTGAAAGCTGGAAGTTGTATGAAGATGTTCCTTTCCCACATCCCAGCTACTCCGCCCCAGTCGAAGAGACTAATTCCGGCCCTCTTATAAAAATAAGAAAGAAAAGGTAAAGAAAAAGAAAATCTAATTATGTGGCATGTTTCAGCCAGGTGTTCCTGGTTCCAATGACTCAGACCCTATTGGAGCCCCGGGGATCTGGATAATTGGGCATGCATAGACAGTGATGAAGGATGCCATTTCTAAAAGGAGGAAGGGGAGAGGAAAGTCCATCTCTTGGGGTCTTGTAGAAAATGCCAAAGACCAAACAAGCTAAATTATTGTGTCCGTGTAGATCTATTTCCCTATTTACATACAGCAGGCTGTGGGGGTGGGGGATGAGGGAAGTCCAGGAATAAACGACCAGGCTGGAGCTGGCTGGCAGGAGAGAAAATGCGCCCCCTGGCCCTTTGCAGGAACAGCCAAGGGGCCTCCTCAGCTCGCAGCTCAGGCGGCCTTGCGGCGGACTGGTCCGGGGCCGGGGGCGGGGCCGGCCTGGGGGAGGGGAGGCGGGGGCGGGAGGGGAGGCGGAGGCGACTCTCCCCGGGCGCTATGAACTTTAGCTGGGCCGCCGCCTGTCAGCCCCAGAAAGCGTTAAAGGTGCAGCAGCCCGCGCCAGCCTCCTCAGCCGCCTTTGTATGCGTGATTTATGACTTCAATCTTGGTTCACCAAGAGTTCACACGGCTTTCGCTGCTGTTGAAGGTTAAAAGATGGTCTTCCCTTGACAAGTGGGACTATTGAAAATTCCTTCTTCTTCTTTTTTTTTTTTTTTGCCAAAAAAATTATTCACTGTTTATCTGAAATTCACATTTGACTGAGGGTCCTATGTTTGACCTGACAACTCTACTCTTTTTGTTTGTTTGTTTGTTTTTGTTTTTTGTTTGTTTATTTTATTGATCATTCTTGGGTGTTTCTCGCAGAGGGGGATTTGGCAGGGTCATAGGACAATAGTGGAGGGAAGGTCAGCAGATAAACAAGTGAACAAAGGTCTCTGGTTTTCCTAGGCAGAGGACCCTGCGGCCTTCCGCAGTGTTTGTGTCCCTGGGTACTTGAGATTAAGGAGTGGTGATGACTCTTAACGAGCATGTTGCCTTCAAGCATCCGTTTAACAAAGCACATCTTGCACCACCCTTAATCCATTTAACCCTGAGTGGACACAGCACATGTTTCAGAGAGCACAAGGTTGGGGGTAAGGTCATAGATCAACAGGATCCCAAGGCAGAAGAATTTTTCTTAGTACAGAACAAAATGAAAAGTTTCCCATGTCTACTTCTTTCTACACAGACACAGCAACCATCCGATTTCTCAATCTTTTCCCCACCTTTCCCCCTTTTCTATTCCACAAAACTGCCATTGTCATCATGGCCCGTTCTCAATGAGCTTCTGGGTACACTTCCCAGACGGGGTGGTGGCCGGGCAGAGGGGCTCCTCACTTCCCAGTAGGGGCGGCCGGGCAGAGGCGCCCCTCACCTCCCAGATGGGGCGGCTGGCCGGGCGGGGGCTGACCCCCCCCACCTCCCTCCCGGACCAGGCTGGCCGGGCGGTGGCCGACCCCCACCTCCCTCCCGGATGGGGCGGCTGGCCGGGCGGGGGCTGACCCCCCACCTCCCTCCCGGACCGGGCGGCTGGCCGGGCGGTGGCCGACCCCCACCTCCCTCCCGGATGGGGTGGCTGGCCTGGCGGGGGCTGACCCCCACCTCCCTCCCGGACGGGGTGCCGGGCGGAGACGCTCCTCACGTCCCAGACAGGGCGGCTGCCGGGCGGAGGGGCTCCTCACTTCTCAGATGGGGCAGCTGCCGGGCGGAGGGTCTCCTCACTTCTCAGACAGGGCGGCCAGGCAGAGATGCTCCTCACCTCCCAGATGGGGTCGCGGCCGGGCAGAGGCGCTCCTCACATCCCAGACGGGGCAGCGGGGCAGAGGCGCTCCCCATATCTCAGACGATGGGCGGCCGGGCAGAGACACTCCTCACTTCCTAGATGGGATGGTGGCCGGGAAGAGGCGCTCCTCACTTCCTAGATGGGATGACGGCCGAGCAGAGATGCTCCTCACTTTCCAGACTGGGCAGCCAGGCAGAGGGACTCCTCACATCCCAGACGATGGGCGGCCAGGCAGAGACGCTCCTCACTTCCCAGACGGGGTGGCGGCCAGGCAGAGGCTGCAATCTTGGCACTTTGGGAGGCCAAGGCAGGCGGCTGGGAGGTGGAGGTTGTAGCGAGCCGAGATCACGCCACTGCACTCCAGCCTGGGCACCATTGAGCACTGAGTGAACCAGACTCCGTCTGCAATCCCGGCACCTCGGGAGGCCAAGGCTGGCGGATCACTCGCGGTTAGGAGCTGGAGACCAGCCTGGCCAACACAGCGAAACACCGTCTCCACCAAAAAAATACGAAAACCAGTCAGGCATGGCAGCGCTCGCCTGCAATCGCAGGCACTCGGCAGGCTGAGGCAGGAGAATCAGGCAGGGAGGTTGCAGTGAGCCGAGATGGCAGCAGTATAGTCCAGCTTTGGCTCGGCATCAGAGGGAGACTGTGGAAAGAGAGGGAGAGGGAGACCGTGGGGAGAGGGAGAGGGAGGGGGAGGGGGAGAGGGAGGGGGAGGGGGAGAGGGAGAGGGAGCCTTCTTTTTTTTTATTTTAGAAGCGAAGAGCAGAGGCTCAGGTGAGGAAAAAATTGGGGGGTGGGTGTGCGGGGGACAGGGGTTGCAGGTGGGCCAAAATGGTAGGTCAGGAAGGTTTGTCTTCCTATATTTAGGATTTTTTGTTGCTAGGATTTGCGTGCATGTTGGAGAGAGGTTAGAGAATAAGAGGGAGATAGGCAAGAGATGTAAAGATCTCTCATATTTAGAGGCCAAAGGAGTGAAAAAAAAATCGTGCTTCCACAGTTAATTATCTGGGTAACTTGGGTCACACCCCCTAACTGATCCTCCTCTAGAGACCAGAAATGGGCCAGGTAAGGGGCAGAGTTGGGCAAAGGGTAAGGTTTGTGTGCTTCTCACTGGGTGTACTTGATCATCCACCTTACCTGGGTAACTACTTTTTTTTTTTTTTTTTTTTTTTTTTGGAAATGTGGTCCAGCTCTGTTTCCCAGGCTGGACTGTTGTGGCACCATCATAGTTTACTGAAGCCTCAAACTCCTGGGCTCAAGTAGTCCTCCCACCTTAGCCTCTTAAGTATGTGAGACTGCAGGCATGTGCCACACCGCCAGGCTGGGTAGCTGCTTTTCAATATGCTTCTGCACCCACAGATTTGGAAAAGGGCATTTTTAGACAGCAGTCTTTCAACTCTCTTCATCCTGTAGGTTTAGCCTGCCATTTACATTTGATGCACATGAAAAGGCTAATGGGAAGGAAATCTATAGAATTGTAATTGGAAGACCTTTCAAATCCCAAATTCCCTTGGTCTAAGAGCCAGTCTCTCTTCTTTCTAGCATTTTGACAAAGGTCGTGCCACAGCAGAGGTGGTGGTCAAAGATCTCCTAAAGACCAGGATCTAAGGCCCCTTTGTGATCTAAGGCTCTGAGTACTTGGAGAGACAAAACTCACTCCTTCTTTGTAGATTCAGAGAGACAGAGAGAGAGAGAGAGAGAGAGAGCGAACGAGAGAGAGAGAGAATGAGGAGATACCTTGAAGCTGAGGGTCTGCTTGGCTCTTCGAGGTTTCTTTTAAGATATGTTTTTAAAAAAATTTCTGGAGTGGGAATTGGGATTGTGTGCACTGGGAAGGGGAACAGCAGAGAGCTGGGTCGGGAGTTGGGTGTGCCTCCCTAGCCCTATTTAGGCCCCATCTCCATTATCAATACTAGGTAAATGTCTTAAGAGATAGAGCCAGCCCCTCAAATCCAGATCTGGGAACCAAAGGCATCCACGCTAGAAGGGGCACTCCCTGCTTCTCTTTCTACATAGCGTTAGAGAGGTATTTTCCCACCATGTGAGGACTTAGATAAGAGAAGGAGAAGAGCCAGAAAGATGTCCACATCTCGCCGGGACACCTAGCACCAGGCCCTCCTACAGGGGACCTCGTATGTAAATAGCAGAATGGGGAGCAGAGAACAGAGAGACGCCAGAAATCCAGAGTCCAGGCTCTGAGGTCACTTTGGTAGGAATGGTCCTCTGGCCTTATGAAGAACAGAGGGGCAATATGGCACTGTTTAGAAGCTCAGGGGGTGGTAGCTGTTAGGAGGAATCAGCCAAGGAAGCTAATGAATCTCTTCCGGGTTCTGGTTGGGAAGCAGAGGAATGAACTTAACGGCCTCTGGAAGTAATGTCTGTACTGAAGTCCCCTTCTTACCCTTTCTGACTGTGTTCCTCCCTGGGAAATAATTCCAGTAGGCTTGTGCTTATCTGCAAGTCTGGGGTAATTATGAATTATTAATTCATCATTAAGACTTGATTGTGACCGTTGCTCTCCAGTGGACCCATTTATCTCCTTCTTTGTGAGGCAGAGGGGAGCCTCTGTTAGCCCTTGGCTTCTGTAACAGGCAAACTGAGGCCAGCCCCTCTTGAAGGCAGTCCTTGAACTCTGCCCTAGGTGGGATGGTTGCCTCATTACCAGTCAAGTAATGTTGCACCTCAGAGTATTTGTGCAATACAGCCACTTCCCACAAACTTCGGATTTCAAAGTGCTTTGTAGGCTCCTGGAGAGATAGAGTAGCGGATTGGGAGTGAGACTCCAACAGGGGAAGAAACTTGGCCAAGCTGTGTGTGGAGACAGGAATTAAGGTGAGGTGGGAGGACTCCCAGGCACAGTATCTAAGCAATCTGGGATCAGGAATGGTCATTTTGTCTTCCTTACCCTAAGGAGATGCTAGTTTCCCTCAACTCTCTGGGGACCCCTGAACACACATCTGGACCCTTTTCCTGATCTCTCTTTCCCCCACCAGCCTCTCAATCGAGAAGCACAGGTTTCAAGTCATATCATCCCCTCTGATGGTTAGGGGTGGGAAAGTCAGATCTGCCGGTTGTTTCACATCTGTGAGAGGCCTGGAGAGGGAGAAAATTGCTCCTATCCCATGAGGTAATGCCCATCTAAATCCCTGCTGTAAACTCACCTCCCCCAGCACTGAAACAATTCTCTTCATCCTTTTTTTCCCCTCTTCTTCCCTCTGGAACCACAGACAGGGAGACTGAGGGTAGGAGATGCAGCTCCCAACAGCTGTACCTAGAGGAAGAGACAGCAGTAGGAAATGAGGGGAGAGTGGCTTAAACCTGTTATTTCCCACAAGGTTTATCTCCATTCTTCAAACCCAGGTCAACACCCTAAAACCAGAGCCATGGGAAGCCCTCTCTCCTTGTTCCCCCAACTCTCTCTCTCTCACAGAAAAGGAGCCCTGTGTCCCTCCCTGAGGCCAAGGGGCTTCTCTAAAAACTGCTCTAAGAACACTACCACTTTCTACAGGACACCTGAAGTCCCAACCCCCATGTATCTCTCAGTGCCTGTCTGGTCCAGAGGGAGCCAGTGGCTCTTGCCAACACATTACCATTTTGTGCCCCACGATGGGGGTGGTCCATGGAGTCATCTCAGCTTTCAGCCCAGACCTCACTCACTCTTTCTCCAAGCCATGCCAACATTCCTTGGTCTCTCCAAAGCCAGGAGGCAGGTAGGAAGCCCATCCAGAGGGTCCCCTGGAACTGGCTAATATAGTTTAATTTACTGTTTGGTGGTAAATCAAGAGAACTTGGGAAAAAAGGGAAGGAGCAACTGTGCCTAGCATCTTTCTCAGCCACCCCTCCCCTGGACATTGGCTTTCTCCATGAAACAGTGCACTGTTGTTCTTGGACAACCATTCCCCACCATCTTCGTTGGAAGGGCTTGAGTTTCACCCTCCGTTCACCCCCATTAATCACCCCAGCAGCTAAACATCACCCAGCCCCCTCTGGCCCTTTCTCTTCTTGCCCTTAGTATTCATGGCGGAGCATTCCTCACTGCTGCACGCTCACAAAGACCCCTCCTCTGACACGAGGTCCCTCCCACTCCCCAACCACCCAGTCCACGATGGGCACTGCTCACTGTTCTGGATGTTCCAACTGCCGGCGCCCACTCCTGGACCCCGTTCCCCCACTCCCCAGCTATCTCCATAGCGACTGCCCCCTTCCCATGCACTTGTTGGCTTACCACACCCTCCTTCAGGTAACTCCTCTTAACCCCACAAACCCTCTTCAGTCTTTCCCAGCCACCATTCTGCCCTCCATGCCCTATGCATGTGTAGCCCTTGTCTGCTTCTCTATACTTCTCCTTGCTTCTCTCGTCTTTCCTTCCCCAAGACATTCCGTAGGCACTTCATATGGTGGACCTGAAGCCCTTCCCTTCTGACCTTGAGAAAGTGAGAGGCAGTGTACCACAGGGGTTAAAAGCATGGGTTTGTGATTCAAGTCCCTGATCTGACACTTGCTAGTTGTACAAACTTGGGCAAATTACTTAACCTCTCTGAGCCATCCATAAAATAGACATACCCACTGACCTTATAGAGTTGTTCTGTAGATCAGATTAAATTTTATTTGCATAGATCCAAGCATTCAGCAGGGGCTCGATAAGTGGTAGTTATTGTGTTACAAGCTTCTTGTGAAGAAAGAGAGATGTTCTTCAGGTTCTAAAAAGTGAAGGAATTGCCTCATCCAGCACCAGAGAGGGAGGGATAAAAATTACACAGTCTTGCAGATAAGCAGGGCCCATTTACCAGGCAGTGATACTCTTCTATTAGCTCTAGAGGGTCTCAACTTTCGCTGCACATTGGAACCCCCAGCGAGTTTTTTTGTTTGTTCATTTTTGTTTTTGAGATGGTGTCTTGCTCTTGTCGCCCAGGCTAGAGTGCGGTGGCACATCTCGGCTCACTACAACCTCTGCCTCCTGGGTTCAAGCAATTATCCCTGCCTCAGCCTCCCGAGTAGCTGGGATTACAGGTGCTTGCCACCATGCCCAGCTAATTTTTGTATTTTTAATAGAGACGGGGTTTCACCATGTTTGCCAGGCTGGTCTCGAACTCCTCACCTCAGGTAATCTGCCCACCTTGGCCTCCCAACGTGCTGGGATTACAGGTGTGAGCCACCATGCCCGGCCACAAGCTTTTTAAAATACTGATGCCTGGGTCCCACCTCCAGAGATTCCAATTTGGTTGGCCTGTAGTAGGGCCTGGGCATCTGGATTTTTAAAACTCCCCAGGTTGATAATGTGTAGCCAGAGGTTGAGTTGCAGGCCCTAGGAAATGATACAAGAGATAAGGGGAGGGCTGACACTTCTGCCAGAGCAAGGGAGGGGAGGGATACTCAGCTGAGAGCTGCTTCTCAACCTTGGACATCCCCTCACCAGTGGCACTGCTTCAGTCGGGGAGGTTTTCACTTAGAATTAGCTTCTCTTGAGATCCCAGAATTTCAGAGACTCTCACCTTTTTCATTTCCTATAGCTATTAGAATTTACAAAGGGGCCACCCAAAGAGGAGACAGAGGAATTGACAAATTGACCTCTAAGAGGCTCATCTCTTATCAGAAAAGCATATGGTCCCCAGACCACCAGTGATAGAAGCAGAGGCAGATACCTCCAGTAGTGGGAAAATTTGTAATTACATAGTAAATGGAGTTTCTACCTGGTTGCTACAATAATAGGCCAAGCAATTAGGATACAAGTTTCCAGGACCTTTTCCTATATTTCCAAAAAGATAAATCACCCCTAGGAACAGAATCTGCATATTGTAATTACCTGATAAATATTTCATGCCTGGTTCAAACTTTCTCCTCTTCTATTTAATGGCCACAAACTTGAGCCCAGAGGAAACAGGAGTGAGGAGAGTGGGGGTTGGCTGTAGGGGGGAGGTTCTACCTTGGCTTCAGGGAGGGAGAAACTGTCTTAGTTAATTATTTACTGTCCTCCTGTTCTTTTAAGAAAACATTGCTCACCTGGAGAAAATCATGTCCCAGGTGGTAAAGGGTGTGACTTGGGCTTGTTGGCCTCAGCCCTGACCTCCCCCAGGAGAGGCCAGGTTTTGGTGACCCTGGGGGTGCTGGGAACTGCAGGCTTTGGAGTCAAGGGCCCAGTGTTTGAACAAGAGCTCTGTTCTGTCACTTATTAACTGGATGGCTTTAGGTAATTTACCTAATCTATGTGAAACTCAGTTTCTTCATCTGTAAAACAGACATAATTTTTACCTTGTAGGGTGGCCAATGCTCAGTTGGATCTCAATGCATGATAACTATTATTATCAACAGTAACAATGAATAATTAATAGCCCATTGGATTGTACCCTTTCCCTTCCTCAACCTTGCTCCAGTGTGTAGGGCACCTAAACTACTGAATGCTTACTGCGAGTATGGTGAATGCCTTAGCTCAATTACACAACATAATTCTTTGAAGGGAATATCTTATCATCCCTACTTATCTGTGTTTTGCAAATGAGGGAACAGGGCATGTAGAAGTTAAATACCCTGCCAGGTGTCACACAACTAAGTGGTTAAGAGCACAGGCTCTGCAGTCTGACTGTGTAGTTTCAAATTTGGGCTCTGCCACTTAATAATAGACTCTCCTTGACTTACGATGAGGCTGTGTCCCGATAAAGCTGTAGTAAGTTGAAAATATTGTAAGGTGGATATGCATTTCATACACCTAACCCACCAAACATCATAGTTCAGCCTCGCTTACCTTAAAGTGTTCAGGACACTTTCATCAGCCTACAGTTGGGCAAGATCATCTAGCACAAAGCCTATTTTATAATAAAGTGTTGAATATCTCATGTATTCAACATGAGATATTTATTCATCTCATGTATTCAACATGAGATTCAACATGTTATAATATACTGTACTGAAAGTGAAAAACAGAGTGGTTGTATGAGTATTAGAAGTACAGTATCTAATGAATGCATATCACTTCCACATCATCATAAAGCTGAGAAATTGTAAGTCAAAGCATCATAAGTCAAGGACCGTCTGTAATCACTGCAGGATGGAACATAAACTGCTTAACCTCGCTAAGCCTCAGTTTCTTCATCTGTAAATTGGGGATATGAATGGTACCTACCTGAAAGGTAGTTGTGAGAATTAAGTGAGAAATGCGTGTATAGTGCCTGTCTCAGTACTGGCATGTGGTAAGTGCCTAGTAAATGTGAGTTGTCAGTACCATCATCATACTACCCAGCAACTCAGGGCCATGGCGTCTCCTGCTCTTTGGTGGTGTTTGGGAGATGAGTGAGTGTGAGGGTCCTCCAAAGGTCACAGAGCTGCTCTTTTAACTCCCCCTGACAGACACACACACTTCAGTATCTAGGACTCGGGAAAAAGGACACTAAGCAGATTATGACTCCATTTCGGGAATTAAATCAAAACTCAAGACTATCTCAATTTGGCTTCTGACGAGAGGGAAAGGTTAAAAGGGAGTGAGGAGGCGGTTGAGTGTGCGTCCAGAATTGCAATTGGTTCTGGATCCCACCTCCCAGCTCCTCCACAGGGCCAGGCCCAAGGAGTATCCCCCCCGGGGGTGGAGGAGTGAAGGAGCCTTAGAACCTGTGTTATCTGAATGTGGGTGAGGTGGGGAGAACATGGTCAAGGAGTTGGGAAATTATCCAGAAACATTTTCCAAAGGGAGATCTTCCCGCATACCACCTCAGCCTGGCTCTGGATTGCAGGGGAACCCCAGAACGGATGGGGTCTGGGGGCTTAAGACAGGTAGGTGGCCTCAGTAGAGGGGAGAAAAAGTCCTGCTGGAGACAGTCGCCTCCCTGGAGAAGGACCTGGGCTAGTGTTCTCTTTAAAGACGTCTAAGCAGTCCTGGTATGCTAAAAACATTATGTGTATGTGTATAAACATATATTCTGTGTGTGAGTAGCCACTCAGCTCTTACTTGGCTTCGCACATTTGGCCCAGATTATTCTGAGCATTGTAAACTAAAAGTGAAATTCGGTTTCTACTTAAGAGAGAGCGTGATTTTCCCCAGTATTATCTCCTGTGCCCCCAACACTCCACCAGGCTTTAAAGGCCATTATACAGAAGGGAGAACTGAGACTCAGGAGATTGATGGTTTGTTCAGAATCGCAGAAGCAGCGTGGATCCAAGAAGGGATCTGCTCCCAAACAGAAACCAGTGTCTTGGGAGAGAGAGAGCAGAGGAAGCCCGCACCTCTGCCCTAACCTGAGGCTTTGAGCCTCCCGCAAAGCCGAGTGAGTTGAGAGCGCCTGGAAGGCAGACGCTGCGGAGGGAGGGACTCCCGGGCTCGCCAAACAGCGGGGCCTCGGGCAAGAGCGTCGCTGGCGCGTCCTCATTCTGCGATTGCTGTCAGGGGACCATCCATCAGCGCCGCCCTGGACGCTGGGCCAGACTGCCCGCCGCCCGCCCCGCCCGGGTCTCTCCAGATCGCATTAGCGTGGGGCGAGGGCTCAGTGCGGCACCGGCTGCTGAGGGAGAGGCGTGGCGGGGAGGAGGGTGGTGCGGGGGGACGAGGACATCGCTGTGGGGACACTGCAGGGGCAGGGGAGAGGCTGCTTTAGGACCCTCCTCCTTTTCTTCCAATCTCCCGCCTCTGGGATCTAAGGTGGATGAAAGGGGCACTAGAATGGGAGACTTTTGGGGGGCAGGGGGCGCAGAACACTGAAGGCATCAGGGAAGAGTAGTGATGGGGGCAGTTACCAGAAGCAGAGAGGAAGAAATACCTGTAAAGGGGAAAGCCAGATAAATTGTCTGGGGAGGGGAGAGACTGAAAATGGGGGTGCAGAGATTGGGGGTTAGTGGAAGAAAAAGACTTAAAGGGAAAGGAAAAGAGAAGCTGTAGAGGGAAAGAGAATTGGCAAGGAATTGACGAGAGAGCAGGGAAACAGGAAACCACAGATCGTCAGGGGCCGACAAAACCTTAGAGACAATCTACTGCAGCCCCTCATTCTACAAATGAACAAATGGAGGCCCAGAGAGGGGAATCCCTTCTCCAAAGACCCACTCCACCTGCTGGCTGGGCAGGCTCTTGACCACAGGCTCATTCATTCAACCCATGTGTTTTGAGCATCTGCTGTGTGCTGGGCACTGGACTGCCTGGATGATGCAGGATCAGCTCCTGCCCTCCAGAAGCTACAGTCTTTCCTCAGGGGCTTGGAGAGGCTGAGCATCCAGGAAGCTCCCTCACCCCCAGCCAGGAGGGACTCCCTGAGCCCCACCTCTCCTGGCCACTGAACCTTCCTTTCCCTCTGCTGTTCTGCTTATCTCCTCATGGAGGATGGCCGTTCCCTGGAAGATCTTCCCTCTCCACTTTCCTGGGGACTCCCCAGGTGTGGAGACAGGTACTTGACAGTTTGGCCAACTTGTTCTATCTCCCACAGCCAACAGGGTAGGCCTAAAAGCAAAGTCCATATTCCTTGCTGGGGTTCTCCTCTGGGCATGGACAAATCCCACAGGTTGCACTGAGATCCAATCGAGCTGTGGTAAGGAGGATTGAGGCTGGACATGAAGAAGTACTTCCAGGTCCCACAGTCTGGGACCATTTTCTTGCTGGGGCTTTAAAGTAGCTGTCCTTCTGTGAGCACAGTGTTGTCACCATCTTCCAGGGAAGGACTTGTCTTCCTCAGTCTCCAGTTAGCCTTGTGCGAGGCATTATGCTGGGAATGTTGGGGTTCCAGATACCTGGTCTCTGACCATGGGGTTTCTGCTCTAGACATGGGTGAACTGACATCTCCCTGGCATCCTCCCAGTCACTGCCAGCTCTGCAACATCATGGAACCCCTGAGTCCTTCACAACTCCCAGATCATCTCATCCTTCCTCCTTGCTCTGGGAAGACCATGTCTGAGTAGTTCCAACCAACCTCTCACCTTAAACCCAGTCCCTGACAACCAGAAGTGCCTCCTTAGTCTGGACTTGACCTTCCTTGCTGTCATGGTCCATCAGCAATGACCAGGGCTGAAGCAGCACGTTTTTTCTACAAACACCCCTCCCTCCCAGTGATGCTCACCCAATCCCCGGTGGTCAGGCAGGGAGTGGGGACAGCTTCCTGCCAAGAGCTCTGGAAGGCAGCTCTGCCTCCTCTGCCTGAAGCAAGCTCCTGTATACTCTGAGATGGTGGTGTTCATTTTAAAGAAGGGACCATCTTTCCTCCACAGTCCAGCTTACATTTGGAGGGAGACAAATGTGAGTTTCCAATCCCAGAATCTTTGCCACTGTACCAATCTCCATGGATGCATGGGATTCAGGAAAGGAGAGAAATGAGCAGAGCGAGGACACGAATAGAATCCGTTTCCTACCCCTTGTTCCAGCCCAACTCCCAGGGAAAGGCCAACAGAGGGCAAGAGAGGTGGACACTGAAAATTCCAGACTAAAGACCAACAGACAGATTTCAGCATTATTCCTTCTTGTAGGCAAAGTGGTGCCTAAGGATCTAACCAAATGAAAAAGCCTGGGAAATAGGCTATTTCTGCACCCCCTGACCATTCATGCAGAGCAGGATATCGGCTTCAGCCCAGAAGCAATGCTAGAAGTTGAGAGGTTTGGAGTAGACTGTGAAGCAGTTCCTCCAAGTGCATGCCAGATGAGGGGGTTGGAGCACCCAGCCCAGAACAGCATCCAAGGAAGGAGGCCTTGGCGTAACTCTCTGTGTCTCTGTGTTAACTTCACATACATTGTCTTGTGTGATCCTTACTGCCAGGTTCAGCACCAGGCACAGAATACATGCTTGCTGTACAAATGCATAAGTGAAGAGCCATGGGAGGAAGGTCAGGATCCTCAATTTTAGATGAAGAAACAGACACACAGAAAAGTTAAATGACTTGCTCAAGGTCACATATCTCATCAGAGACAGGGCCAAGTTTCAGTGGAGAGCCACTTTAGTGGTAGAGGGTGGTAGGGAGGAGGGAGGCAGGAAGGGAGAGAATGAACCATCAGACACCACACCAGGGGGAGAGGAGAGCTGTCATCTCTTTCTCTTTGTGAAAATATATTACTTCCTGGAAAAGATGGCATTTAAGACCACACAGTTTTAAAAATAACCCATTGAAGGTTGATTTGTAGCATATGCAAAGTTCTGCCAAAAACATGGAGAGGTCAATGAGTAGATGGGGTCATTGAGGATCAGAAAAGAAAGACAACACTGAAAGTCTGGACAGCTAAGCCCCAGAATTTTGCTAGTCTTAAATGCTGGGTGACATCAGGCCAGCCACACCCCTCTCTGAGCCTCTAGAGAATGGAGATGCCAGATGTGGAGGAGGGTACACATGGGCAAGAGGAGGCAGGTCATTGCCTTCAGGGTAGCAATTGGAGGCATCAAGTTCCCACTTCCCTAGACCTATTCTTTGTTGTTATTATTGTTGTTGCTTTCCTCTGATTTTAATAGTTTTATGTTTTTTGAATAGGAAATACATGTACATGGTTCAAAACACAAAAGGCACCAAAAGTTATACAGTGACAAGTAAGTCTCCCCGGAACCTCAGAACTCCCAGGCCACCCATGTCCTCACTCCATTATAACTGCAGTAACCACTGAATTGTATAACCTCCAAAGGTATTTTCTGCTTCTCCTGGCTTGTACCCTGAGGCCATCACAAAACTGAGTTGAGCACTGATATTCTGAGGAGAGGTGGTACACATGTTTTGGCCCCTGGACTGGTGGGGCCTTGGAATACTACATACTCTCAGTTTCCACTCTGAAAAGATGCAGAAACTTGAGGTCAGGAGAGAGGACATTTCTGCATGCTTAGAAGCTCAGAAGCCTCACAGGTGAGAGGATGGAGTTGGGAGCCAGGCAGAGGCAGGAAGCCTCTCAGGGGCTCTAATACCACACTCCCACCCCAGAGCCTCACAGTGCCCTCTGGGTTAGCCTGGCTCAGGTATGCACCCAGTTAGGTCCTGCTCAAGTTTTCCAGAGAACAAGGCCCAGTGCTTCCCCTCCACCACCTGTCACATTATTGGGAGGCCTTCCTTGATGTCTCATTCTAGTTCCTTCAACTTTAGGTGCAGCCCATGGCTTTTGATTCTGCCGTCAGTGGAGATGGAACATGCTCTTGGAGATGATAGCTTCCAGGGACCCAGGCTCTTCCTCCCACTTGCATACACAATTTTCCTTCAGGCCCTCTAATTCCACCTCAATCTTTTTTCCAGACTTAGAAGACACATGCCTGTTCTTTCAGCTACCCTCCCCCACCTGAATTCCCAGTGTGCCTCCATTCCCAACCACCTCATTCTTGCCCTGCACATCCCTTTGGCATTATTATCCCCAAGTATGCTTTGGTCATGAAGATGGTAAAATCCCAACCTAAAGCCAAGTCCTCCACCAGATTCGGGAGGTAAATCCAGCCTAGTCTCTTTGTTAACTGAATCTCTCCATTTTAGGTGATGGCCTAGCCCAACTCATGAACTTGTGTCCAACACTCTGACTCTCAGATCCTCACACATGGCCTGTTGTGAGATAAGGCACAAGTTCACCCCAAGCCTGGGATGGCCTCCCCTCTGGTCTCTTCTCCAAACCCTCCCCTGGTGAACCTCATCCTTTGCATTTACACACTAAGCAATTAATATTGAGCACTATTCTAAGTTCTTAGAATACATTGGTGATCAAAACCGAGAAAGACCCCCCGCCTGTGTGGAGTTTACATTCTAGCAGAGAGAGACAGATAATGAACAATATTCTTACTAAATAAGTAAATTATATCATATATTAGAAAATGATAATTGTTACAGAAAAGGAATAGATCACGTACAGAAAGATCAGCATGGAGGGGAAATCTGAGGTTTTTAATATGGTTGTCAAGGAGATCTCACTGAGAATATGGTATTTGAACAAAGACTTAGAGGTGAGAGAGGAAGTAAACCCCATAGACATCTTGGCAAGAGTATTCCAAGTAGAGGGAGTGGCTGGTGCTAAGGCCCTGAGGCAGGAACATGCCTGGCAAGTCTGTGGGAGTGAGCAAGAGTGGGGGCAGATGGCATCAGAGAGGTAAGGAGGGAACAGATGATGTTTGGCCTCGTAAGTCAACTTAAGGACTTTGCTTTTTACTCGGAGTGAAGTAGAGAGGAAAGACATGATTGGACTTCAGGGTCTTGCTTTGTTTTGAGAGACAGTCTCACCCTGTCACCCAAGCTAGAGTGCAGTGCCACAATCTTGACTCACTACAACTTCTGCCACCCAGGTTCAAGTGATTCTTATGCCTCAGCCTCCCAAGTAGCTGGGATTACAGGCACCTGCCACCATGCCCAGCTAATTTTTGTAGTTTTAGTAGAGACGGGGTTTCACCATCTTGGCCAGGCTGGTCTTGAGCTCCTGACCTCATGATCCACCCACCTTGGCCTCCCAAAGTGCTGGGATTACAGTCGTGAGCCACTGCACCTGGCCTGGACTTCAGTTTTTAAATAGTCTTTTTGTGTTTTGTGTTGAGAATAGATCACAGGGGGCCAAGGGAAGATGCAGGGAGACTTGTTGAAAGGTCATTGCACTAATCCAAGTGAGAAATGTGTGGCTTGGACCAGGATGGCAGCAGTGCATGTGGTGAGAAAGGCCCAAATTCTGGATTTGGTGGCAGTTTCCTCTTCCTTGGCTTCCATCCTTTTGCTCTCTTTGCTTCCTCTCTTCTTTTCTAGGTTGTATGTTTTCTCTCTTCTTGAATACTGAGAGATCTCTGTGGGTGGGGCTCAATCTCTGTTCCTGGGATCTGGGGCAGGACCCCAGGCAAAGGACAGACAGGCACCATGTTGTCTGGGAACAGGCTGACAAGCCATGCAGCTTCACAGCCCTCCCCAGTTACAGGGTCCCTGAGCCAAGGGGAAGAGACTGCTGTTTCTAAAGAGGATGTGATGGACAGTTATTGAGGTGCTTAGCTGGGGGCTCCACTCTAGTCTTAATCTGAGCAGCCCTCAAGGAAATCATAACCAGCTCTTAAAAACATATTGAGACCAAAGCTTGTGCGTGTGTTTGAGCGGAGCTTCAGACAGCTACTTAACACTGGGGGCCTCTGGGCTTTTGATTCCTCCACTTCTAGCCTGCCATCTCCCCCCAGCTGGCTGGTGCTTATCAGCCAAGACGTTGTTTAAATCATACTCATTTCCTATAACCATTTCACTTGAAATGCCATCCTCTGCTCCAGAAATTCATCTATCACCAGCCTAGGGGTATAGTTGAGGAGCCTTGGGGTGATCGCTCCCCATCTCTACCCCTGCCCCCAGTCACCCCTCTTCCCATGACCCATATTCTCAGGTTTCACGCCATAAGATCTACTTCCTCTCCGTGTAACAGGACACTTAGTGCCAGAATTATTTATAACATTGAGATGGCAACAGGGCAATGGGGAGCAGCCCAACCCATGGACACTCTCTCTTTGAAAGCTCGATCAATGGACCTAGATCACTGTTTACTACTTGGTGTCTCGGCCTCTGCTGTGTTTCCTGCTGGCTTTGGGGGATGGGGAAACAGGGGTCTGGACCAGGTCAAGGCTGTTCTCAGAGTTTAAGATGCTTATAAACCAGGCCTCTAATAAAGTTATGCCTTCACTGTACCTCTATTCCTTGGCCAGGCACTTCCCTGCCTCAGGTGAGCTCTCTTCTTGGAAATGAACCATTCTTGGGGCTTTTTCGCAAACAGGAGCCCTCTTCCTCCCCCAGGAAAGCTGACATTATGTCCCTACCACAGTGGCAGAGCTAGGACTTGAGCTGAGGAAGTCATCTGATATGGATCAGAATGGGGATGTGGAAGATTCCGGGAGTTCTTCCGAGGAAGGGCTTGAATTGGCCCCACCCAGTCTGGAGTGGAGGTAGAGGGGTGGATGAATTCACTTCTTCAGGACTGAAAACCTTTTTACCATCCTCTTCCTCCCCATTCATAGCCAATTACTCGTTGTCCTAATTTGAAGGCTCTGTTGTCTGGACTGGAGGATTTTTACCCATTTTCCAGCCCCTCTCCAGGTCTCATTTATTGGGGCAGTGTCACATTAAAGACATTGCCAGACTTCCTAGTCCTTCCCAAAGGCCTGACCCAACTCCTTCCCAAATGGTGAAGCACCTCTGCCTCCTTCCCTTTACACCTGTGGACCTACCACACTGGGGAACTCCTAGGTGAGTCCCAGAGAAAGCCCAGGTGAAAGACTATGAGCCAGTCAGAAGGGATCAGGGTAGAACCCAAGTTGGGACAGGCAGGGGAGGCAGTCCCAGTCTTTAGGGGGGTCAGGTAATTCCCCTTTACAAGCCAAATGAAGAAAAAAAGTTCTAAGGGCAGCATATGACTCCATAAAATAAAGGACATAATTGGGAGCGATATCTAATTTATCTATTGAATGCCTCCTACATACTCTTTTATCACTTACATGGACAGAATATAATTGGTGTGCTGTGCGCCATCAATCTCAGGGCCTGGGCTTCCTGTTCTGGCTACACCTATTACTGTCCGATTATGACACTGTTAATCCAAGATCAATGACATTTTAAATGTGCTACAGTTATGGGCAATTGCTGACAATAAAAACAGTGACAAATTGATGAAACTTGGGCAGAGATGATCTGGTGTCAAAAATAAACCATAAAGAATCTGATTTCCAAACTGAGAGAGGTGCCTGGGACACCAGCTTAGTGGGGAAAGACCCAGCGAGAAGAGAACCTATCCTGCCCACATGATCTTGGCCACTCAGGAAGCCACCTGCTCTGGAAAACTCCCTCTAGGCTGACTTGAAAGGCCCCAGCAGGAAGATGGAGAGGTGGTCTTTGGTTAAGGCTTGGGTTCCCTTTAGAGAGAATCGTCATCACTGAGACTCTGGGAAGTGTCTGTGTATGGCTGCCAAGGTGGGGGCCACACAAACTCACTGAGATACTGGTGGGGGGTCTTTCATGTCCTGCCCACACTGAGGAATTAGGGCAGACTGGTTGAGTCATAGAATCACAATTAGCCAATGTTAAAGCTAAAAGAGACCTTGAGAGTCTCTCTTCATGGAGGGTCAGGCTCTGTCCTCCAAACTGTCCCTCAGCAGAGGGACCTGGATCTTCCCTAACTCTGCTTCAACTTGCCCCAGGCATTATTTCCCCAGGCTAATCCCCTTCCCCACCTGTTGCAGGGAACTCCAGGCCTTCAACAAGCAGAACTATTTTGGCGTACATTAAGGTGGGCCTCCTCCAGCTCCTTTTTTTTTTTTTTTTTTTTTTTTAGATGGAGCCTCGCTCTATCACCCAGGCTGGAGTGCAGTGACAAAATCTCCACTCACTGCAAGCTCCGCCTCCCAGGTTCATGCCATTCTCCTGCCTCGGCCTCCTAAGTAGCTGGGACTACAGGACCCTGCCACCACACCTGGCTAATTTTGTGTGTTTTTAGTAGAGATGGGGTTTCTCCATGTTGGTCAGGCTGGTCTCGAACTCCTGACCTCAGGTGATCCACCCACCTTGGCCTCCCAAAGTGCTGGGATTACAGGTGTGGGCCACCATGCCTAGCCTCCAGCTCCTTATTTTTAATGGATTACCTTAATTTGTAGTATTCCTTTCATACATTTTTCTCACTTTAATAATCACAATTTTAAATATGAATACTTTAGTAGCATTGCTAATACTACTTTACATAATAATACTTTAGTAGTATCGCTAATACCACTATTACAAGGATAACTACTATTGGGAAGCATTTATTGTGCAACTACTATATGTAAACTCTGTTCCAGGTGTTTCATGGGTATTATTTTTCATCCCCACAGCAGCCCTGTGAGGTGGGTATTGTTCTTCACATTTTAGAAGTGAGGAAACAGGCCTAGAGTTGTAGTGATGTGCCTAAGATGACACAGCTGATAAGCAGTGGAGCAAGAAAGGAGCCTGAGATGTGGCTCAACATTCATCTTTTTTCCATTGCCCCTTTCACAGACCTTTATAGTCCCATTTATAGACGGGGCTGAGGGCCTCCCTAAAGAATCTATAGCTAGTCAAAGGCAGAGCTAGACCTAAGCCTAGCTTTTCTGACCCTTGTCGTATTAGACCTGCATTGTATGTATTTTTTTTTTTAAAGACTGGTCAAGTGCAGTAGTGAGAAGGGAGAAGGAGCAGAACAAGGAGTTTGATCTGTAACTGATTGTGAACAATCAGTTGAGATAAGGCACTACCTTCGGAACACCCCCCACACTCTTTCCAGTTGCACCACAACAGTCCTTTCCCCAGATCACCACCACTCACTCAGCCAGAGTCTTCAGCCTTGGCCTCTAAGAGTCAGCAGGGGGTCACAGTTGGCTTTGAAACCAAGCAGACAGGTGTTTGAATCCCCACTCTGCCACCTTACAGCTGTGTGGCCTTAGGCAGGTGGTTGTGAGAATTTAAATGGCATAAGCATATAAAAGCATTTGGCGTAGAGTCTGGCACATAGTAGTGCTCCCTAAATGGTAGTCATTAAAGATACAACCTGGGACAGTGGCAGCTAGTTTAACAAACCACCATACTCCGTAGCACCTCTCACCTGGGTGCAAGTGCCCCAGGCCACTGCAGTAGCTGCACGCTGAGGGTGTCCCCGGATATATAAGAAGCCTCTCCGAGGGCCACAGAGGTTTTTTGATGGCAGATGGTTTAAAATATCATTTTTATATTAAGTTGTATAAAATATACTATGTTATAAAATGCAAAGTTTGCATCATTTTAGAGCTAAAACTTAAGGCCACAAAAAGAATCTGCTATTTTCTTATTAATAAAAAATCCTATTTTTATATAATGCAAATAATGAAGATGAAGTAACCTATTATTTAATTAAACATGTCTTTAAAAAAAAAAGAAATAATTGGTCCTTGCTAATGGCCCTTCAGGGCAAGCCCCCAGACTGCTGGGGTCGAAGTTTACCCTCCTGCCTCTAATATCAAAGGGACTTTGGCAGAAAAGTTTGAGAAACCCTGTCAGGAACAAAGCCTACACAAGGACCAGGAAATCTGACTTCTTCATTCTTTAAAAGAACAAAACAAATAGCAACATTGTTTTTTCTACCTTCCTACTGTTTTACCTTCAAGTTTAGCATTAAGAACATGAAATGTTTTGTTTAAATTTATGATTCTTATTTCTGGTTCCTTTCTGTTTAATAATTGCTAGCTGAATCATTAATCATCAACCAAGTGAATGGTCACACTTTATAGAAGGCTACAAGGTGGAACACAAGATTAGTTGGATTCTTAAGAAAGAAACTAAAAGCTGCTTGTGACTTAGATGCTCTTAAGTTTTATGACTGTGGTGGGAATTTGAGCATCCAGGCCTTGCTTCTGATGATCCTCTCGTTCCAGTGCCCCAGTTCTAATCCTCTGTGGGTGCCCTCAGTAGGCACAACCTTGGGGCTGCCCAGGGCTCAAGGCATCCATGTTTTTAAAGTGCCCAACAATGGCTTTTCATTCATCAGAAACTCCACAGGACACCCACCTAACTGGGGCTCTGATACCTAATTCAGCAGCACCCACCACCAAGTCTTTCTAAGTTTTATTTTTTTAATATTACATGCAATATATGTTAATTATAAATAAATGTAATAATTCAGGTAGGTGAAAAGGAGAAGGAGAAAAGGCCCAAGAAGTTTCCCCACTGAGGAAGAATCCTGATTAGCGAGGCAAGTCACGTGACTTTTGGGAATCTTGTTGAATCTACACCCATTTAAAGTGGAAATCTATATAGCCTGATTCTTTGATGGTTTAGAGCTCTGCTCAGTTTAGAGTTCAGGGAGGTGGTATCTACAGGGTGTATTGCTCTGATAAAAATTAGCAGCCTGCTCAAGTTCAAGGTATGAGGGGACTGATCACAGATTTGTTTGAGAATCATTACGTTGGCCCTTTGGTGACTCTAGGGATTAGATCCAGAGTACAAGGGGCCCACACTTCCAAGGGATCCCACCACACCTTCAAATAGCAGGCTCATGGAAAGGGGATTCCAAGATTCTCCCCCTCCAGCTACGGCATTGCTTTACAATATTTAACATTCCTTCACTAAAGAGCAAGTCTAAATTGCAAGTACTCCTAGGACAGGGACTAGCTTAGATCCATGACAGTTCCCTCTCTGAGAGAAGGGCGTGCCTTACTCCACCGGACCAAACAAAACTAAAGTGACCTCTCTGCTCCCCCCAGAGAGGGGCACTGGGGATGGTAAAAGCATTTCTGTCTCTGAACCCAGGGATGAAGTAGAGAAATGCCACTTAACCATAGCCAGGACCCAAAGAATTGTGAGACCAAGCTACCAAAGGCTCAAGTGAGGGGCTGGAAAGAGTGACAAAAACAGAGAAGGACAGATCTGTGAGCCACCGCACTTCATTTAGGAAGTCAGTGCTAGGGTAACAGGAAGGATCGGGCGGGCTGTCAGGAGAGTGGAACGTGTTAGAGAAAGAACAAAACTGAGTGGAGACGCAAGGGAAGAGACCGTTTATAGGTGAATTAGCAGCAGAGGGTGGGTGGTGGCTGTGCCTGGGGCAGGGGTGGTGGGGCGAGGAGGTGGGGGTGGCAGTGACTTTGAGGGAGCTCTTGCAGAGGGCAGCCTTTTAAGGTGAAGAGCCAGAGCTCTGGGTCTTAAGAGTTGGGAAAGCAGGTTATATTTCACATCCTTCCCTGAATAGAGAAATTGAATTTGGTCAAGAATAGGTCCTAAGAAACAGCTGTGAGCACCCCACTTTTCCATCTTGTTGATGAATATGGAGTGGGAGCAAAGTTGAGTGTGGGCATCTGACAAGGTCTTTATGATCCTAGATGCACTTACTATACCTTCCTCCTCCTCCTCTGCCTTGGCTAATGTGCTGTGGGTACCCACTGCACAGAGGGCTGTAAGACACTCATTGTGGCTGATGCAGAAGCTGGGCCCTGCCCTCCTGGCCTTCTGAGGAAAGTGATTATTGTTTTTGTCTTGTTTTTCAACTATCCCTTTGCCCCCAGCAGGACTGAACCTTTCCACTCTTACCATCTCTGGGTCCCTTCAGATCTTTTGTAGCCTTGAACTACCTGCTACAAGATTTTTTTCTGTCCTAAGAACGGAAGTCCGGTCTGCTTCCTAACATTAATCCCTTCCACACCGCACAGCCTCGTTTCCTCTAGATCAGAGAGATGGCTTCTGGATTCTTCTTTCCCTGCAATCCAGCTTCTTCTCCTGGGGCCCTCATACTGCAGACTGGGATCATCATCCAGGCTTTTGCACTGGGCCAGGAATTTGGGAGTCATCCTGGATCCGTCTGCCCCTGTCAACCTTTCTCTGTCAACAGATATTTATTGGGCATCTTCAACAGCCAGGCCCTGTTCATGGTGCTGAAGAACAGCATGTATAAAACAACCCTGCCCTCACAGGGCGATCACCAGTGACCTGTGGTGTGGAGTCTCCTTTTACCTCTGTCTCCTCCTTCCCATTGTCACCATCTTTGGTCCTCCTCTGTCATCTGGAATACTCCACTTGGTAACCAGCATGATCTTATAACGCTAGTTTTACCCTTGTCAGCACTTTGCCGAAAACCTCAAATAAAGACTTTTTAAAAAATGTGCGATGGAAAACTAAAGTTATAAATTATATCATAACCATTGGACCTCTTTTTAAAATGCACTGAAGACTTATAATGTTATTCATGGATATATATCTATGGTAAAAATAGAAAAAATATATGATGGTGGTGCCTCTGAAAGGGAGGGGAATGGTACTGGGGAAGGGACAAAGGGAACTTCAACTTTATCTGTAATGACCTCTTTATTTTGAAAACTCAAGAGCAAAATTGACAAAATTTTAACAGTAACTTAACAAAACCTCAAGTCTGGATAGTGGGTTCAAGAGTGTTACTTTATACGGACAGGCAGTGACTCATGCCTATAATCCCAGCACTTTGAGAAGCCAAGACAGGAGGATCTCTTGAGCCCAGCCATCCTCCCGCCTTGGTCTCTTGAAATTTGAGACTAGCCTGGGCAGCATAGTGAGACCCTGTCTCTACAAAAAAAAAAAAAAAATTAACAGCAACTCAGGAGGCTGAGGCAGAAGGATTGCTTGAGTACGGGAGGTCAAGGCTGCAGTGAGCTATGACTGAGCCACTTCACTCCAACCTGGATGATAAAGCAAGACTCTGTCTCAAAAAAAAAAATTTAAAAAAAAGTGTTCCCTGTAATCCCAGAACTTTGGGAGGCTGAGGCAGGTGGATCACTTGAGCTGAGGAGTTCAAGACCAGCCTGGCCAACATGGCGAAACCCTGTCTCTACCAAAAATACAAAAAATTAGCCAGATGTGGTGGGATCAGTCTGTAGTCCCAGCTACTCAGGAGGCTAAGGCAGGAGAATCACCTGAACCCAGGAAGCTCAGGTGGCAGTGAGCCAAGATCTCACCACTGAACTCTAGCCTGGGCGAAAGAGTGAGACTCCGTCTCAAAAAAAAAAAAAAAAAAAAAAAAAGGAGTGTTACATTAGTTGTCTATATTGTAGATACACTTGTCAAAATTTAAGCCATAAAACCCTCAGTGTCCCTCACTGTTCCCACCCCCTTAGCCTGGCATACTGGGTCTTTCACAAGCTTGTGTCAACCTCCTCTACAGACTCATCTTTACACTGAGGGACTTGCAGTTTCCAAGTGCTCTGGCCTTGCAGCCTTTGCTCATGCTGTTCTCTTCTGAATGCCCTTTCCTGCTTTACTACTTTGTTCTTGCCCTTCTGGATTCAGCTCCTGGGAGGCCCTGTGGATTGAAGTCAGATGGCTCAAGTAGGCAGCTGGTTAGGACCCAGGAGACAGAAACGTGCCTGGGGAGGACAACACTTTCTTGTCCTGGTTTCTATTCAGCTGCAACTAGAGAAACAGATCACCTGTTTCTTGTTCAAAACTAGGATCAGTGAGAGGAGGGTGGAAAGAGTAAGATCCTCCACAGTGCCCTCCCACCTCCCAGCCTCCACCCACATAGCCTAGCTCCAAGGCAGAAACTTCCCAGCAGAAAAAGGAAAACTGATAAACTCATTCCTTGGTCTGGCTCTGTTAGGATTATCATCTGGTTTCCCCTGCTGGTGTTGGAAGAGCTGTGTTGGTGTAGGCCAGTGCTATCCTGTGACTAGAGGGAAGAAGCTCTGCCTGGGCCTGATTTGGCCACAGCTCCTAGTAATATGCTGAGAAGGAACACAAACTCTAGGCCCAGGTCACCCTCCCCATGCCATCCCACACCTGACTTCTGCGCACCTTGTGAGCAGATCAGATTTGGTGTTGCTTCTTCCACATCATCCTCGCATCCCCTTTCACAGACTCGGATAGATCCCCTCATGGGAACCTATGGATCTATGGCATATCTATAGATATACCACCCCATGGCAACTGTCCTTTCCCCTTCATAGCATACATCACCCTGAATTATAGCTACCTGTTTATGTATGTGTCTTCTGCACCAGGTGGTACTCTCTGATGGGGCAGGGATTGAGTCTGTCTTGTTCACAGTTGCATCTCCAGCACCTGCAACTCTGCCTCGCTCAGAGTAAGTGCTCAATACTTTTTGTTTTTGATTGAATGATAGAATGACGAGTGAACTCTATTTCCCACTAGACTGTGAGCACCATGTTGACAGGGACCATGCCCTGATCATCTTTGGGTCCTTAGGGCCTATATAGTGCTTGCCACATAGGAGGTGCTCAGTAGACACTTATCAATTTGAGTGAATGGACTTCAGTTTCTCCACTTACAATCTGAGTAAGAGGAAGATATTCTTTGCCCTCTCTCCCTCATTCTCCAGCCACATTGGGGGTTGTGGTTGATGCCATGAGGTCGTTCCTGCCTTATTCAACTTCATGTCCAAATCTTCTAATGGCAAAACACAACATGGTGACCAAGTCTCAGAGTCCAGGCATCCCTCCCATAGCCCATAGCCAAGTATGGGAGAAGGGTGCTTCAGGGTCTCTCTCCATTCACTTTAGTCTCCAGCATTAGCCAAGATCCCACTGTCTACCCTGAATTCTTCCTGCTATTGCACAAGGCTTCTTTCATCTTACTGTATTGTCAGGGAAAATATAGCCAAGATTATCTGTTCCTCAACCTGAAGTAAAATATAGATTCTGCCTAATTTTAGAACCGGTGTTAGCCAGCTGTGGTGGCTCACATCTATAATCCCAGCATTGTAGGAGGCCAAGGCAGCAGGGGAATCGCCTGAGTCCAGGAGTTCAAGACCAGCTGGAGCAATATGGCAAAACCCCATCTCTACAAAAAAAGCAAAAAAATTAGCTGGGTGTGGTGGCACACGCCTGTAGTCCCAGCTACTCAGGAGGCTGAGGCAGAGGATCATTTGAACCCGGGAAGTGGAGGTTGCAGTGAGCCAAGATCGTGCCACTGCACTCCAACCTGGGTGACAGAGTACAATCCTGTCTCAAAATAAAAATAAAGAATAAAACCAGTGTTTCCACATCTGGAACTTTCTTTTCAAGTTTATATCACCTCTCCTTCCAAATCAGATCTCCCCTCCTCCAGGAAGTACTCCTTGATTAAGCCAAAAATGTTTTAATTTTCACCACTTGTCCTATTACTCTGCATCCCCACAGCACTTGTAGTTTGTACTTATTCCCTATCCTGTTTAAGTGTGTGTTCATCATCCTAACCATACTGCATAAGCAGGCACTATTTTAAGTAGGCTTCATAGATTATCAGAAATTGACAAGAAAAAATACACACCGAGAAGAAAGTAGAAGAGGATTTTTTCTTTTCTTTTCTTTTTGCTTTATCATAGAATTCCTTGTCTTGGTGCTTACAAGCTGTGTAGCACAATGAGAGGAGAATGTGATTTCTGCAAAACATTTCAGGAAGCACAAAGTATCTGTAAATACCCAGGAATAATGACCATGTATTTTATTTGTATTATTTTTCTAATTCCTCCACTATATAGTGTTTGCCCAAAGTCCTTGATTTAAGCCCTTGAGTGTTGGTTGGCTGACTTAGCTTTGGATTGTGGTCCACTGAGATCGCTGGATCTTTTTAAGCTTTAGAGTTATGCCCTGCCATGTGGATGCAGGTGGAGGAAGGACTTCTCAGTGTGACCCATGAGAGGAGTGGCTTTCCTGGGCCCCAGGCCCCAGGCTGCATGTGTATGGGAGGGAGGAGGAGAAGCAAGGAAAGGAGGAGAGACAGAAGTATATACTGAGCTGGTAGTTGGGGGAAGGGTTGGCGGGTGGGGAGAAAGGAAGAGAGGAGTCTGGGCCAAGGCAGAGGTGTCTCCCTAGGGAGTCCTCAGAGCGGGCAGCCGGACGTCGCTCCATCCTTCCCGCCAGATGGATGGGTCTGCTGCGCAGGCACAAGCTGTCGGGCCAGGCCCTGCCAAGGCAGAACAGTGGCGCTTCTGTGCGCACTGCTCCGATCCGCTCCGGAGGATGGGGCCCGCCCGGGAAGCCAGGGAGTGATGGAGAAAGCAGATGTCCCAGAACAGGAGCCGCGGGGTCACAGAAGCACGCCTGCCTCCCGAAACAAGGAGCCACAGGATGAGGTGGGAGGGGACCGGGAATCAACGCGGGGGAGCGTTTGGGGGAAGTGTTGGTCGAAAGAAGAGAGGCAGAAGGACGCGCGCTGAAGGAGCCTGGGGATGAAGAGCTCGATGATTTGGCCACAAGCCCCCTCACCTTTAAGAACAAAGCTTCCTGCCTTCAGTTGCAGAGTTTTGTTTCGCGGTCAGATGCTCAGAGACCTTCCAACCTGTCCCCCACCCCTCAGCCTTGCCCATCTCCACGGGCTCGGAGACCACCACCCTCCGCCTCCGCCTGGCCTGGCCCGGCCCGCGAGATCCCTGACGCTCCAGTTCGGAATCTGGGATCCGCAGGCTCCCAGATCCGCCGCTGGCCCGGCTCCCACCCGCCCGTCAGCCGCCTCCCCCTCAGCGTTAATTAAAACTTGCGAGATGGAGAGGCTGGCGCGGGCGGCTCCGTTTAATTTGCAGCATCTTTCATGCTGCTGACGATCGTAAAGGGCTTTCATATTGAAATATGGGCCATTTTCCCAGCTCCAGCCCTCGCCGCGGCTCCCCGCACCCCCACACCCAGCCACCCCGCGCTTGATGAAAGAGCCCCTACAAATCCATTAAGGAGAGATAATTGAAAACTCTGGGGTAATATTTAAGACCGTGTGCCGACGCGGGGTGGAGGGCCTGACTGCGCCCGCTTTGCCCGTCAGTGCTGGTGCGTGCCAGTCCCTAGCGCTCTAGGCCCACCAAGGCCCCGCGGACGCCCAGCCAAGGCCCGCCATCTTAGCGGTGCCTCCTCACTCCCTGCACTCAAAGGGCTGGCTCTGCGCTAATCTGGCTCTGCTGAAGACTTGCCTGGAGACCTGAGTTCCAAAAGGAGCCACAGGGCATGCTGTGTGACAGATGCATTAGGGCCAGCATGCACGGGGGCCAAAGCATCTTGTCCCACTCCTTCAGCTTCGGTTTGGTGCACCAGCATCAGGCACTGCTCAAGCTTCTGAGCACAGCATCCCCTCTGCCTGCAAACTTTGCCCTCCAGCACTTTCTACTTGGGGAATTGCTGTTCCTCTTTCAAAACCACCCCAGTTCCACCCCAAGTAATGGCGCAGTGGGGTATGGAACGTGGGTGGGAGTATAGACACTCCAAGATCCTGGTGTGACCATTGTTGCAGCTGCATGATGAGGACACTATACTGCTCTGTTTTCATATGTTTTTAATGTTCCACGACAAACATGTTTAGAAAGCAGCTGAAGCATCTTCTTTTACGCCTCCCTCTCCCATAAATACAGACTACCTGTTATCTTGTACATTGATGTTCCTTAGCACATCGTGTTGCCATTATCTGTTTAAAGTCTTTCTGCCTACTCAGCTGTGACATCTTCAGGACAGGGATCAGGTCTAAATTCACTCCTTAGCCCTTGCTCCAGGCCCAGTGCAAGGCACATAACATGCGCTCAGTAAACATCACTGAATAGGCTGCTCTCTGGGTACCTAGAAGTCTCTAGGGCTTAAGGTTAGGATATAAGCACACGGAAGGAGGGTAGGGCAAAGCATGGAAGAGGGGTGCTGTCTGTGAGGCTGGGTTGGGGTCATGTCTCTCTCCCACAATGACTGGCTTCAGGATGTTCCCAGAATGGGAAAAGGGTAGAGGACCCTGTTCTGCACTGTGATTTAGGAATCCTTAGGTCTCTACCTGGGACTTTTGGGGATGTTTCTCCACTTCACTCCATTTGGCTTACTCTCCCAATCAGGTTAGACACACACACACACACACACACACCAACACCACACACCTTAGACAGGGAAAGAGTGGGAAAGAGGGAAGCAGAAGAGATTATTTGAAGACCTACTTGTGCAAAAGGCATGAGTAGTTCAGGCATTGCCATGGATACCCAGCTAACCCCCTACCACAGGGCCTTTCCTACTTACCCCTGTTGCACAGTCTTCCCCAACACTGTGTCCAGCACCCATACAGGAGTTATACTCACAGGATGGCACTATCAAGGAAGAGGGGGCTGTATTGACTCAGCCCCCCCAACCGCACATTGGCCCTGAAGCCACAGTTGCAATGATGCCCTCTCTATGGCCAGAATGAGATCCAAACCATTCCAAAGTTCCATTTCCAAACAAGGACTCCTCGTTAGAACCACAAAACATCAGAGCTGGAGGCAACCAAAACAGCACTGTGTCCCCTCTTAGTATCTATGGGGCAACTAAGACTTAGAAAGGGCCTGTGATGTGCCCCAGGTCACAAAGCCATTGGTAACTGGGCGGGTAGGGTGGCTCACGCTTGAAATCCTAGCACTTTGGGCGGCCAAGGCGGGTGGATCATTTGATGTCAGGAGTTCGAGACCAGCCTGGACAACGTGGCGAAACCCTGTCTCTACTAAAAATACAAAAATTAGTGGGCAGTAGTGGAGTGCGCCTGTAATCCCAGCTACTCAGGGGGCTGAGGCAGGGGAATTGCTTGAGCCTGGGAGGCAGAGGTTGCAGCGAGTTGAGATCATACCACTGCACTCCAGTCTGGGCGACAGAGTGCGACCCTGTCTCAGGAAAAAAAAAAAAAAAAAAAAGCCATTGGTAACAAAACCAGTGCTAGTGCTAGAATCCCAGCAAGTTAGTGGTGGAGCTGGAATTAGAATCCCAATCTCTTGACCCACTTAAATATATACATTTGATATTCGAAGTGCTTTTCACAAACATTATCTCATTTAATTCTCTCTCTCTCTCGATAGGATCTCACTCTGTCACCCAGGCTGGAGTGCAGTGACATGATCATGGCCCACTGCAGTCTCAAGCTCCTGGGCTCAAGCAATGCTCCCACATCAGCCTCAGGCACATGCCACCACACCTGGCTAATTTTTGTATTTTTGTAGAGACAGGGTTTCAGCATGTTGCCTAGGCTGGTCTTGAACTCCTGGGCTCAAGAAATCCTCCTACATTGGCCTCCCAGAGTGCTGAGATTACAGGCATGAGCCACCGTACCTGGTCTCATTTAATTCTCACAAACCTATGAGATAGCGTCACAATTCCCATCGACAGATGAGAAAAATGAGGCTCAGGGAGAGCCATGATTTGTCCAGTGTCATACATGGGTGGAAAACAGATCCAGGATTTGAACCCCAGTTTGACTGGGTCCAATTCCAGTGCCCTTTCCACTCACTTCTCCAGTATCTCCCCCTAAACCCCACCCAGCCAAGTCAGGCCAGTTTCCCAGACACTCACCCTTCATCCCTGGACATCTCCAGCCAGAGGTCTTTTTTCTCCTTAGCCCAGCTTCCCCCACCCAGGGCAATGTTCTTTGCCCCAGATTTGGAGGTGGGGGTGTGGTAGTCCCCACCGTGGTTCTGGGTACAGGCCTCTATGAACTGAAGCCATGCACAGCCTGGCATCCTGTGTGCAGCCCTACTCCTGTTCGTGGCCACGGAGGCCTCAGCCATAAATCCCCAGGTCTTGGCTCATAACCATTAGCAAGCGATTGGGTTCATCAGGACGCCTTTATGAGACTGGAGTCAAATAAATGGATTGCCGGAGATCAGGAACAAGGGATCTCCTTGTCTTGCCTTGCTTCCAAGTTGCTCCCGCAACCCAGAGGTTGGCAGATTCTGTTTGACTCACAGCTGTAGGTGGAAGTGGGGGCATTGTCACAGTGGGATAAAGATGTACAGTATCCCCTGGTACTCCACACCCATGGAAGGAAAAGCGCTTGGAGATGCACATCCTCAGATAGCCCACAGTCATTAGGGCTGGAGGAACACACACACAGAGGCACATATACACACTCAGACCCCCATCTCTGATTCAAATCCACTCTTCAGCAACCAACCCCCCAACCCCACC
The DNA here is from genome assembly GCF_000001405.40 of Homo sapiens. Taxonomy (NCBI): domain Eukaryota; kingdom Metazoa; phylum Chordata; class Mammalia; order Primates; family Hominidae; genus Homo; species Homo sapiens. The sequence goes on from NC_000020.11 coordinate 30,320,232, forward strand.
CACCTCACATCCTCTGATGTCCTCACACTCCATTCCTCCTGTGAGGTATTTCCTGAAACACTGCTTCTCAAACACCACTGTGCATACAAATGACCTGGGACGTGGTTAAAATACACATTCTGACTCAGTAGATCTGGGGTGGCACCTGAGCTCTGTTTTCTAACCAGCTTCCAGGTAAGGCCAGGGTTGCTTCTCCAAAGATTTTAAGCAATGGTCCTCCCACATTGGAAGGGTAGGGGCTTTCAAAATGTAAAAGAGATAGGAATGTGCAGTTTGGAAAAGCTCCCCTCCCACTCCCATCCCCCAAATGCTGCTGTGCACACCCAGGTGACTGAACTGTTTCTAGAATGCTGTTACCTCACTCTTTACATGGCTCCCTCTCATTCTTCAAACCTCAGCCCAAGTGTCACTTCCTCAGAGAAACTTTCTCTGACCACCCAATTTATTTTATTTTACTTTATTTTATTTTATTTTATTTTATTTTTTTGAGCCGGAGTTTTGCTCTTATTGCCCAGGCTGGAGTGCAATGGCACGATCTCGGCTCATGGCAATCTCTGCCTCTCGGGTTCAAGCGATTCTCCTGCCTCAGCCTCTCAAGTAGCTGGGATTACAGGCATGTGCCACCACGTCTGGCTAATTTTTGTATTTTTAGTAGAGACAGGGTTTCTCCATGTTGGTGAGGCTGGTCTCAAACTCCTGACTTCAGGTGATCCGCCCGCCCCAGCCTTCCAAAGTGCTGGGATTACAGGCATGAGCCACTATGCCTAGCTGACCACCCAATTTAAAGGGTCCCTGCTCCACCCTGTCTGTGATTACCCACTTCACAACAGGTCTCAAAATTGCATGTATCTATTTGCTAACTTGCTTACTTATTTTTTTGTCTGTTTCACTCTCTGAAATGTGTGGTCCTTGAGTTCAGGGATTATGCCTGTTCCATTTATTCATGAATTCTTGGCAACCGGTGCCTAGTGCATAGTACATACTCAGTAAATACTGCTGGATAGGCCAGTCACAGTGGCTCATGCCTGTAATCCCAGCACTTTGGGAGGCTGAGGCAGGCAGATCATTTGAAGTCAGGAGTTCGAGACCAGCCTGGCAAACGTGGTGAAACCTCGTCTCTACTAAAAATACAAAAATTAGCTGGGCATGGTGGCACAAGCCTGTAATCCCAGCTACTCTGGAGGCTGAGGCAGGAGAATCACTTGAACCTGGGAGACACAGGTTGCAGTGATCCAAGACTGCCACTGCACTCCCACCTGGGTGACAGAGGGAGCCTCTGTCTCAAGAAAAATAAAAAATAAAAATAAAAATAAAAAAATAAAAGACCATCTGAAAGAGTATCTGAATCCAGCACTGAGGCCATAGGTAATCTGAGAAAGTATCTTGGAGGAAGGAAAATGGGAGGAAAAGAACATTGTGTGAAGGACTTAAGAAAGGTGACTCAAGGGAAGTGGGGAGGCAAGGGTATCCAGATAAGATTGGCCCCATTGGTCCTGGGTTGATATGACAGGGTTGAGGAAGGGTCCTGGAGGGAGAGATCCTGCGGGTAGCAGCAGATGCCGCAGGGTCTCGGAAACCATGGCAGGCACTAAGAAGATATGTGGGCTTCCCTCCACCTCATGGACAAGGACCTTCATTTATTCATTCTTTCCTACACTTGACAAATTCTTACTGAGATCTTATTAGGCGCCAGGCACTGTGCTGGGTGCTGAATATTCAGGAATGAGCACAATGGGTCTGGTTTCTACCCTCCTAGAGATTACAGTCCAGTGGGAGAGACTGACAGTAAACATATTAATATGTTACAGTTGGGCCAAGTCCACAAAGGATAGGGTATGATAACAGGTATGATGGGCGGTTCCCTAGGGAGAAGTTTCCCTAGGGAGTGACAGTCACCCAGAGTGCTGATGGGTGGAGGTCTTCCTTGCCAGCCCCCTGCTAAGCTTTCATCCTGGACATTCCTGCATTCCTCTGCACTGTCCCTTTAAGAGGAGCATCTCTTCCCTGAGCAAAGGTGGTTCGGGCACACAGCCTGAGCCTGCCAAGGTTGTGGGCCATAAATCAATGCTGGCACTCCCTTGGCAGTGGGCTCTCCTCTGAGCTGCCCAGATGGCAGGCAAGCCTGGGGCTCCAGGGGCAGCCAGGCACTCAGGAGGGGGGAGGTGGGAAAGGTGGGGACACAGTTGGGCCCCAGGCTCCTGATGGCAGCTGCCCACTTCTGTCTAAGGGCCCTAGGCCAGGGAAAATGCCAAAGTCCTTCTATTCTAGTCCCACGTACCTTCTGACTCCCAAGTCAGTCTGGCATGGGGCTGTTGGGATTATTGTTCCCACCCCAGCCAGGGACCAGGGCCTCATAGGCATCCTCTGAGACCAAGGGTCTTGGATGACCTCTTGGGATCACAGTCTGCTCTAACATTCAACCTGAAAGTTCTGCCTGTGGTTTGACCTTCTTTCCTCTTGCTGTAGCTGAGGTGTCTTCTTTTACCCTGCATGAAAGATGAAAGACAGTAGCTCCCCATTTAGTGGGGGCTTTGGGACTGTGTGATATCTCCCTCTGCCTTCACTTTAAGCCTCCCAGAAAAGCAGGATAAAAAGATGCTTCAAGGTCAGTTGGAGAGATGGAACCCTGCCCTCTTGGGGGTTGCCATCCCTCTGCCACCCTCACAGGTGCTGTGACAGAGGGAACATATGTTGCTCCTACCCCAGAGGACAGAGACAACATCTTAACAGCCACAGCCCCACAGAGCTGGGCTCAGCAGGCCTTGACAGAACTGGAAAGGCAGCCTCTCTCCTGGGCCTGGGCCTGGCCTGAGTCTGGGTTGTGGGCGGAAGGGTAGAAGCAAAGCCTGTAGACCCCTCCCAGAAAGGAATCAATAGGCTGGACTGCTCTCCCCACGCTCACTCCCAAACAGTAGAACAGTGGAAAATTCATGGGTTCCAGAACAATAGAGATTTCCTTGGATGTCCTTGTCCTCAGATTCTCTGTGAGAAGTCAGAGTTTACAAGTCCTTAGAGATTCTTTCTCACACGCTCATCATACAGATGAGGAAACTGAGATGCAGAGAAGTTCACCCAGGTCTTTTTCAGGTTGTTTTTACTACACCACATTTGCCACATGAACAGAAACTCCCAGAGTTATCACTAAGCAGGATGTATTAGACTCTAAAGGTAGTAGCATAGATGGAGGTTAGATAACAAGTAGAACTTTCTCAGAATAGTAGGTCACAGAAGAAGATGAGAAGCAAAGTAAAGAAAGTGCATTCTCTAAAACAGTAGGGTGGGGGTGGGAGGGATGGAGCCAAAGAATCAGGATAAAATTTTGCAAAAAGATAGAAATATAGAGAACACAGGAAAGGGAGCTGGCATAGAGCCCAGAGCAAGGACAACTGGGGTGTGGAGCTTCTGGGGTTCTTCATTCAGGACCCCTAGATTTCATCTGTCCCAGGCTTCTGGGTATCAGCAGTAGTTTAAAGTCAGACCTTATCTGGGCTGATTCTCTTGGCTTTCTCCTTGTTTTCCTGGGATGGCTTATCTGGCTGCCAGAGTCATTTGCCTTCTCTAATTTGTGTTTAAATTAAAGTTCCCACAAACAGAGGTTTAATGTGCTGTTACCAAGAACTCCCAGGCCCCCTGCAGCTCTGGGAAGTTGAAGGGGCTGGGGAGAAGAGGTCAGTCTGTGCGCATCCCATCGAAGCTGATCCCACTGGCATTGGACCTGGAGTGGATAACCCAAATAAGTGTCTCCGTCCTTGCTGCTCCATCCAGAATGGTGATGACAAGGGGCAGGGCAGGGAAAAGCATGCTCACAAAGGGCCTGGGGCCAACATGCTTGTTCAGGGGCTCCTGGGTGGCTGTTCATCCTTTTTCAGGATGGTGAGGAGAAGGCAGGGGAGGTGGGCAATGAGAAGAGGGCAGGGGGTGGAAAATAAGGAGAGAGCAGGAGGCTCCATTCTTTAACACTTGTGTATGGCGCTCACTGTGTGCTAGCACTGTTCCTGGGCACCTCATAACTACAAATTCAACCTACTACACAACCTGTAAGGCAGGTGTTATTAACATTAGCCCCATTTTTATAGATGGGGAAACAGAGGTATGCCCAGTATCACACAGCTACTAAGATGCAGATACAAGGAGTCAAGCCAGTGCCGTTTAGCTCCAGATTCCCAGTGCTATGTTGACACTTAAGCCAAAATTTATCTGTCACCCTCCCAATCTCTTGATCACAAGGTGAGGCTTCTCTTTGCCAGAGCAACTGAGACAAAGTGAAACTCCCATCCTGCTCCCCAGAACTTTACCTCTCTTGGCCGCAGTCTTCTCATCTGTAAAATGAGGATAAGATACTAGGAGGGGTTGAGGGTCCGGGAAGGTTTAATGAGACAGCTTGTCAGTGACCAGCACAGGGTAGGTCCCCAGCAGTGGCTGCTTCCTTCTCTGTAGTCTAACCATGAGCCTTCCTGCTGTGCCTTCCTGCGCTGCCTCTTAACTTTGCTTTCAAAGGAGCTAGCGGCAGTGATCCTCGCCCCTTAAAGAAAACCCTCAGGAGAGCGTTGTTCCTCATTCATTTGTCCAAATTCTCTCTCTTCCTCTGGGAAACCCTGAAAAAGAGGGATAATAGAGCTGAACTGGAGCCCCAACCTGCTCTGTCCCCACCTCCTCTGCACCCAGGTGAGCCAGTCAGGGTGGCAACAGAAAATAAATGACACATTCGAAAGGGTTTCACTGAAGGGTTTAGTGATGTGACAGTTTCTAAAGGCATAGATCAGATGAAGAAAACTAATAAGGGCTAGTGTGGCACCAGGATAGAAATATCTCTACCAAAGCCCGATGCCAACTGGGGTCATGGGACACAGGAGAGAGGCCACTCAGCAAAGCTGTGACCATGGAGGAACCACAACCACCACCAGAGCTTCAGGCAGGCAAAAAGGGGGGCTGACAGGGAATGGGGGAAACAAATACCCTGACTCCTCTCTCCCCGTTCTCAGCTGGGACCTCTATTGGCCGAGAGATCAGGGGGCCCAGGTGACACAGTCTGCAGAGGTCAGCCTCCCTGGGCAGAGCAGCACAGAGAACACAGTGGGGCAAACAGAAAACCATCCCCATCCCATCCCACCCGCGAGTCCCTGCTCTGATACCAAAGCCTTCTCTCTGCTGCTTTATTGCCACCTCTATCACTACCTGCAGCCAAACAGTGACTGACAGGGAAAGAGAGTCAAGACTCCTTCAACGCAAACACTCCAGCTCACAAGGAAGGTGGGATCCAGGCAGAGGGCAGCTTGAGGGAAGAGGGCTGTGTCTGAAGGGCAGCAGGGCAGGGACTGCCCACTCCCAGCATGGAGAGACAAAGAGAAGGACCGCACTGGGGGTGAGGATGTCAAACGGCGATAGTAAATGACTCTCTTTCCTCAGCATATGATACAAATCACTGTGCATCTTCCTTCCTCCTCCCCTCTCTAGACCGGGAGCCCCTGTGGGGAAGGGATTTTGTCTTGTTCACCCTTGACATCTAGCACAGTGCCTCTTAGGGGCATAATCAGAATTTATTGAATAAATAAGCAAATAGATATGTAAACGAATGAACAAACCCATTTGCAGCTCATATGCACAGCCCTGGGCCCTGGTCAGGGAGCACTGTTGAATGAATGACATGCAGCATTCCTACAGTAGTTTTATTTCAATCGGTTCCATCATTTACCACTTCAGGTTTCCTTTCAGCCACTCAGTCATGGGCCACACAGCCCACGTTTGTCTCCACGCTGGCCAGAGGCTGTGCTTTGATAGCACCCACTCAAATGTGCAGTGACCTCATCAGGCTCCTCCTGATGGAGGAATAAGGGGAGTAGCAAGTGACTTCCTTTCTCACAGCAGCCTTTCTGTGAGCTCTCTATTGAGAGAAATCTTGATCCATGGCAAACCGTCTGTGGTATTCTCGGCTGTAGCCCTTGGCGGGAGATGGGAGGAGGGAATGACAGTGCCAAGGAGGCAGCTGAAGGATCGTCACCCTGGGAGCCACAGCTCTGGCTTCCTTTTGCCAATGGGCCATAAAGACTGAGGGAGGCAGGTGGAAGCAGGGGCACCAGACTAACAAACTAGAGTTTCAAGTGTAGTCCCCATGCAAAGCCCACCTGGCGAAGTGGTTAGACACAGATGCTGGGGCTGGGCTCAAGATCCCTGTTCTACCACCTGCTGGCTGTACAACCTTGGGCAAGATACTTGATTACCATGCCTCAGTTTCCACATCTTAAAAAATGTGAATAACAGTAATGCCTACTTCACATGGTGGTGAAAAAGTAGATGAGTTAATAGTTATGAGATACAGCCAGGCCTGGTGGCATGGGCCCATAGTCCTAGCTACTCAGAAGGCTGAGGTGGAAAGATTGCTTGAACCCAGGAGTTCAAGACCAGCCTGGGTAACATAGCAAGACCGCTCCCTCCTTTATTTTTTTGAGATGGAGTTTCACTCTTGTTGCCCAGGCTGGAGTGCAATGGCATGATCTCAGCTCACTGCAACCTCCACCTCCTGGGTTCAAGTGATTCTCTTGCCTCAGTCTCCGGATTCCAGGGATGAACCACCACACCCAGCTAATTTTTGTGTTTTGCATTTTTAGTAGAGACAGGGTTTCACCGTGTTGGTCAGGCTGGCCTCAAACTCCTGACCTCAGGTGATCTGTCCACCTCAGCCTCCCAAAGTGCTGGGATTACATGTGTGAGCCACTGCGCCTGGCTGCAAGACACCCATCTCTCTAAAAATGAAAGTTTTGAACTATTTAGGAGAGTACATGATCCATGGTAAGCTCTATATAAATTTTGTTACATAAAATTAAGGTTCTAGTCCCATAAACCTTTTCTGTAATAAGCTGCTCAGCCTTAGATACCTCTCATATTTGCTGTGAGAAGTGAACAAATGCATGTGAAAACTGTAATGTGTTTATAATTTTTATTATTTGTCATCAAGATCATGTAAGAGACCTGATTTAGTAGAGGGTGAAGGGATGCAAAAGGGGCTGTCAGTCATCAACTTTTGATTATCTGCCTTGTTAAGGTCCCCTTCTTGTCAACATCATCAGCTCTTTGGCTTGTTCAAGTCTTTTGTTGACAATATCCAGGCTTCTCATGGTCCCTCCCACACACAACGGGCACACAGCAAGGGCTGGAAGGAAAAAGCCTTTGAAAGCAAAACGGGTCCTTCCCTTCCTTAGCCTTGAAGCGGGAATAACCACTAGACAGAAGGCTGTGAGGGAGTACTCTGGCACTTTCACTGTGGCTGCTTTGCCTTTGGGCAGGAGGGGAAACTGATCAGCTCCCTCTGTGGTAAGGCTGCAGGAAGAGATATTGGCATTTGTTATGAAGTGCTAGGAATAAAAACACATACATGGCCGGGTGCAGTGGCTCACGCCTGTGGTCCCAGCACTTTGGGAGATAGGAGCAGGCGGATCACAAGGTCAAGAATTTGGGACCAGGCTGGCCAACATGGCGAAACCGTGTCTCTACTAAAAATACAAAAATTAGCCAGGTGTGGTGGCGGCCACCCGTAATCCCAGCTACTCAGGAGGCTGAGGCAGGAGAATCACTTGAACCCAGGAGGTGGAGTTTGCATTGAGCTGAAATCATGCCATTGCACTCCAGCCTGGGCAACAAGAGCAAAACTCCATCCCCCCAAAAAAACAAACAACAACAACAACAAAAAAAACAGAAAACAAAAAACAACAACAAAAAAAACCCATACACACATACTTATCCCAGTGTCCAGAGCAAATGTTCTGCCACTTGCTGCTATGGGTGTGATTTCAGATAGCTACTTTAACCTGAGTTTTGGTTTTTCTCATCTTCAAAATGGAAATATTGATGCCTAATTCAAAGGGTGAAAATTAATGAACTATAGAAACCCCTTGGTGTATGTCTGGTCCAATAAATGGTAGCTCTTATTAGCTAACATTTTGTAATATCTGCCCACTATCTCCTCCAAGGGATGGAGAAGTAATGCTGACTTCCAGACTAGGAAAGGTAGTGGTAGCAGAAAGTGATTTACAACTCTGACTTTTTTCACATTTTCTTTCCAGAGCACATAGTAAGTTCTTGTTGGTTCATTCATTCATTGAACAGTGTTTAGAAGTTTGAACAAGCTTGAACAACTTGCCATCATTTTGTTCACTTGTATTCATCTTACTCTCACCACTAGAACTGCAAGGTCCATGAGGGCAGAGGCAGTGTCTGTTGCTGGGTGAGTGACTGGATTGACCTCAAAGCATGTCTGAAGACTGAAATGGTCCAGGCAAGGAGATGGAAACTGGAGGCCTGGATTCTGGGCTCAGTCATACCTCCAAGAACATAACTTTCCCTAGAACCTGGAGCCTTCACAGACCTTCCTTCCACTGTGAGGCACTGGAGAATCACTTGAGACCAGACTCAGGGAACTCTTCCCTCATGGGAAGACATTCATTCATCCACTCCATGTCTTTGAAGCCCCAAGAGAAGGATCTGAATCCCCTAGTCTGAAGAGTCAGCAAGTTTCCAACATAGCTATCATGATAAAAAGGGAGAATTGATAAAGGAGGGAGCAGCCCCACCTCAGTAACAATAGAGGGAGGAAAATTCCAGCTAGTACATGTACTTAATATGAAAGCAGACATGTGCCAAGACCCTGCTTTCATGGATATTAGGTGTACCCAAATATAAGAAACACCAATTCTTGCCCACAGGCCTCACTGGATACTATCCAAGATGTCTAGAGAATGAGAGGAAAGAGAGAATAATAATATCCAAAAGGTGGAAACAACCCAAATGTTCACCAATAGATGAACGGATAAACAAAGTGTGATATACCCATACAATGGAATATTAGTCAGCCTTGAAAAGGAATGAAGTACTGATAAATGCTACAACATGGATGAACCTTGAAAACACTATGCTCAATGAAAGAAGCTAGTCACAGTAGGTCTCTTATTATATGATGCCATTCATATGAAAGTCCAGAATAGGGAAATCTACAGAGACTGAAAGTACATTAGTGTTGTTAAGGGCAAGAAGGAATATGGGGGGATAGGGAGGTGATAGCTAAAGGTTACAAGATTTCTTTTTGAGGTGATGAAAATGTTCTAAAATTAACTATGATGATGGTTTGACACACCTGTGAATATACTAAAATCATTGAATTGTACATTTCAAATGGTGAATTGTATGACACATGAATTATACCTCAAGAAAGTTGTTTTTTAAAAAGACAGCATAAGGGGTAGGGGGAAGTTGAGATGAAGCAGGAAAACTGTGATCAGAAACAAAGCTCAGGGGCTGTCTAGCCTGGCTGCCCCAAGTCGAAGCCTGCATTTCATACAGGCAATGTTAGGGTAGCCCCCAAGCCACGATTCGGAAAGATAAATTGACCCCAGAAGGTATAGGGCTGGGTCCCTTCTCCCCTGACAGCTCCCTTTCTGTGTTTTTACTGGCACAAGAAACTCTGTCATCTTGTATAAATAGGAGAAATTTATGGCAGTTTTCCCTCTTCTTCTCCCTGGTGGGCTACTAGGAAAGGTCCAGGGGGAGGAGGGAGCCTGAAATTCCAAAAATATAAATGTGGAAAGACTGGAGGGTGTCGAGGAGTCTCTTTGCCTGCCTTGGCTCTGGCCCCAGCTCTCCTTTCCCTTTGCATGTTTGACCATCTGGGTGATGCGGAGGGCAGAGAACTGGTGCAGCCCATTCTCTCTGCAAGCCCAAAAGAGATGGGTCCCAAATCTGATATCCAACAGGAGGGGCACAAGGGAAATCAAGGAAATAGGCTTGGCTGTCCCATGAAATTATTGGAGGAGACACAGACCACTGCCCTCCTTCCTGGATTTGGCTATTTTTGTACTTCCTTATTTGTTGAGGCAGCCTGATACAGTGGGAAGAGAACTCGTCCTAGATTTAGAAAGATTGACAGAGAAACTAAGTGTGTGACCTTAAGCAAGTCATATCTTCTCTCCAGGCCTCACCTGTAAAAAGAGGGAGGGGACTGAATTTATCAGGGGTTTTCACATGAGTTTAACTCTGGGGTCCTTCCTTCAAATAAAACCATATATAGTGACCCAACATGAACACGAGTAGTAGCCTGCTGAGCTTCTTGAAGGTAAGAATGGGAGTCTCAGGACCCTGTGGTGACTGGCGAGAGGCTTGTCCAAGCACAAGATGATCTCCATGGCTTTTCCAGCCCTGTCCTCAGGAGGGATTTGCCCCCATGGTGAAGAGGCTCAGTTCTGCACACCCAGTGGGCTTGAAATCCAGCTCCACCCCCTCCTGTGTGTCCCTCAGCACATAACTTACCTTCCTTGAACCTGTTTCCTCGTGTATAAACTGGAATAATAGTAACACGTATCTCAGAGGATTGTCACATAGATTACACTAAATAATGTGCATACAGTCCTTCGCATACTATCTGGCCCAATAAATATCATTATAGTTATTCCGTGATCTGATGTAATCAGTTTTTTGTTTTGAGACAGAATCTCATTTTGTAGTCCAGACTGGTGCACAGTGGCATGATCTCAGTTCACTGCAACCTCCGCCTCCTGGGTTCAAGCAATTATCCTGTCTCAGCCTGCCAAGTAGCTGGGATTACAGGAGTGTGCCACTGTGTCCAGCTAATTTTTGTATTTTTTAGTAGAGATGGGGTTTTACCATGTTGGCCAGACTGGTCTCGAACTCCTGGCCTCAAGTGATCCGCCTGCCTCAGCCCCGCACAGTGCTGGGATTACAGGCACGAGCCATCGCACCTGGCCTGATATAATCTTTTTAATTTGAAATATCTGGTGTGAGAAGGTGAATTAGAAAGGATGACAGCAAAACTGCTATAACACAAAGGCCCCAAAACACAGTAGCATATAGAAAACAGAAGTTTATTTCTCTCTTAGTCTGGGAGGAAGCGGTTCCAGACAGCAGGCAGCTCTGTTCCTCCTAGTCAGTCAGGGACGTGTGTTCCTTTCATACCTTTGCTTTGTCTTCTCTTAGGGATATCTTTTCAGTTGCCTGGTCAAACCTGTCTCAGGCACATCTGCCCAGCTCATGAAAGAGAGAACACAAAGGAGAATTTACCCAATGCCGTCAGGCTTTGAGGACATGCTCTCCTCACATTTCCCTGTGTCTACACCTGGCAACAAGACAGCTGGGAAATGGAGTGTCCAGCTGGGTGTCTCTCCACCCTCGGGCAGCAAGGAAAGAAGAGATTTTAGTGGACAATGGGCAGTCTTAATCCAGGGCTCAAACCCACACCTGAGCTGTCCTCTTCCTCTTCTCTTCCCAAAGGAAGGGAAATAAAGTCTACAGCCCAGAAAACAATGTGACCACCCATCCCCTACCCAATCAGGTCCCTGCCATTCATCCCAAGATCAGCTGTTTCCGGAAAGTGGCTTGGAAGCCTCCGTCCAGAAAGACCACCGTTCGGTCCATCTTCTTCACATGGGTGGATGTGAGAAAAGTTTCTGTCCCCACTGCCTGCCTGCCACTCCCTGTCTCAGTTTCAGCTCATGCTCTAGCCCTTTGTTCCCAGTCACCAAGAGTGACTACAAATATGAGGGAACAGGAGGACCTGAAACAGTCATGGAAATTGAGACTGGGACACAGAAGCCAGGCTCAGAGACAGCCTAGGTGAGGGTTCTCATGCCAGGAAATCCAGCTACTACTGTGTAACCTAAAGCGGGGATTAAGCTCTCAGAACTTCAATGAACTCTTTTGGAAATAGGGATAAGAAACCCACTTGTCAGGGCTGTTGTGAACATCAAATGTGATCATGTATGTACCTAGTACATAGTATGCCTTCAATAAATGGTAAGGCAAACGGAAGGCAAATCAAATTCATGTCCATTACTCTGACCCAGCCTTTGCATAAATTCTTTTTTCTTCTCCTTCCTTGTCAATGCATGGCTCCCTCCCTCTTCTTTATTTCCTATCCTCATTCCCCTACCATCTGAACCCTGATCTGGAATCTCTTTTCTCAGGAAATCTTCCATGATTGAAAAATTCCTGCTTGGCCACTTTCCACTCCAATACTCTATCTTCACCCATCTTCCATCTACCCCATGGTCCTGGCCCAAGTTTACACGTGTCCCATCCCTCCCTTCAAAAAGCATGCAGCAATGGAAGGGCTTTAAGTTTGTCATCAAGCAGATCAGAGTTCAGATGCCAACTCTGCCAAGTTCTAGCTTTAGAACTTTGTCAGATCACTTCCTCTCTTTGAATCTCTGTCTTCCCAACCCTCTGGTGAGGTCAAGTGTGTGTGGGCTGGTACATAAAGGATATTTAATCTCCTCTGCTCTACCCAACCTCCCCCAACTCACACTCCCAGGACTACCTCTCTACTAAAGGGAGTTATTAGACCAAGAAAGTAATTCTCCCATTACCAGATCCAACCCAACCTTGCCCAGGGAAAAAGAAGTGACTTTGAGTCTATGGGTCTTGGAGGGACCACCAACCCAAGAGCTAGAGCAGAGGAAAGACTTGGATATCCCAGCTTCCAGGTTTATAGGCTCTCTCCCCAAGCCCTCATATGCAGCCCCATTTGCAGGACTAGCTTCAGGGATAGGAGAGAAAGAGTTGATCTGATTCCAATCTTAGCCTGTAAGTAGTAGCTCACCTATGCCTCTATTTTCAACCTTCCTAGATCAGAAGAGCAACAATATCAATGACAACTAATGGGTACATAGTGTTTCCTATGGGATGGACATTGTTCCAGGCTCTTTGTACATATAACTCATTTAATCCTGACAGCAGCCTTTGAGCTAGGTACTATTAACCCCGTTTTACAGACAAGAAAACTAAAGCACAAGGGGTTAAGTAACTTGCCTAGGTCATACAACTCACATAAGGCATGACCGAGATTCAAAACCAGGCCGTCTAGCTCCAGAATCCATCCTGTTAACCACTCTGCCATAAAAAGAGCTAACATTTACTGGCAGTTTCTATGTGCCAAGCACTGTGGAAAACACATGGCATGTATTTCTTCTAATTCCAAATAACCCCCTGAGATAAGTTCTATTATTAGTATCCCTGTTTTACAGGTCAAGAAACTAAGGCAGAGAGAAAAGTTAAGCAACTTGCCCTGAGTCACACAGCTAGATATTAATAGTTTCAGAACTCCTAGCTGTTTTGCCTCAAATCCCACCTCCCCACCCCTGCTCAAAGCCCCTCCCCTTCTAGGTGGGTTGTTTAGTTCCTATCATAAGTTCTTCACAAATCTGCTTTACCCCCCACAGCCTACAACCCTTGTTCTCCAAAACTCCTGTTGACCTCCGTCCCTTTCCCTTCCCACTTTCTCCCTAGTCCCTCTGCTCCCCACAAAGTCCCCCAAACCATTCTGTCTCTCTCCCTCTGCTCCCCCCAACCCTCCTCCACAACTCCTGCTGAAACAGATGAATTTCACCAAAAAAGACCATCAGACTTTCCCCAAGCCGTCCCCCACTGTGCCTAATCGCACACCCCCAGGGGAGGCACCACAGTGGCTAAGCTGGAGAGCCAGAAATAAAATCCTCATTCTACTTCCCTGCCCCCTCTTCCCATCACTCATCTGGGAATCCAGGGCGAAGAAGGGAGCTAAAGTGCAGAGCATTCATTTAATATTAACAAATTGAAATGAATTCTTTTAATGCCAATTAACTTGGAGCGGCCCCTTATTAATAGTAACTTAGATTCATACTTGGGAGAAGCAGGGACGGGGGCTGGGCCAAATGTGCCCAGAATGTCAATGTGACTGGGGACCTGAAAGCGGAGGGGTGGCAGTTTTGCTTCTGCCCAGTTGGGTTCTGTTTCCCTGAGAGAAATGGAGTCACTGGAGGCGGATCTCTGGGAAACACAAATTACTCTTGTAAGTTTATTTTTGTTACTTCAAGGAATCTGAATAGTTTGAAGCCATGTCACACCATTTTAAGAGTTTATTTTCACAGTAATGCTAAAAAGAAGAATTTCCTCAGGGCTGGGATTTACTTCAAACTCTCTCCTAAGCCAAACCTTACTGACAAAAGGAACAAGTCCCCAGGCCAGCTCTCTACCCTTCTTTGTTCAGAGCTAGAGCCAGGGATCAATTTGGGCTTCCTCAATCCCTGCCCCTTCTACCTTAACAAAAACTAAAAGGAAGAATCAACACTGTATGTCTCTCTGAGAAGTCTCCCCCAGGAGGTAAAAGACCCAAAGGGCTGACCCCTAAGCTAACAGCTTACATTTAAGGAAGAAAAACAATCTGCCTGCACTTTTCTTAGAATTTAAGGAAAAAATGAGAATTTAAAATTCAATTTCATGTATCAGAGTTCTCCAGAATACAGCCAAGTGGAAAGAACTTAGTCCCAAATGAAAAAGTTGAACAGAAATTCTGCTCTCACTCGTTTTGCCAGCTTGGAGGTGAGACTGGAGGTGTCCTGAACTAGAACCAGAGCATAGGTTCTGACCCAAGAAGGACACTGTCTACTTCCCAGGCATCCCTCCTTGGCTGGGAGGAGAGGGGAGGATGAGTCCGTTGGAAGCTGAGAATTGTGGAAGCTGGGGATGGGAGTTTTGAGATGGAGGAGGCAGGAGCGTGAAGGAGGTCAGGGAAAGACAAGTAAATCTACTAACCATTGCAGTTTATAAAATAAAAACCTTAAAAATGGTTTAACATGCAAAAGGTTAAATTTTAAAAAGAGGTCAGGTTTTAAAGAAGGTAAAATACCTCAAATTTAAACATAATAAAAATGAGGAAAATACACAAAAATTTCAAGCAAATTGTTCTTCAGAAGAGGAGAGGTTGGAATTAATCAAAAGACCTTTTTTACACACACCACCCCAAGAGTTTCCCAAACAATAAATTCATTTACAAAACAAAAAGAGGAATCAACACAAAACCTCATCCACATACAGAGAAAAATAAATTGTGGTGATTCGGTAACAGCTGAAAAACTAGTGAGGGAGGAGAAAAATGAATAAACTCTAAATCCATTAGGTGATATTTATAAATAGCAAAATTGGAGGATGGAATGGAGAAAGGAGTTGCACTTATCATTAAAGAAGTAACACATGTGAAAACATAAGGTGTAACTCATCCCCAAAGAAAAGTAAACTCTCCATAAAGTAGCAAGTATAGAAATTTATTGAAAAGGAGGAAAGTACCACTCACCCCCCCCAATATAAGTGTATTAATTTGAATTAAAATTTTCTCCAAATCCGAGATAGGTTACACAAAAGAATACAAAAAGATTTTTTTCTTTCAACTAAGAGGAAAAACAAAATCCGATTTAAATTCACTAATGGGACAGGAAGGGAGGCTGTGGTTTGCAGGTGCTAGTAAACGGGGTGAAGGTTGTGAAGAGTTTGAGGGGTAGAGGACCAGCTTACCTCGCTTTGGAGCCGCCGCGGCCAACAGGAGTGGGCAAAGGACGCTGCCAGTGCCTGAGTGATACGGGAAATAAGGAATAGGGGATTCGGGTGCACCTAGACGAATGAGGAGGATGGAAAGACTGGGGGTGCCCATCTCCCTTCCTTTGCCCGCCTCCCTCCCTCCGGTACCCAGGCCTAGAGAGTTACTGAAAGTTACAAATTGCTTCCATTATTACTCATCCTGGGCGGCCTGGTCATTGGCCAGCCCCTGGCCACGTGGTCCCTCGTAGCAATCGATCGAATTTCTAGTCGCAATTCTCTGTCCCTCAGCTCTGGGGAGAAAGTGGGGGCTGTGGCGTGGGGGCTGAGGTCCAGTTTGGGGCGGGGTGGGAGAGGAGTCCTTGAGTATCCTGTCCCCGGGCCAAACCCCCAGGAGTCCAGTCTTCAGGACCTCCTTGAGCCGACTTCCACCGATGGAGGGGGATCTTCAGGGCACCTGCTGGGTTCTCAGGACTCCTCTTCAGATCCTAGTTTGGACCCCTCTGGATTAGAAAGGATGGGCTCAGCACATCTGGTGAGGCAGGCAGGTCCTCGCTGCAGCACAGAATGATCCCATGGCCCTCAAAGCGTGGTGTCAGCTGAAAGTTCATTGATCCGTGAGCCCTCTGCCTCCCTCCTCCGTTGAAAGAGCAGTGGCGTGCCCCGCTTTTAAAAGCCCTGGGGCTCCTGCAAGCGGACACCGCTTTCCAGGACATGTGCAAACAGGGATGGTGCGAAGCAGAGGTGGAGACAATGCGATCACGTGTGGCACTGGCGTATCCCACAGCAGATGGTGTGAATGTGCGTCACCGGAGGCATATGGGGTGATGGCGAAACCAACAATGGTGTCCAGGCATGTGCCCAGTGGAAACGGGAAACAAGTGGCCTTTCCCTGAGTGCCAAGGGAACTCAAAGAAGACCTGGGAACCTGGATGGGGCCTGTGCCTCAGTCCAAGCCACATTTTGAAATGCCTGCCAGAGGAGCACAGAGGTTTCTGCAACATTCACCCCACCCCGAAGCCTCCACCGCCCAGGTAGCCCTGATGCAACCTTCCCTGCACCCAGCCCCAAACCCATCCCCAGGCCCAGCCCAGTTCCTTTGGTTTCCTGACATTCATTACAGCCAAAAGATTCAAGGAATCAGTCCACCTATGAGTAGAGGAGAGGATATCCCTCATTTGTGAGACAGGACTTGCAGAGGAAATGGGACACCACCTGTCCTAGAAGACAAGGCCAGTCATGATCACCTAGCGCTTATTCTAGGCAATCCACCCACCCATGAGGTGAAGCAAGGAGACCAAAGAAGCTTCCCTGTCTGAGACACGCATGGAAGCCAAGTGTTCCAGGCTTATCAGACCTGCCCAATCCAGCAGAAACAGGTTTGGAGAGAGAAAGAGTCATGTCACGCATCTCCAGAAAGTGTCTCCCTGATGGACTGGGAAGCGATCTTCGTAGAAGTTATTAGCCAGACCAAGAGGCAACTAGGCCCCTCAGAAACAGGGGAGACAGAGCAAGAGGGAGGACAGAGCAGAGGCCAGAGCCCAGGCAGGTTACAGGACCTTGCCACTGCCACGGGCATAAGGGGAGGGGTGTGAAATGTGTGACTTGTCCAGAGAGGCCAGCATTCCAGGGACAGGGATTGTTGCCGTCTCCCATTCCCGGCTTCCTCCTCAGAATTGTATCGTGGTGTGGCTTCATTGCTCAGAGAAGAGCCGTGCAGGGGTACAACCATCTTCTTGGAGGTGGGTCTGCTCCTCTCCTGCCGGACAATGAGCTGCTGTGGGGTTTTGTCCTGGGCTGGAGTGTGGTCCTCTTGATCTTAGAAAAGTGGCCGCTCAGGATGGGGATGAGACTTCGATTGCTCCGGGACTGACGCGTCTCCTCACATGATCGAGGACTTCACAAACCCAAAGTGGAACCGCCGTGAAAATGACGG
Source organism: Homo sapiens (assembly GCF_000001405.40). Classification (NCBI taxonomy): domain Eukaryota; kingdom Metazoa; phylum Chordata; class Mammalia; order Primates; family Hominidae; genus Homo; species Homo sapiens. Next base: position 30,337,513 of record NC_000020.11, read on the forward strand.
ACAACCGGCCAGGGGACCCAGGCAGAGACACAGAAAGAGGCTCAACAAAGACTGGCCGATATGCAAAAATTTGCATTTTGGTGAACAGAGCACATTCGTCCAAAGATACACACACACACAGGCATACACACACAAACACACACACACACAGACTGACAGAGAGAGGGAAAGAAACACACAGAGGGTGAGAGACAGAGAGAGAAGAGAGAACGGGACACACACACACACACACACACACACACACACAGTCCTACAGTGGTGGCACAGAAACACACACTCCCTGGCAACCCCTGAGGCTAACTAATAGTGGAAAATATGTATCTAAGAATACACTTGGAACAGAAATGTGAAAAACCGAAAGTAAGAGGTATTATGAAGGATCAAATATAAAATGACCCAGTGCTAAAGAGGCAACAAAGAAAACTGTAGAAGAAAATGACAAGAGGCATTGTGCCTTAATGAGTTTGTGCTACTATATAGAAAATACACTAGGCTGGGTAATTTCTGAAGAACAGAAATGTATTTCTCACAGTTCCATAGGCTAGAAGTCCAAGATCAAGGTGCCAGCAGGATTGGTGTCTGGTGAGGGCCTGGTCTCTGCATCCAAGATAGTACCTTGTGCACTGTGTCTTCAGGAGGAGATGCACTGTGTCCTCACATGGCAGAAGGCGGAAGGGCAAAACAGGGGAAGCCCACTCCTTCCAGTTGTGTAAGGATCCTACACCCATTTGTGAAGACTCTCCCTTCATGACTGAATCACTACCTAAAAGCCCTACTTCCTAATCCTATGACATTGGTGATTAATTTTAGGGGGACACATTCAGAGCATAGCACCCTATATTCAATTTCTTAAAAATTATTTTGTTGTTTTGCTTTTCTGTTTTTCAAATGACTTAAAGTGCTCAAAATTGGATTAATCATAATCCTTGGCTCATAGCACACCTTGGCTCCTATTTCATCCTTGTCTGTGCCTGAGCCTCTGTGTAAATGTATTTGAACAATATGGTAATCACTTGTGAACTTACAACACAACCAAAGAACTAGGGTTCTGACCCTAACATCTGCTCCTCCTCTGTCCTTTTTTCTGATTTTCCACCTTCAGCCCGAGGGTAACTAATACCCTGAATTTATGTTTAGGATTCTCTTCCTTTAAAAAAAAAAAAACATTGTTTGATTGCATACATATGATTACCCTAAATGACATATTATTTAGTTTTTAAGGGTATAATTTATTTACCCATTCTCCTATTAATTTACCCATTCTCCTATTAATGAACATTTGGCTTATTTCCAGATTTTTGCTATTATGAATGGCATTACATGAGCATTTTTTTTTAATACTTCTGGTACATATGGGCAAGAGTTTCTCCAGGGCCTATGGCAGAGGAATTACTTTGCCATAACATATGAGAATGCTCAAATTTATAAGATAATCCAAATTGCTTTCCAAAGTGGTTGTTCTAATTTAAACTCTCACCTCCTGTATTAGTTCGAGATGATCTTGTTGATCCAGTCTCTCCATATATGGTGATATGGTTTGGCTGTGTCCACACCCAAATCCCAGGTTGAATTCTATCTCCCAGAATTCCCACATGTTAGGGGAGGGACCCAGGGTGAGGTAATTGAACCACAGAGGCCAGTCTTTCCTGTATGATTCTCATGATAGTGAATAAGTCTCATGAGATCTGATGGGTTTATCAGGAGTTTCTGCTTTGGCTTCCTCCTCATTTTCTCTTGCTGCTGCCATGTAAGAAGTGCCTTTTACCTCCTGCCATGACTCTGAGGCCTCCCCCACCATGTGGGACTGTAAATCCAATTACAGTTCTTTTTCTTTACACCTCTTTTTCTTCTCAGACTTGGGTATGTCTTTATCAGCAGTGTGAAAACAGACTAATACAGTAAATTGATACCAGTGGAGTGGGGTGCTCCTGAAAAGATACCCAAAAATGTGCAAGTGACTTTGAAACTTGGTAACAGGCAGAGATTGGAACAGTTTGGAGGGCTCAGAAGAACACCGGAAAATGTGGGAAAATTTGGAACCTCCTAGAGACTTGCTGAATGACTTTGACAAAAGTGCTGATAGTGTTTTGAACAATAAGGTCCAGGCCGAGGTGGTCTCAGATGGAGATGAGGAACTTGTTGTGAACTGGAGCAAAGGTAACTCTCGTTATGTTTTAGCAAAGAGAATGGCAGCATTTTGCCCCTGTCCTAGAGATTTGTGGAACTTTTAACTTGAGAATGATAATTTAGGGTATCTGCTGGAAGAAATTTCTAAGCAGTAAAGCATTCAAGAGGTGACTTGGGTGATGTTAAAGGCCTTCGGTTTTATAAAGGAAGCAGAGCATACAGTTTTGGAAAATTTGCAGCCTGACAATGTGATAGAGAAGAAAATCCCATTTTCTGAGGATAAATTCAAGCTGTCTGCAGAAATTTGCATAAGTAACAAGAAGCTGAATGTTAATCCCAAAAACAATGGGGAAAATGTCTACAGGACATGTCATAGGTCATCACAGAAGCCCCTCCTATCACAAGCCGGGGGCCTAGGAGGATAAAATGGATTTCTGGGCTGGGCCAGGTTCACTGTGCTGTGTGTAGACTAGGGCTTTGTATCTCTGTGTTTCAGCCCCTCCAGCCATGGCTGAAAGGGGACAACATAGAACCCAGGCCATGGCCTTGAGAGTGCAAGCACCAAGCCTTGGCAGCTTCCATGTTGTGTTCAGCCTGCACATGCATAGAAGTCAAGAATTGAGGTTTGGAAACCTCCACCTAGATTTCAGAGGATGTTTGAAAACACCTGGATGTCCAAGCAGAAGTTTGCTGCAGGGGTGGTGCTCTGATGGAGAACCTCTGCTAGGGCTGTGCAGAAGAGAAATGTGGGGTCAGAGCCCCTATACAGAGTCCCTACTGGGGCACTTCCTAGTGCAGCTGTGAGGAGAGGGCCACTCTCCTCCAGACCCCAGAATGGTAGATTCACTGACAGCTTTCACCATGAGCCTGGAAAAGCTGTGGACACTCAACATCAGCCCATGAAAACAGCCAGGAGGTGGGCTATACCCTGCAAAGCCACAGGGGCAGAACTACCCAAGGCTGTGGGAGCCCACGTCTTGCATCAGCATGACCTTGATGTGAAACATGGAGTCAAAGGAGATCATTTTGGAGCTTTAAAATTTGACTACCTTGCTGGATTTTGGACTTGCGTGGGGCCTGTAATCCCTTTGTTTTGGCAAATTTCTCCCATTTGGAATGGCTGTATTTACTCAATTACCTGTACCCCCATTGTATCTAGGAAGTAACTAGCTTGATTTGGATTTTACAGGGTCATAGGCAGAAGAGACTTGCCTTGTCTCAGATGAGACTGGAAAGTGGACATTTGGGTTAATACTGAAATGATTTAAGACTTTGGGGGACTGTTGGGAAGGCATGATCGGTTTTGAAGTCTGAGGACATGAGATTTGGAGGGGCCAGGAGCAGAATAATATGGTTTGACTATGTCCCTACCCACATCTCAACTTGAATTGTATTGCTCAGGATTCCCATGTGTTCGGGGAGGGAACCAGGGGGAGGTAGTTGAATCTTTAGGGCCAGTCTTTCCCATGCTATTCTTGTGATAGTGAATAAATCTCACAAGATCTGATGGGTTTATCAGTGGTTTCATCTTTTGCTTCTTTTGCCTCCTTCTCATATTCTCTTGCCACTGCCATGTAAGAAGTGCTGTTCATCCACCGCCATAACTCTGAGGCCTCCTCTGCCATGTGGAACCCTTAAACCAATTAAGCCTCTTTTTCTTCCCTGTCTCAGGTAGGTCTTTATCAGCAGTGTGAATATGGACTAATACATTTCGTATTGTCAAACTTCTTAATATTTGTGGAGAGAATAGATGTGAAGTATCTTGTGCATTTCCCTGATTACTAATGAGGTTGAGAAAATTTTTATGTTTTGCAGGCTTTCTCTTTTGTGAAATCCCTATTAATGTCTTTTCCCAATTTTCTGTTGGGTTGCTATTTTTAAAATTAATTCATAGGAGCTCCTTATACTTAGTTGATATGATATTAATCTTTTGTAGGTTTCAGTTACTGCAAATATCTTCTCTAATTTATAGTTTATCTTTTCACTTTTTTACTTTTATTTTTTAATTTCTATTTTTTGTTTTTGAGACAGAGTCTCGCTCTGTCATTCAGGCTGGAGTGCAGTGGCTCACTGCAACCTCCACCTCTCGGGTTCAGACCATTCTCGTGCCTTAGCTTCCCAAGTAGCTGGGATTACAGGTGTCTGCCACTAATACCTGGCTAATTTCTTGTATTTTTAGTAGAGATGGGGTTTCACCATGTTGGCCAGCCTGGTCTCAAACTCCTGATCTCAGGTGATGTACTGTTGGGATTACAGGCTTGAGACACTGTACCCAGCCTATCTTTCCACTTTTTGATGTAAAAAGTTCTTAATTTTGTGATAGTCAAAATGTCTACTCTTTTTTAATGGTTAAATGGCTTTTTGTGTCTCATTCACTTACATTTTCTACTAAAAGTTTTAAAGTTTTTTTCTGACATGTAAGTCTTTTGTCCATCTGGAATTTAATGTTTGTATATAGAATGAAGTAGGAATATAATTTCATTTTGTTTCTTATATCAATAACCATTATTTTTCTATTCTATTTATTGAAAAGTCCTTTCTTTCCTTGCTGATCTGCCATGTCACCTACATCACATATCGAAGATTAAATTTGTGGAGATTTGCTTGGGAACTCTATTCTGTTTCACTAGTCAGTGTATCAGTGAGGACCACACTGTCTTAATTGCTGTAGCTTTATAAAAGTCCTGATATTTGGCAGGACAAATCTTTCCTTTTCTTCAATGTCTTTGATATTATTGGCCCCTTCCCTTTTCCATATATGTATATATACATATATATATGGAAATTATATATATTATATATTTATATGTGTGTGTATATATATATATATATATAGAGAGAGAGAGAGAGAGAGAGAGAGAGAGAGACAGGCAGAGGTCTCACTTTGTTGCCCAGGCTTGAGGACAGTGGTGCAATGATAGCTCACTTCAGACTTGAACTCCTGGGCTCAAGAACTCCTCCTACCTCAGCCTCCCAAGTAACTGGGACTCTAAGGCATGCACCACCATATCCAGCTAATTTTTTTTAAAAATTGTTTTTTGCAATGATGGGGATCTTGCTATGCTGCCCAGGCTGGTCTCAAACTTTTGGCCTCAAGCAATCCTCCCACCTCAGGCTCCCAAAGTGCTGGGATCACAAGAGTGAGCCACCACACCTGGCTTCATTTTCCATATTTTAAGACCATTTTTAAAAAGTTGCTCAAGACTGCTTTTTTCTCTTGGTGTTACTTGCAACCCCCTTACTTAGCCTTGGAAATACTGTTAGTGAAGAAAATCTAAAGAGTCAAAAAATAAAATATTCTTTCTTTTCTTCCAATTGCAAAAGAGCAGACACCCTCCTGAATCATAAAGCTAGTTTTGATAAATTGGTGAACTGAGAGCATACACAGTATTATTAATTCTGTTCTAATTTCTGCTTCACTGTGGAGTGTCTTCAGAGTCTTAAAAGATTATTGCTATGAAATATTCTTATACATGTAACACAAAACCTCTACAATTCTGCAGTTGTATTTGGCTGTCTTACCTAATACTCAGTTGCTTTGCTTCATAATATTTAAATTGACATCTCTAATTTCCAAAAGGCATAAATACTAGTATAGATTTTTAGTTAAGCCAGAAGAAAGTAGACTTTCTTTACTAACATATCTTACATGTAAAAATTTAATAAATCTCCCTTCTTCTTTTCTTTTGCATCATAACAACCACTGAAAATAGTATTTCTATAGCAGTTGGGGGTAAATGGACAATGACTTTTGTGGCCAGAGGTGAATGGCCCAGGGGCTCCTGCACTCCAGGTCCCACTGAGCCTGCCACACAGCTGAGGGCATCAGTATTTCCACACACCTATAGTGCATGCTGTCCCAGAACACAGATCAGATTCTCTCCTATATTCAAATGGGGAGTTGAGAGTATTGTCATTGTAATTAAATTAATAAATACATATTTATACACTGTTAAAATCTGGTTGGCTTTGTGTCCCTTCACAAAACAAATTGCTTAAATGAAACCACAGAGTTAATATAATTGAGTACATTTGCTTCTATGAGATGCTCTTTTAAGTGGAATTAGAATCTAATTTGAAATGTCAATTAAAAGTTTAAATATTCAACTCGATTACATTAAATTTTTGTTTTGTTTTGTTTTGAGATGGAGTTTAGCTCTTGTCACCCAGACTGAAGTGCAATGGCAAAATCTCAGCTCACTGCAAGCACCTTCTCCTGGGTTCAAGCGATTCTCCTGCTTCAACTTCCCGAGTAGCTGGGATTACAGGTGTCTGCCACCACACCTGGTTAATTTTTGTATTTTCAGTAGAGATGGGGTTTCACCATGTTGGCTAGGCTGGTCTTGAACTCCTGACCTCAGGGGATCCACCCACCTCGGCCTCCCAAACTGCTGGGATTTTGGGCATGAGCCACCATGCTCGGCCTTTTTAGATTACTTTATTTTAGTTACTTATTTTTATGACTTTATTGTTATAAAAATGCTAATTTTAAAAAATCAATCAATATAACAAAGAACACAGAAGATGATCAACAAGCATTCCCACCTCTGTGATCTAGAAATAACTGTCATCAATCCAAAAGCTTACACATGGGGGATCCCTTCACACCAGTTCACAGTACAAAGTAACTCCTTGCTTGTAGAAAACATTATTACTATCATTATTAGTTTTGAGATGGAATTTGACTCTTGTAGCCCAGACTGGAGTGCGATGGTGTGATCTTGGCTCACTGCAACCTCTACCTCCCAGGTTCAAAGGATTCTCCTGCCTTAGCCTCCCAAGCAGCTGGGATTACCAGCGCACACCACGATGGCCTGCTAATGTTTAGTATTTTTGTAGAGACGGGGATTCACCATGTTGGCCAGGCTGGTCTCGAACTCCTGACCTCAGGTGATCCACTTGCCTCAACCTCCCAAAGTGTTGGGATTACAGGCAGGAGCCACCACACCCAGACTAGAAAACATTATTCAATAGCAAACATTAGCAGTATGCTTGGGGGTTTTAGGATTGATTATTTTCAAATCTCTAGAAAAGCTCAATGCATTACCTTAGGCTATAATCTCAGGGTAGAGTCTCATCTGTTAATGGGGGGCTGGTCTAAGGGTCCTTCCAGCTCTCAGTTTCCCATGTTGAACTGCTCCCTGTCACCCACCATCCTCGGTTTTTTTAGTTTTTACAGAGATGAGGTTTCACTATATTGCACAGGCTGGTCTTGAACTGCTGGCCTTAAGCAATCCTCCTGCCTTGGCCTCCCAAAGTGCTGGAGTTACAGATGTGAGCCTCTGTGCTCAGCCCATCCTTGGCTGTTCAAGTGTAGAGGTAAGTAGTAGATGCCAAGTTTACCTTCAGGTCAGAAGGGGCAGATGCCCCAGGGCAGAGTCATAACCCTAACCAGGCCTCCCACTGCATGAAGACATTATGTTCTGAAGCTTAAACCTGGACAAAGGTCTGACCAGTAGCACTGTGTTCATGAATATCAGGTCAAAAATTTAAAACTGGGACTATGCAGAAGAACCTGGTAGATGTAGGTGCAGTCCACAGTCCAATGGTCAGCCTTGATAACAAGCCACCTGTACTTTCTTTTTATCATGGAGTCCATGATGTAAAAATTGATGACACTTTCTTGCTTCTGGTGTGCTTCCTTTCTTCTTCATTTTCCATAAGTAGTTTCCTCCATCCCACCTCCCAACAGGCCACAGTCAATTCAGGACATTTTAACCATGAAAATGAGTCTCCATAACACGAATTTAGAGGCCAGACAGAGTGGATCACGCCAGCAATCCCAGCATTCTGTGAGGCTGAAGTGGGGGAATGGCTTGAGCTTAGGAGCTTCAGACCAGCCTGGGCAACATGGTGAAACCCTGTCTCTAAAATAAATAAATAAATAAATAAAAATAAGCCATGTATGGTGGTGCATGCTACTAGTCCCAGCTACTCAGGAGGCTGAGGTGGGAGGATTGTGGGGCCAAGGAGGTCAAGTATGGAGTGGGCCAAGATCATGCCACTGCAATGCAGCCTGGGTAATGGAGTGAGACCTTATAGCAAGAAAAAGAAAAAGATTTAAAGGACAGGCTGACTGTCTTGTTACAAGCCAATGCTCATTTGTTATTCCATAAATCCTAGGGCACCTCTTAAGAATTATGCTAAATCTACACTACCCCTGCTCTATAAATGGAACAACAACACTTGGATGATATCAGAGCTGTTTACTGCATGGGTTACTGAGTATTTTAATCTCACTGTTGAGACCTACAGCTCAGAAAAAAAGATTCACTTCAAATACTTCAGCTTTTTGACAATGTACCTGGTGACTAAAGAGTTCTAATGGAGATGTACAGGGAAACACATGCTGGTTTCATGCCTGCCAACACAACATCTATTCTGTAGTCCATGGATTGAGGCATCATTTTGACTTTCAAGTCTTATTATTTGAGAAATATATTCGTCCAGGGAACGAATCTCCTCACAACATACCTAAGAAAGAGATATATGTACAGAAAACGAAGCACAGTAAAATATCACTTCATTACTATCGGAGATTTTCCCCAAACACAGAGAAAGCTCTACAGAGCTGAGCTTAAGCCAGAACTCTGTTATTTACATGGTCTAATGCCAAAACAGGCCAGAGACCCCTTTCACCTACTTCTCTTTAATCCCAAACCCATGTCTCGCTTTGATCTAAGAAAGAGCCAAATGCCCAGGAGGTGCCAGGGTAGAGAAAAGCAGCCAGCCAGAGAGTGGCCTCCATGCCAGGGGAGTGTGTCTGAGCTTTGTTTTATTTTTCTTATTTGTCTGTAGTTGTGTGATTGGTAGAAGAGAGTAGATATGAAGTCTACTGACACAGGATTGGTCCTCAGGCATGTCTTATCAAGCATTTGGGGGAACAGAAGGGTTCCACAAATAAGAGAGCAATGATCAGACTTTCTTCTAAAAGGAGCAGCCACAAGCTACCTTAACTCTCCAACTTGCCCATTAATCTTCACCTAGAGTTAGGAAGATTTCACCATTATCTGTGGCCCATAAAAGATCCTTAAGCTTGACCAACCACAGAGGTCCATCTCCTTGAGGAGGAAGTGAAAGGGGTATGGACAGAAGCTGTGAGCTTTCTGTCCTCCGCAGGCCCCCAGCTGTATCTTCTACTTCTTGTACAAGATTGTCTCCAAATGATGTTTTCTGGCTGACAATGCCACAGAACTGATCCTTATCTCACTATGGAAATGAAAGATTTCGAAGAATTTGTTGCCTGAAATATGGTGCCCTAATCACATATTAATAAAGCTGCTATCCAGAAAGAAGGCAGATTTCAAAAGAAAGGCTGTTAGCATCCTCAGGGACCTAAAAAGTACATATTGTAGAACAATGGTAAATAGATCTTGGAATCAGGTAGACTTTAATTCAAATCCCAGCTATGCCACTTATTAACTTATGTGACATAGGGAAAGCCTCTCAAATTTAGATTTGCAAAATCAGAATAATATAAGTAGCCAACAAATAGGGTTTAATGGAGTTAATAATGAAGGTGATTAAGATGATAAAATTAAATAGTGAATATAAAGTGCTTAGCATTTAATAAATTTATTGTATGATTTCAAAGCACATGCTTTTACCTACAGTGCTATAAAGCTGCTTGCGATAGTCAAAGCTAATAGAAGCTCTTGTCAGAGCTAATAGAAGCCTTGTATATGTAATTATTTAAGAATTCTGTAAATATAAACAATAGGGTAGGAATGAGAAAATCTTTAGAGGAAATATTCAAGTATATTTGATTTCTAGCAAATCCAGATAGACAGTTTTGGCAACAACCAAGTCATAATTTGAAGTCTTGTTATAGGAGCTAGAATTTTATTCAAGGGACAACTGATTTGATTAGATTAGATGCTGTGCACTGCACTTTGGGATGTAATTTGATTTTGATGAGGTTGGAGTTCCCACAATGGGGTTAGCATCCTAATAAGAAGAGCAGAAGACTAGAGCCCTCTTCTCTCAGCCATGTGAAGATACAACAAGAACACCTGCAAACCAGTAAGAGGGCCTTCACCAGACACTGGCTCTGCTGGTCCAGATTTTAATCATTGAATTCCCACAACTGTGAGAAACAAGTATATGCTGTTTAAGCCACTCAGTCTACAGTTGTTTGTAGCAGCAGCCTGAGCAGACAAAGACATAGGGCTCCTTTTATTTTCAGAATTCAGTTTAGCTGTAATCACCTACCATCCTGAGATGCTGTTTCTTCCCTCCTCCCTTGAAATATAAGCTCTGGGACTATAGCTTCATGGACAAATTCTGAAGAATTTGTCTCTGCTCTTGTGGGATGCTAACCTAACCAACCAAAGAATGTTTGCTCAATGGAATGAAACATCTTAATGCAGCTCACCAGCCAATATCTGCAGAGCACACCTCATGGGTTCTGGCTGGCTTGGATTTCTGAGACTACTTCATCCTACTCATCAGACTGTGGACTCAGATTCAGCCAGGAGGCCCAGATTCTAGCGTCAGTTTTGCCCTTGGGATACAAATGCACGTCCTGCTTCACTGAACATGAAACCTGAATATTTGGCCATTACTCTGGCAATTGTCCTCTCTCCCTGTGCCAATTGCCAATCAACCCAACTCCCAGGCAGCCTTGGCAGTTATGTCTGCTTGGCCTGCTGTAGCAGCCAATGACTTAGTAAAAGTCAGAACATAGATCTGCTAGCTCCCAGTCCAGGATTTCCCCATAACTCGTCCATGTATATATTAAACAACTAGGCTTGCTTTTAAAATTCTTTTTCATTTAGCCTTTTCTTAGAACTTATCATTTTGAGAATCCTGACCTGCCAATATTCCATAACCTTTCTGAAAGTGACAAAGCAAATACGATGCATGCACACTGCTAACTGCAGCTGATTTCATTTTCCATCATCTATAAAGCACATAAGGTAATTTCTAAACCAGCAGTAAGATCTATTTATAAAGAATGCCGATTTGTTTTCTGCATTTTCCAACACAAAGCTTCAATTTATTTCCTTACCATAAAAAAACATTACTTTTTAAAACAATCATAGTTAGTATATTTTATAAATGTTTTAATTTTTGTAAAGTCCAACTTGCAAATTGGAGTGTAAATAGCTTTCTTAAAATGGAAGGAACTGTGTTAGACCCACTATGCTGATTGATGATTTTACTGTGCTTCAAAGCAGACGATTTCACAGTCATTGGGTATATAATGTAATGAGTTTTTATAAAGCAATTCATATCATTAAAAATATAATTATAATAAATAAAATTATAGGGAAAAGGAAATCTTCATTCTGACAATGCCAATTTTTTAACTAACTCATTGCTAAAAGATTATGTTTCTACATGAAAAATTTTACACATTCTTTCTATGAAATAAACCTGATAACACCTTGAAAACTTAATAGTTATGGGAAAGGAACTACTGTGATTTATTTTAGAGAATGTCGTGTTCTTGATGTTCTCAAGTGAGCGGTCTCATGTTATTAGAAGGGAAACAGCAGTACCTTGTGGACAAAAAAAGAAAGTGAATGAATTTTTAGGACCCGGTGCAGTGGTTCAGGCCTGTAATCCCAGCACTTTGGGACACCTGGGCGGAGGGTAACTTGAGCCTAAGAGTTCAAGACCAGCCTGGACAACACAGTGACACGCCGATCTTTACCAAAAATTGAAAAATTCTCTGGGCTTAGTGGCTCATAACTCAGGAGCCAGCTACTTGGAAGGCTGAGGTGGGAGGATTGCTTAAGCCCAGTAGGTCCAGGCTGCAGTGAGTGTGATCATACCACTGCATTCCAGCCTGGGTGACACAGCAAGACCCTATTTCAAAAAAATTATATTTATGTAGCACTTTCTACAAGGAATATAGTATCATGTTTGTATTTAAATGACATCAGGACCAGCATGGTGGCTTACACCTGTAATCTCAGCTCCTCAGATGACGGAAGGCAGGAGGATCACTTGAGGCCAAGAGTCGGAAAACCAGCCTGGGCAGCATAATGAAACCCCCATTTCTACAAAAATGATAATAGTAATCAAAAGCTAGGCGTGCTGGCACACACCTGCAGACCTAGCTACTGTGGAGGCTGAGTGGAAGGATCACTTTGAGCCCAGGAGTTTGATTGTATTGTGTATTGTGAGCTACGCTCGAGCCACTCCACTCCAGACAACACGGCAAGACCCAGTCTCTAAACAAAATACAGGGACATCAGAGCATTATTTATAGAGATTTATAAATGATCCCAAAATGTCTTCAGGGAGATAAATCATCTAAATATAGCTATATCGACTCTTCCTAAATTCCAAATTTGGGTGGGAAAAATAAATGAGATAGAAGACTTCTTGAAATGTATCAAGACTCAGGAAGACAAAACAAAAACTTTCATTAGGCAGTATCAAGAATGTTCATTAATGCTGTTTCTAATTTATGATACGGTCATCTAAAGAGGAAATCCCAGCAACAAGAGGCCAAAGGAAAGGGAAAAGAAATGAAAACAAGGACCATACTTTCTCCACATCCAACCTCTTTTCTACCACCTCTCAGCAAGACCTCCCACAGCCAATCACTGCTTTCTCTTGCGGACTTACCCTCTACTCTATGAACACATGAGCCAGAGAACCCTGAGAAGTCCCTGAGTCCCTTCCAGGGGCTCTGCAAGGGCAAAAGTCTTTTCATAAAAATACACAGGTTTTGTTTACCTTTTCCACTTTCATTCTCTCACAAGTATAATTGGAGTTTCCCAGCTACCTGACGTGGGATGTCACAAGAAATTAAACATAGAAGCAGAAAGGAGAACCAAGTCTTCTTCTATTAAACCAGACATTAAAGACATACCTAAAAATATAAAACAATGTCACTGTTCTCACCAACTTTACTGCTTAAAAATGATAATTTTAAGTAAAAATGTGATTTACGTAAACATATAAGTATATTATTTTTTTAATTTCTCAGTTTTAATGTTTAATATGATAAATATAGATAGACATAATCCAAATAAATAAAAGCTCTTTGGGGTCCTCAATAACTCTTAAAAATGTTAAGTGTTCCTGAAACCAAAAAGTTTACGGACTGATGCGCTAAAGCTCATACCCTTTGATGTAGCTTCCACCCAGGTCATTTCTTAAATACTTGATCAACCATTTCCCATGTCCCTCACCCTATCCTTGTTGCAAAATTCCATTTTCCTACTGCAGCCCTCCCTGTCATGAGAAAGTTCCCAGGTTGTAGACATGATTTACTAAATCTTTCTTAACAGCTTTATCATAATAACATGACATATACAAATTGTATAAATTTAAGGTAACTTAATGTTTTGATATTTCTATACTTTTTGAAAGGATCACCATGATCAAGCAAATTAGCATATTATCTCTACATATTTACCATTGTGTGTGTGTTGACAGTAATTAATTTATGATCTAGTCCTTTAGCAGAACACAAGAATATGATACAGTGTAGTTCCATGTTGTGCATTATATCTCCAGAAATTATTATAACTTGAACATTGCACAATTTAATTAACATCACCCCATTTCCCCTCCCTGAGCTCCTGGCAACCACTGTCCTAGTCTCCGTTTTTAAGAATTTGACTGTTGTAGATTCCACATGTAAGTAAGATCATGAAGTAGTTGTCTCTGTGTCTTGCATTTTTGCTTGGCGCAATATCTTCCAGCTCCATCCATGTTTTCACAAATAGAAGGATTTCCTTCTTTTTTAAGGTTGTATAATATTTCATTTTATGTATACACATCACATTTTCTTTACCCATTCATCTGTTCCTCTGCCAAAGGACATTTAGGTTATTTTCATATTTTGGTCATTGTGTGTCATGCTGCAATGAACGGGATGACAGACACCTCTCTAAGACTCTTATGTCAATTTCACTGGACATATATCCAAAAGTGAAATTGTTGGATTATGTGGTAGTTCTTTTTTTTTATTTTTGAAATCGTTCCCACTCTGTCATCCAGGGTAAAGTCCAGTGGCAATATCATAGCTCATTGCAGCCTTGAACTCCTGGGCTCAAGCGATCCTCCTACCTCAGCCTCCTGAGTAGCTGGGACTACAGGTGTACAACACCATATCGGGCTAATTTTAATTTTTTTTCTGAGATGGGGTCTTGCTATGTTACCTAGGCTGGTCTGGAGCTCCTGGCCTCCTGCCTTGGCTTCCCCAAATCCTGGGATTACAGGTGTGAGCCATCACACCAGGCCAGTGCTATTTTCCATTTTTTTTGGAGGAACCTCGATACTGTTTTCTGTGTTTTACTAATTTGCATTCCCATCAATAGTGTTTAATGGTTTCCTTTTCTCCACATTCTTACCAACACTTATCTCTTCTCTTTTTGATAATAGCCATTTTAACAGGTGTGACATGATATCTCATTGTGGTTTTGATTTGCATTACTCTGAAGTTTAGAGATGTTGAGCACATTTTCTTATACCTGTTAGCCATTTGAATTTCTTCTTTGGAGATGTATTTATTTAGGTTCTTTGCCTTAAAATAAAATTAGGTTATTTATAATTTTGGAATTGATGTGTGTGTGTCCTTCTTATTTTTTGAACTCCTTATAAGAGATATGGTTTACAAACATTTTCCCCATTTCATAGGTGGCCTTATCATTTCACTAGTTGTTTTCCTTGCTGTGCAGAAGCTTTTTAGTTCGATGTAATTCATTTATCTATTTTGCCTTTGTTGCCTGTGCTTTTGGAATCATATCTAAACAAATTATTGCCAAGACCAATGTCAAGAATGTTTTCTCCTGTCTTCTTCCAGGAGTTTTGTGGTTTCAGTGATTACATTTAAACGTTTGATCCACTTTGAGTTAATTTTTACATAAGGCGTGAGCTAGGGATCCGATTTCATTCTGTTACATGTAGACATCCAGCTTTCCTAACACCATTTGGTCAAGAGCATATCCTCTGCCTATAGTGTCTCCTTGTCACCTTCCAGGGTGATCAATGGTTGCAAATGTGTGGGTTATGCCTAGGTTCTCTATTTTGTTTCACTGGTTTATGTGTCTGTTTTTATGCCAGTACCACAGTGTTTTTCTTTCTACAGCTTTGTAATTTAATTTGAAATCAGGAACTGTGATACCTGTAGCTCTGTTCTTGCTCAAAATAGCTTCAGCCACTCAGGGATTTTTGTGATTCTATATGAATTTTAGGATCATTTTTTTCTATTTCTGTGAGAGTACCATTGGGATTTTGATATGGATTACATTAAATGTGTAGATTGCTTTGAGTAATATGGACACTTTAATAATACAGTACTAACTCTTTCAATCCATGGGTTGTCTTTCAATTTACTTTGGTTTAAATTTCTGTCATCAATCTTTTATAATTTGTACTGTTTAAGTCTTTCACTTCTTTGGTCAGTTAGTTCCAAAGTAGTTTATTTGACACTGTTTTTTAAATTTCCCTTTCAGACAATTCATTGTTAGTGTTTAGAAATAGCAATGATTTTTGTATGTCAATTGTGTATCCTACAACTTTAGTATATTTATTATATAGTCAGTCCTTCATATCAATGGGTTCTGCAACCATTAACTCAATCAACCATGAACCTAACTTGTACATATTTTCCATCTGTGGTGTTTTGAATCCACAGATGTGGACCCATGGATACATAGGGTCAACTGTACACAATTTTATATGAGGGAGTTGATCATCACAGATTTTGTTATCTGAGGGGGTCCTGAAACAAATCCCCAGCAGATATGAAAGACTGACTGTATTATTTCTAACCATTTTCTGTGGAGTCTTTAGAGTTTTAATGTATAATAATCCTGTCTTCTGTTAACAGAGGTAACTATATCCTTCCTTTCAATTTTGATGCCTTTTTTTTCTCTTGCCTGATTGCTCTGGCTAGGACTTCCAGTACTATGTTGAATAGGAGTGATGAGAGTAGACATCCTTGTCTTGTTCCAGATAGTAAAGAAAAAGCTTTCAGTTTTTCCCCATTGATTATAATATTAGATATAGGTTTTTCATATACAGCCTTTATAGTGTTGAGGTAAGTTTCTTGTATACTTATTTTGTTGAGAGTTTTATCATGAAAGTATATTGAATTTTGTCAAATGTGTTTTCTGCATCTATTGGAATGTTATTTTTATCTTTTGTTCTGTTAATGTGGTATATCACATTATTAATTTTTACACATTGAAACATCCTTGTATCCCATACATAAATTCCAATTGGTCATGGTGTATGACCTTTTCAATGTGCTTTTGAATTCAGTTTGCTAGTTTGTATTTTATTGAGAATTTTTGCATCTATATTCATTAAGGATACTGGTCTGTAATTATTTTTTATTGTGTTGTCTTCGTCTAGCTTTTAAGTCATGGTAACATCGGCCTCATGAAATGAGTTTGAGAGTATTCTCTCTTCTATTTTTTCTGAAGAGTTTAAGAAGTTTTGGTGTTAGTTCTTTTTGAATGTTTGGTAGAAGTTGCCCATGAAAGCGTCTGCACCTGGGCTTTTCTTTGTTGGGAAATTTTTGATTACTGATTAAATCTCTTTGCTTGCTTTTGGTCTGTTCTATTTCTTTTTTGTTCCACCTTGGTAGATTGCATCTTTCTAAGAATTTATCCATTTCTTCTAGGTTATCCAATTTATTGTCATATAATTGCTTAATTGTCCTTTATAATCATTTGTATTCCTGCACATTTGTTATGATGTCTCCATTTTCATTTCTGATTATATTTACTTGAGTTTCTCTTTTTTTCTTAGTGTAGCTAAGGGTTTGTTATTTTTGTTTGTATTTCCAAAAATTCAACTCTAGTTTTCTTGATTTTTCTATTGTTTTTTATTTTATAGTTATTTTATTTATATTCTAATCTTTATTATTTACTTCATTATGCTAACTTTGGGTTTAGTTAGTTTTTCTTTTTCTAATTGTTTATTTGCAAAGTTAGGTTGTTCGAGTGAGATCTTTCTTATTTTTTAATGTAGGTATTTATCACTGTAACATTTCCCTCTTAGCACTTCTTTTGCTGCATCCTGTAAGTTTTGTTGAGTTGTATGTTCATTTTTGTTTGTCTCAAGATATTTTTAAAATTCCCTTTTGATTTCTTCTTTTACCCAATGGTTGTTCAAGAGTGTGTTGTTTAGTTTCTGCATTTTTGTAAATGTTTCTGTTTTCTTTGTTATTGAATTCTAATTTTATTCCATTGTGGTCTGAGAAGATACTTGGCATTATATCAAACTTCTTAAATTTGTAGGATGCCTTGTGACCTAAGATTTGATCTATCTCAGAGAATATTCTGTGTTCACTTGAGAAGAATATATATTCTGCTGCTGTTGGATGGAAAGTTCTGTATATGTCAGTGTTTAATCTACTGTGTTGTTCAAGTCAGCTGTTTCCTCTTTTTTTTTATTCCTGCCTAGATGTTCTATCCATTATTGAATTTGGGGTACTGTAGTTGCCTACTATTATTTTAGTGTTACTGATTTCTCCCCTTATCTTTGTTGATATTAACTTTGTATATTTAGGTGTTCTAATGTTGGGTGGATATATATTTACAATCTTCCCATTGAAGTGAACTTTTATCATTATATAATGACCTTCTTAGTCTCTAGTGGCAGTTTTTGATTTCAAGTCTATTTTTTCTGATCTAAATATAGATACCCTTGCTCTTTTTTGGTTACCATTTGCATAGAGTATCTTTTCCCATCCCTTCACTTTGAGCCTCTATATATCTTTATATCTAAATTGACTCCCTTATAAATATGTACTGATGAGTATCTTTTATGCATTGTGCCACTCTATGTCTTTTAATTAGATAGTTTAATCCTTTCACATTTAAAGTCATTGTTGATAGGTAAGGAGTAACTTGCATTTTGTTAATTGTTTTTCATATGTTTTGCAGTTCTTTTTTTTTTTTTCCTCTCTTGCTGTCTTCTTAGTTTGGTTATTTCTTGTAGTGGTTTGGTTTCATTTATTTTTCTTCACATTTTGTGTATCTCCTATAAGTTTTTAATTTGTGGTTGCAAATTTACATCTTCTATAAAAAGCTGTCTTAATGTTATCAGCTTTTTTGGAATCATTTTCTTTCTCTTCCTTCTTCAGATATATTTGCAAATACTCTGTTGTTCAAGACACGAGTAAATAGGGCTCTGGCTAGAAATTTATCAATACAAAAAAAAAGATCCTCTGAGTCTTTTGATAAGTTGGAAAATAATGATAGACTGTGGTAGAATGTCATGTATTTCAAGTTCTGTCATCTATGTTACTCTGCAATATATTTTCTGTGTGTATTAGTCAATGTTATATATTTATAAGGTAAATCCATAAAGCATACATTCTAGAATGCCCTAACTTAGGTCCTTAAGAGATATGCTCCTTATAGCCTTCTTGGCACTCCTGAAGTGTTAAATATTTCCATTGAAGAAGGTTGCATATGGTTTCTGAGATGAAGTCTAGACAGGTTAGGATTATTTTTTGCTCCTTTTGCCTACACAGCACCCACTGTCCCCTCCCTTTGTTATTAGCCATTATCTGATACCCTAGATGAAGCCACCTTCTGTCCTTCAGTTTTCGCGTGGGGGCTGATTTCACCCCCAGTTTCAGGAATAAGCACAGGACAGCTACTAACAAGTATGTTGTTCACTCAAGGAAGAAACCCAGCTAAGGGAGAAAGGGGGGTTGAAATCCAGCCTGCATGTTCTTCTCCAAGCCACATGCACCGATACAAGGTTGCATCTAACTGGAGAAAGGGGAGCCATTTTCTAATACTTGCAAAGCACTGTGTGGACAGTGGAAACCCTGTATGAGCTCGTGACACAGGCCTGGCCAATGAATAGACTTCTAATCCTGGCACAGATGAAACTAGAGATGGACATGAAATCCAAGCCTCACACCCAAAGTCAATCTCTAGTCTCTTATTGAAACTATTAGAAGTGTTTCTGTTTTTGCTTTATTCTGGGGCTATGGAACTAAGGAAATGTAAACTGGAGGAGTGATGATGGCCACATTGCAGCACAAAGGGAAAACTTGTCTGAGAATAAAATCAATGGGGAAGGAAAAAGCAAGGAAGAGGAGAGGAGCCAAGTCCTGAGTCCCTGCGTTCAGCCATTCTGAAGCTATACCCTGGATTTTTCCATTATACGAGTCCACAAATTAATATATATTTTTTGGCTTAGACCAGTTTGAGTTTGAATTCTATTATTTATAACCAAAGGAGTCCTACCATATTATCTTAGCCAGATTTTCATAAACACGGTATACGTTGATGAACAAACTTCCTAAATGTTTCAAGTTCACTCCAAAGAGTGAGGGGAAAAAAGAAAGAAGAGGAAGAAAATGGTTACTTATCATCCACAGTAGTCAAGGGAGCTGCAGAAGCATCAAGCAAAAGCAGCAGAAGTTAGCTTTGTACTCCCACAAACCCTGCTCTGAAGTACTCCACCTAGTGGCCCACAGAAGAAGCTGCATTTCTAAAATCTTTAAAAAGACAGAAAAGGAATCACCACTTACCCTGGGAACCCTAACAGGGGAGAAGGCCATGTAGGAATATGTCCCATTGGTTTGAGGTCGATAAGTCCATTTTCAAAGCTTTAGTAATTCCAGAAACAAGAACATATTTATTTTGCTTTGATCACACAATGCCTAGTTATATTAAAAGTAAGGAGACATTCAATAAATACCTTTTATGGAAATAAAAACAGACAATTTAGGAGAAAAATAAGTATCAATGCATTATTTTCAAAGGTAAAGAAAAAAGAAATTATTCTGAACACACAAAACTATATTATCAAATATCATGGTAAATTATCATTATATACTAGGTCACTTAATAAATTTCCAGAGATGATTGGAAAGAGTTTCCACAATAGATTTTGTTTCACCCCAGGAAGAAGTTTCACAAAAAGTTAGTTACTTATCTCCGTTGTTACTAGTACCAAACTAATCCTATCATTCTGAGTCAAATTACAAATAACGTCCACACTTTTCTCCAATGAGATCACAGGAGATGCCTCAGTGGAGTGTGTTTTAATGTAAGGGCATAATTGGTTTATATTTTTCACTAAAAATAAATTCTAGACAACTTAAGCAAAACAGGAATTCAATGAAAGGATATTGAATAGTTCACAAAATCATTGAAGATGCTGAAGAAGCAAGGTAAGAACTGAGGGAAACTCAGCACAGCCAAGTTCATTCGACGGAAGGAGATCTTGGGATGCCACCACTAGGATGTTGTCATTTGACACTTGTCACCCTGTAGCTGGGCTCTGCTGAACCTAGGCACTTGCTGCCACATTCCTGGACGTGCATCTCTGCTCAATTTCTCAGAATCATCTCTGATTCTTTCAGGTCTTTTGCATCATTTCATCGGGTTCCAAGTTCTAATAAAGAGACATCAGTTGGCTGGGCCTAGATATGTGCCCACACGTGGGTGGCCAAGAAACTGGAAAAAGGATCATGCACTCCCTTTCAGCTTTTGTAATGGAAGGTGGGGCCTGTCCTCATATTTTGCTTGGGGTTCAAAAAACTAGGAAGGGGGTTTTGTTGAAATGAAACCCAAAACTATAGCTATCCATTTACAGCACCTTATTTGTACAGGAAGAAACCATGAGACAAAATGTATAAAAGTGCATGGGAGGTCTAAACATATGAGGGGGTTTCTGAGGACAGAAAGATCATACTTGATTGGTGCTGTGGTTTCACTGTGCCTCCTCCGAGATTCAGCGTTGATAATTTGATAGTGTTGAGGTGGTGCCTACAGGAAGTGATGAGGCCATCAGGACTCCTACCTCAGGAATGGGTTTAGGAGCCCTCATGAAAGGGCTCCATGGAGGGAGTTCATCCCTCTTGCTCTCCTGCCTTCCACCATGTGAGGACACAGTGTTCCTTGTCTCTGGAAGATGCAGCATCAAGACACCATCTTGAACGGAGAGAACAGCCCTTACCAGACATCAGACCTGCCAACGCCTTGATCTTGGACTTCCTAGTCTCCAGAACTATGACAGATAAACGTCCGCTTTTCATAAATTGCCTAGTCTGTGTTATTTTGTTGTAAGAGCATAAATTGACTAAGACAATTGGTGATTAGAAAAAGTTTTTTGAAGTGGCATTTGAGAAGGGCTTGATAGATAAGATCTCTACAAATAGAAATAGAGAGATGGTTTCAAATCACCCAGGTGAAAGGAATAACATAGCCATGTTCAGTCTGAATGCAAAATGGAGATGGTAAAAAGTACATAGGATTCCACCACCAGTGGCAGGACAGAATTGTAATGTGGCAGCAATCTGTAAATATAATATTTATCACTCATTCACATTTATTTAGAGTCTAATGTGTTCTAGGCTCAGAAATTAAGCAAAGAAAACCTAGATATGCATAAGTCCAAGACTTTGCCTTTGTGACAGTCAAAATAATGACCCCATAAAGATGTTCTTGTCCGTGGAATCTGTGACCATATTACTTTACATGGGGCAAAAGGGACTTTGGAGATGTGATTAACCCTTGAGTTAGGGGGATTATCCTTGATTATCTTGGGGGCCAATCTAATTACCTGCGTCTATAAAATCAGAGAATCTTTCCTAGCTACAGTCAGAATGTGATATGACTACAGAACCATGGTCACAGACATCCCACATTACTGGCTTTGAAGATGGAGTGATGGTCCCATGATCCAAAGAATAGGGACAGCATCTAAAAGTTTGAAAAGGAAATGGATTCTCTCTAGAGCCTCCAGAAAGCAATACAGCCCTGACAACACCTTGACTTAAGCCCAGTAAGACCACAGTCAGAGGTTTGCCCTACAGAACTATAGGGTCATAAGACTTTGATTTAAGCCACAAAGTTGTGGTAAATTGTTATGGCAGAAATAGATAATTAATTTTAAGAACTTTATTATTTGGAAGATAGGCAGACCGGAAAATCCAAATTATAATATAATTCGATTAAAACCTATGGAGATTTGGGCTAGGTGTTTTAGAAAAGAATTGAGTATTAACAAGACTAACAGAAGAAATGTTCTAAAATAGGTACACACTAAGTACATCACATTTTTCTAATGATCACGTTGATAGAGCAACTTAGAATCCATGGTTTTAACAAACCAACAGGCTTATATACATATATATGAAAATATTATATATATATATATATAAAATATATGATATATGGAATAGCCCCATGGGCACGGGCAGCCCTGGGTCAAAGGGCGACACTGTACTAGCAGCCCACACCCCAACTCACCCGCCTACCCTGAGCTGACTTGTCTGCTAAATGCTAAATAAACCTGTCAACCTGTCTGGTTTAACTTAGAAGGGCCTGGATGCAACAAGCCTGAGGGCTGTGACTGGGGGAAAAGAGAGTACAGATGGAGCTCCTCCTCCTTCTGTCACTGCCCACCAACTGAAAACCACCAAATGAAGTTTGCTTAGATTCTCAGCCCACACCTTGTTCCCAACAAAACTCATACAATGCTTTGGCCCCCACTACAATCTCTGGAACAAAATATTCTACGGATCTGCTGTTTGAGCTGCAACTTATCTTACTAAATTCCAAGAAGCTTATGTAAAAGAAAACCTCCAGATAATACAGGATTTTCAAGGTGATCATCATTGCTACTTTTAACTAGAAATTATCCAGTAAAAGTATTGTGAATTGCTTTGTGACTATGGTGATTTATTTAGTCTTTCTGATCCTTGGTTTGATTATCTCAAATATATGAGTATCACCAATTTTATAAAGTTGCTCTAAAAATTAAATGAAAGAAAAATAATCCTCCTTCTCCATATATTGAACACTTACAAAATTATAGGCATTGTGTCCAGGTTTTTACATACTTACCTGATAGAAGTCTCCTAACAGCCCTCTCTTTTAAATTACAAGCATTTTGCCATGATTTTTACATGTACTTTATGGAAGCCTCGTAACAATCACATCTTTTATAGATCAGCAAACTGAGGCTCAGACGAGTTAAAAACACATTCACCATCAAATCATAACAAGGGATGCAACTGGGATTCAAATCTGGTTCTCTCTGATGCCAAAAATTGTGCAATTTAACGGGAACCAAGTTACACCCAGAACATGGAGGGATCAAAACATGTGGATTCCCTTTTCTGCCCCCTCATGTGGGAATTTCAATAGCTTTCACTGCCTCAGAGCAATCCTAAACTCCCTCCCAGGTTGCTTGCAATGGCCCGCTTATTCGTGGGGATGATTAGGAATCTGCATTTTTGGACCACAAGCATCTATAAAGAGTTGTGTTGATCAAGAAATAAAATTTTCTAGGCCATAGGTTACTGTGAATTGTCTACCTTCTCTGCAAAAAATAAAGGGGCTATTCCATGTAAAAAAATCACAGGATCCACTGAATCTGTGCAGAGAGACTTAGAACTATACTGCAGGAGCATCTTACTGACAGCTGCGCCTGAAGACCAGCCGAAACACACAAAGCAAGAGCACCTCCAATGACCAGGTGTGGTGGCTCTTGCCTGTCATCCCAGCAGTGTGGGAGGCCAAGGTTGGTGAATCACTTGAGGCCAGGGGTTTAAGACCAGCTTGGGCAACACAGTGAGACCTTGTCCCTACAAAAAAAAAATCATTTTTTATTATTAGAATCAAGAAGAGTACCTCTAACCCCTTGCCGTTGCTTTAGGGTAGAGAGCTCTGGTCTAGAACTCAAGATGTGAAACTGTGAGTCCCAGTGTAGCTACTTAAGTTTAAATACAAGAGCTGTCAGACACTTCTTCTACAGCAACGAAATCTGTAGCATCCATTTTGTACTTTAAAAACTTAGTTTTTGGCAAGCCTCTAGGAAGAAGAAGAGGGCCCAGAACTGGGCATATGGGTAGGGAGGGGAAAAGAAACCGGATGGATGAAACAGGGAAAGACGAAGTGATGAAGACGCCAGGCAGAGCCAGTCCTCATGCTTGGGGCCTGGGCCTAGGAAAGGAAATAGGTGAAGAAGGGAGGAGCCCCAGGCTGTGGATGTCTCTGGGGGAAACTTGGTTCAGCAACAGCCAGAGGAGCTCCTGAAGCCAAGAGGTATCTGTCGCCTCCCTACCTTTGGGCGTCTTCTGGTCACCAATGTGCTGCAGGTCATGGCTCCGGAATAAAATTGAGCTCAAGTTGTGAGAGCTCCAACGCCGTGGAGCCTGGCGCTACTCCCACCTCCACTTCGTGGATCTCAGAGCTGCAGGATGGCTCTGCCCACCGCACCCTAAGCTGGCCTCGCTTGGGGCTGGCATTGGGGGACAGCATGTTCTGGGCATCTCTGCTCCTTTCTGCTGGTGCCTGTGCCTTTGCTGGCCACCCACTCATAGATATCAGAGCCACAGGACGGCCCCGCAGAAACCCTGCGCTGGCCCTGCCGGGGGCTGGCTTTGGCACATGCGACCGGTCATCATGGTCCCCATGGGGCACCTCTGCTCTTCTCGAGGCAGCTTGGGCCTTCTCTTGCCCCCACGTCTGCAGAGCTGAGCACCTGCCGCCTCTCCCCAGGAAAGGCAACCAAATGCCACCAACTTAAGCCACCCACTGAAGGCCACCAACTAAAGGCCGGTTGCCCTGCCAACGAGATCGTGTCCTGCTTAGGAAGAACCAATCAGGCCTTGAGTTCCCTCCACGCGCTGCCCTTCCATTTGTCACGTGGGAGTCCAGGCACTGGCTCACAAAGCCGTGCCCCCCAGAGACCCCGCCCCACCTTTCATTTATTGGTAGCTGGTAGCAACTTTCAGGTTTCCTCACTGTGAATTATGAATATGAATTATGATGAAATTACTGTATCCTAATGTACCTCATGCACTATCTGACAGCCATAGTCCCCTCTTCCCCCATGGCCTCTGAGTTTTTTGGAAACTAGAAAGAAGATACATTTCTGCAGGTGCTTTCAGAAAAAAACATTGCCACGATCTAAGTTTACTCTGTGATGTCAAGTCATATTTCATATGTCATACATATTCATATTTATATTCATAATTCAAAATGTACATATTCAATAAAATTAACAGGACTAAAAAGGAAATTTTCTAAAATTTATACACTAAGTATATTATATTTTTCTAATGATCACTTTGATAGAGCAAACTTAGAATCTATGGTTTCAACAAATGAAGAGGCTTATGCAAGAGAAAACCACCACCTAACACAAGATTTTCAATGTGATCATCATTGCTACTTTTCACTAGCAATTATCCAGTTAATATATTGTGAACTGCTTTGTGACTATGGTGATTTATTTAAACCTACTGATCCTTTGATTATCTCAAAAATATGAATAATACCAATTTTATAAACTTGTTCTAAAAATTAAATGAGAGAAAAATAATCCTCCTTCTCTATATATTGAAAACCTACAAAATTAGTAACATTGTGTCCAGATTTTTACACACTTACCTTATTGAAGCCTCATCACAACCCCGTCTTTTAAATTACAGGGATTATTCCCAGATTTTTAAACACTTACCTTATGCAAGTCTCATAACAATCCCATCTTTTATAGATGAGCAAACTGAGGCGCAGACGAGTTATAAACGCATTCACCATCAAATCACAATGAGTGATGGAACTGGGATTCAAATCCAGTTCTCTCTGACACCAAAGTGGTGCAATGTAATGAAGACCAACTTATATCCAGCACATGGAGGGATCAAAACATGTGGATTCCCTTTCTCTACTCTCTTACATGTGAATCTCAATGGGTTTCACTGCCTCAGAACAGTCCTAAATTCCCTCCCAGGTTGCCTTGCAGAGGATCCCTTCTTTTGGGGGACGATTAGGAATCCGCATTTTTAGACCACAGGCATCTATAAAGAGTTGTGTTGATCAAGAAATAAAATTGTCTAGGCCATGAGTTCCTGTGAATTGTCTAGCTTCTCTGAAAAAAATAAATGGGCTATTCTCTTTATTTTTTGTTATTCCACTATTGACAATAGCCTAGAATCAACCTAAATGTCCAAAAAGACTTGGTTTAATCCTGAGGATTACTAATGTTTTCACTGTGGTCATTGTGGTAGATTATATTACCATTCTCCCATTATCTGGTCTTCCTACTGCAGTGGCCCTATTTCCTAGAAGATTATACATTTCTGTCCTATTGAAGGAAGGGTCAGATTAAGACATGTGACCTGTTTGGCCAGTGAAATGCAGGTAGAAGTGGCATGTGTAACTTGTAAGCAGAAAATTTCCTTTTTCAAGGATCTGGTAGCCATCCCTTTCAAATGTAATCCTCCAGAAGGATAATACCTTATTTCCCAGTCTCCAGGAGAGAGTAAGAGCCTAATCTTGCTCCAAGTTGTAAAAATTACCTTATATCATAAAGATAAAAGAAAGTTTATTTTTCCTTTGAGAAAAGACAGTTAGCAAAGACAGGTGGCCTATGATCGCCCTCTTACCCTCACTTTCAAAAACTCCACGGCCCTTTGTATCAGGGGAGCTGAGTTCAGACTAGGTCTGGCCTCTCTCCCGTATTGCAATAGCTTGAATAATATCTTCCTTACTTATTTAACTTTTTCCAGTACATTTTTTTCTTTGACTCTTTCCTCCGTCTCTAAAACTTACATTGAAATTTTAGTAGGATTCAAGGCAGCCAATATCGACCCTTGAATATACAAAAGAACGCTTTAAGATTAAAAAACCCATGTTATCTTCCATAAGTTATTTCTTTGGACTATTGCCTTATTAAAAGTTTCTAGTTCTTATTTTTGCATTGAAAAGGAGAATGATGATTTTTAAATAAGTTCCTACTCACTTTTAATTTCTATTATCACAGTTTTATTGCTTTTCATGACAATACATTCTTCGCATGCCTCATAGTAACCAAAAGGCAAACATTTTTATTAGATACACTAAAAATAAAAGAACAAGAAACAAAAACACACAGAGAAAATCACTTAACTACAAAGGAAGACAACAAAGGGACAAAAAGGTACAAAAATTCTAAAAGACACCAAGAAAACAGTATATGGCAGTACAGGTCCTTATCTATCAATAATTACCTTGAATGTACATAGATTAAATTATCCAGTAAGAAGACAGATAATGGGTAAATGGATTAAAAACAAGACCTAACTATATTCTTTCTACAAGAGACTCCCATCACCTGTAAATACACACATAAATTGAAAGTGATCAGATGGAAAAATATATTTTATGACAATGGAAATCAAAAGAATGCAGAAGTAGTTATATTTATATCAAATAAAATAGACTTCAAGTAAAAAAACTGTAAAGACAGACAAACAAGGCCATTATGTAATAATAAAGGGGTCAGTAGAACAAGAGAATACAATAATTGTAAATATATAATGCACTCAACATTGGAGAACCTAAATATATAAAGCAAACATTAATAGATCTAAAAGGAGAGACAAAAAACTGTACAATAATAGTAAGAAACCTCGATATCCCATTTTCAGCAATGAACAGATCATTGAGAGAGAATCTCAACAAAGAAACATTTAAACTGCACTCTAGATCAAAAGAACTTAACAGTTATTTACATAACATTTCATCCAACAATTGCATAATTCAGTGTCTTTTCACCTGCATATGGAATATTGTCCATGATAGATATGTTAGAGCACAAAACAAGTCTTAACTAATCAAAAAATCAAACCATATCATGTGTTTTTTTTGACCATATGGAATAAAGCTAGACATAAACAACAGGAGGAACTTCAGAAATTGTGCAAATACATACAAATTAAGCAACATATCCCTAAACAACCAATGGGTCAATGAAAAAAAATTTAATTTTAAAACGTCTTAAGACAAATAAAAATGAAATCAGAACATATGAAAACTTATGAAATACAGCAAAACAGTTCTTAGAGGGAAGTTTATAGCAATACATTTTGACATCAATAAAGAAGAAAGATAATGAATAAAACATCTAACAATGTATTTCAAGGAACTATAAAATCAAGAACAAACTAAGACCCAAATTAGCAAAAGAATATAAAGATGAGAGCACAAATATACAAAATAAAGACAAAAAATACAAACGACTAATTAAATGAAGGAATCTTTTTTGAAAACGTAAAATTGACAAATGTTTTGTCAGACTAAGAAAAAAAGAGAAAATTCACATAAAATCAGAGATGAAAAAGGATATACTATGATAGACTCTAGAGAAATATAAGGAATAGTGAGTAAGTACTACAAACAATTATACGCCAATAAATTGAAAAGCTTAGAAGAAATACGTATGCTCTGGACACATATAACCCATCAAAATTGAAGAAAGAAGTAGAAAATGTGAACACACCAATGACAAATAATGAGATGGAAGGAGCGATTTAGGCTCTCATTCAAGGAAAATCCAAAAGACTTCACACAGTAGCTCACATCTGTAATCTCACAGTTTAGGAGCCCAAGGCAGGAGAATCACTAGAGGCCAGGAGTTCAAGATTAGCCTGGGCAACACAACGAGACTCCGTCTCTAAAAATACAAATAAAAATTCCCCAGGTATAGTGGTGTGTACTTGTACTCAGGAGACTGAGGCAGGAGGATCACTTAAGACCAGGAGTTTGAGGCTGCAGTCAGCTATGACTGCACCACTGTATGCCAGCCTCAGTGATAGAGTGA
This sequence comes from Homo sapiens, assembly GCF_000001405.40. Taxonomy (NCBI): domain Eukaryota; kingdom Metazoa; phylum Chordata; class Mammalia; order Primates; family Hominidae; genus Homo; species Homo sapiens. The sequence goes on from NC_000020.11 coordinate 30,366,181, forward strand.
GACTCTGTCTCTAAAAAAATAGAGGAAGAAAGAAAAGTTCACGACTTGGTGGTTTTTGCTGACAAATTCTACAAAACATTTAAAAAATTTATACAAATTATTTACAAACTATTTCAAAAAAATGAAAAGGAGGGAACTCTTCCAAAGTCATTCTATGAAGACAGCATTTCCTGATTCCAAAATGAGACAAGAACAGCAAATAAAAGAAAACTCCAGGCCAATATCATTGATAAACATAGATGGAAACATTCAAAACCAGCAGATCTAGCAATGATAATTCAAAAGCACATTAAAAAGATTATTCACCATAATCAAGTGGTATTTACCCGGGGAGGTAAGGATAGTCTAATACATGTAAATCAATAAAATGTGATACATCACATTAAACAAAGAAGGATAAAAAACATATAATCATTTCAATAGATGCAGAAAAAGCATTTGACAAAATTAGACATCCTTTTATGATCAAACCTTTTAACAAATTAGTTATAAAAGAACATAATAAAATAAAGACCATATGTGATAACCCACAGGCAACATTATACTGAATGGTGAAAACTTGAAAGCTTTGCCTCTAGGATCTGGAACAAGACAAGGATGTTCACTTTAATCACTTTTTTCAACATAGTACTGGAAGTCCTAGTCATAACAATTAGGTAACAGAAAGAAATAAAAGGCATGCAAATGGAAAAAAAGTCAAATTGTCCCTCTTTGTAGATGACATGATCATATATGTAAAAAACCCTAAATACACCACTGAGAATCAGAAATAGTAAATGAATACAATAAGGTTTCAGGATACAAAAGCTACATAAAAAATCAGTAACATCTCTATACACCAATAGCAGACTATCTGAAAAAGGAATCAAGAAAATAATTCCACTTAAAATAGCTATTAAAAAAACAAAATACCTACCAGTAAATTAAGCCACAGAAAGATGAAAATAATTAAACATTGATAAAAGCAATTTAAAAAATTAAAATAAATAGAAAGATATCCCATGTTCATGGACTAGAAGAATTAATATTGTTGAAATTACCATACTACTCAAATCAATCTATAAATCCAATATAATCTCTATCAAATTTCCAATTTCATTCTTCACAGATATTAAAAAATATCTTAAAATCCATGTGAAACTACAAAACACCCCAAATAGCCAAATAAATCTTAAGCAAAAAGAGCAATGCTAGAGGTATTACACTATCTAATTTCAAAATATATTACAAAGCTACCCTAACTAAAACAGCATGGTATTGGCATAAAAACAGGCATGTAGACCAGTGGAACAAAAATAGAGAGCCCAGGCATAAATCCACATATTTACATGCAACTTATTTTTGACAAAGGTGCAAACATTCAATTGGGAAAGACAGTCTTTTCAACAAATGGTGCTGGGAAATGTGCATACCCACATACAAAAGAATGAAAGTAGACCCCTATCTCTCATCATATACAAAAATCAACTCAAAATAAATTAAATATTTAAATGTAAGACCCCAAACTATGAAACTAGTAGAAGAAAACATAAGTGAAATGTTATATGTCATTGATCTGGGCAACGACTTTTTAGAAAAGACATCAAAAGACAGGCACAACAAAAGCAAAAATAAACAAATGAGATTACACCAAATAAAAACTTCTGCACTGCATAGGAAACAATCATGACAGTGAAGAGACAACCTACAAAACAGGAGAAAATATCTGCAAACTATTCACTTCATAAGGGGTTAATATCCCAAATTTATAGAAAACTCAAACAACTCAATAGCAAAAATACAAATAATTGGATTAGAAAAGTCAAGACAGTTGAATAGACATTTCTCCAAATAAGACAAAAAAATCGCCAACAGGTATATGAAAAAATGCTCACCATCACTAATAATCAGAGAAATGGAAGTCAAATCCACAGTGAGATATCATCTCACCCTGCTTAGAATGCTTTTTATGAAAAAGTCAAAAAATAACAAATGCTGGCAAGGATGTGAAGAAAGGGCAATGTTCATACACTGTTGGTGGAAATGTAAATTAGAGCAATTGTTATGGAAAACAATAAAACTTCCAAAAACATTAAAAATAGACTTATCACATAATCCAGCAATCCCACTACTGGGTATATATTCAAAGAATATTAAATCAGTATGTCAAAGAGATTTCTGGACTCTCATGTTTATTACAGCACTATTCACAATAGCCTAGAATCAACCTAAGTGTCCATCAATGAATGAATGGAGAAAGAAAATGTGGCATATATGCTGTATTTGGTCATTCTTGCATTGCAAGAATAAAGAAATACCTGAGATTGGATAATTTATAAGAAAAGAGACGTAATTGGCTCCTGGTCCCATGGGCTGTACAGGGAGCATAATGCCAACATCTGCTTGACTAGTCAGGAAGCTTGGGAACTCGTTCACTATCATGAGGATAGCACCAAACCATGAGGGATCCACCTCCATGACCCAAACACCCCCTACCAGACCCCATCTCTAACAGTGGGGATTACAATATAACATGAGATATGGGTCAGGACAAATATCCAAACTATATCATATGCACATTTGGCCATAATAAACGGTAAAATCATGTCACTTGTGACAACACGAATGAGCATAGACGACATTGTGGTAAGTGAAATAAGCTAACCACGGTAAGACAAATATCACATGATCTCATTTATATGTGAAATCTAAAAACACTGATCTAATAGAGAGTAGAAGAGTGGTTACCAGACTGGGAAAGATAGGGAGGAGAGGTTTTAATAATGTGTCAAGTATCAAAATACCACATTGTACCCCATCAACATGTGAAATTATCATGTATCCACTTAATAAAAGAAAAGAAAAAAGAAAATGGAAGAGTCAAGATACTGAGGCACTGGAAGAGATAGAAGAGAAGGTGAATTGGCAGTAAGGAAGAGAGAGTCTGAAAGAGCAGGTCACAGAGTGGAACATTAAAGTTTATAACATTAGAAATCAATTTTTAAGTTATTGAAAAGTTAAGTTTATAGTCATGAAAGTGAGTAGCTCAATTGAAGCGAAAGTAAAAGTCAATGAAAGATTAAATTAGAAAATATATTGCTTGGCATTTAGTAGTTACTTCAGAAATACTAATAAATCTTAAGAAAATTAAGAACACCAAAGCATTCATAGTGGACCATTATCATAATACGAATTTATGTGGTAATATTTTATTCTTTCCAGTGAAGGGAGTAATTCAACAGCCTTGACTACAGGTTAGAAAATGATTTCTCCAGGTGTGACCCACTGACCACATTCATTGTATTTGAATTGCTTGAGCAATTTGTTTCAGGAGAAAATGGAAAGATTTTAAGATGGACCAACGAAATTACCACTGAGTGTCTTTAATGGAAACCTCAGCCTTGTCTAGAATAACCTGAGTTATCTGTTTCTATGGAGTCTCTGTGCCTTTTGTTTTCTTTGTTATTTGCAATTCTGTTAGTTGTAGATTACTGATAGTAATGCAAATATTCATGTTTATAGACAGGCAAATGATTGATTTTGGTGGAAGTATAATTAATTTTCCTTTTTCCACCTTCCATCAAGAAGTCAGTTTTGAACCTATCAAGCAAATTTATTTCAGTGTTCCTTAGTGCCTAGATATGTGTGGCTCTTTTAATTTTCCATAAAACTCAGTATAACATCTTACTGGCTCCCTCATTAAACAAATGAGTTAAACAAAAATCTTAGACAAGTGTTCATTTTATATTTGTAAGTCATAATTTAACCTATTTTAAGCAATTTTCCTTTATCATTCCTAAAAATACAGATTCCTATGCCCCATGCTAGACCTATTGAATCAAAATCTCAGGCCTAAGGCACAAGAATTTACATTGTTAGTAAGCTTTTCAAGTGATTTTTAGGCATACTAAATTGTATTAACCATTACCATTCTAATTCTTTAAACTTGAATTATTGTATTTATAATTCCATCTTCATCAAAGTAAACTTTTGGTTAGCAAAAACGGTAGAAACCCCCTTATTCAATCAGATTGGGACCAGTAATAAACAGATTAATCACAAATTTAAGTTAGATGGAGGAATCATAAGAAGTATTAGATGTAAGTCCTTAAAATTTAACTTTAATTTAAAAGACATGTGTAAATAAATTTGCCAGAATTTCGATGACAAGGTCAAAGCCTTGCACGGATTCAGAGTGGAGTTTCTTGTGGAAACTATGCCAATGATATGTTGTCATTGATTTCTTGTTCACTTTCTGTGAAGACAACTGGGGTAAGGCAATCTGAAATCCTAGATTACACAATTTTTCCCATTTGTTTCTAGTTGTCTTGCCAACAGTTAAGCTGACAGCAACTGTTTGAGTTTCTCATTTTTCCAACACATTTAGTTTATTTCTCAGAGAAACAATACTACTCTTGTTATACTCATTTTCTCAGTTTACGTAATATTTATTTATTTATTTATTTATTTATTTATTTATTTATTTATTTATTTTGAGACGGAGTCTCGCTCTGTCACCCAGGCTGGAGTGCAGTAGTGCGATCTTTGCTCACTGCAAGCTCCGCCTCCCGGGTTCATGCCATTCTCCTGCCTCAACCTCCCCAGAAGCTGGGCGTACAGGCACCCGCCACCACGCACAGCTAATTTTTTTGTATTTTCAGTAGAGACGGGGTTTCACCGAGTTAGCCAGGATGGCTCGATCTCCTGACCTAGTGATCCGCCCGTCTCAGCCTCTCAACATCATATTTAATTAAATTGCATAACTACAAGAACAAGAACAAATGGCGTAAACATATTTAGGAATGAACACAGCTTCCTCTTAGAAAATATACAATTTCTGTGATGGAAGGAGAAATGTACAGGCATTAAAAGCAGCTCAAAGGCTTTCAGTTTGCAGTGGACATCAGTCAATAAGTTGTACACGGGTACAAGAAAGTGCTGATTGTAAATCAGTTAAGTGGAGGTCAGTTAAGGCAGCATCCACTGTATCTTAATTTGTAAAGTTAATGTTCTAAAACTGGGTTCACTTTTGCTATAAAGGACCAGAAAATGTGGTCCTAAATGAAAAAAAAAAGGACCTAAAATGAAAAATATTTTAGGCTTTGCAAACCATACGGTCTCTATAGCAACCATTCAACTCTACCATTGTAGCAGGAAAGCACCATAGATCCATGGATGTGCTCCAATAAAACTTTATTAAAACAGGCAGCTGGTCTGAGGGCCATGTATATATCTTGCTGTTTTCATGCAATTTTCTAAGTTAGTAGTTCCCTGCCTTTTTAACAATCAAGGATTACTTTTAATCCTCTCCTCTGATTTTATGTTTCAAAAGCCTTAAGAAAAACCCTAAAAATATATTTATTTTGTAATTTTGGGGGGGTTCTTATTTTACTAATAAGTAATCAATGATATATAAAGGCTACCCATTATGTCAGTATGAAATAATCAACATTATTAACTCTAATGACTTAGTTCTGGATAGAAATAAGAAGTATTCAACTATATGTATATAACTTAAAACCTGTATAGTTTTTTCTGGTGTAAATATATAACTTTTCGAGATTCTTCAAGTATTAAATACAACTTTTGGGAATCCTCACACCTGGCTCCCTATGATGACATTTAAGAATTCCTTAGGATTCTGGGAATCTTAGAATGAAAGTCACTGCTCTGTAGGAATGAATGAATGAATGAATAAGAAAGGGAAGGAAGAAGAAAGAGCATGTCTACTAAATGTAAATTAATCATCAAGGAACGTTTATTTTATTAATAAATTTGTCAACTTTAGGTTGCCAAATCTAACAAGAGACCAACATGGCATTCATGGTGATCACACCTCTAGTCAAATTTTATTTTAGTTCATTGACTATACTATTAATATCCTGAAATACTCAAAAATTCTGTCTTAATTCTGTGAATAATTCACTTATTAATCACCCTATACTTAATGAACGGAATGGTGTTGGAATAAAGATAATTACAGGGCTAAAAGGGTTTTCTCTAGAGGCAGGTTATAGGATTTTTTTGTCTGACTGGAATAAAACAAAATTAATCAATATTTTCTGCAACCAGTGGCTTTTGACTTAGTCATCTATTAATATCTATCAATCACTATAACCTCAGTCCTGTTTCCTCCATTCTTCTTTTTGCTATCATAAAAACTGGTCCATTTTTTTCCTGTTAGATCTATATGTTTCTCCTCTTTTCTTTTCATCCAAATAACTGGTCATCAACTTAGTAGAGATAGTGCAATTGATCCGAACCCTACAGAACTCAGTGTTTCAATGTACATAACTTACATAACTGTCAAGCTGAAATCACTCTCAAATTTTTTTAATTCAAAATTTTAATTTCATTTAATCATATTTATTTATTCATTAATTTATTTTGAAAATAATTTTAACTTGTATTTTACATTCAGGGGTACGTGTGCCAGTTTGTTACATGGGTATATCTCATATTGCTGAGTTTTGGGGTATGAATGATCCCATCATCCAGATGCTGATTTGGTATGGTTTGACTCTGTGTCCCCACAAAAATCTCATGTTGAATTGTAATTCCCAATGTAGGGGGAATGACCTGGTGGGAGGTGATTAGCTCATGAGGGCAGATTTCCCCCTTGCTGTTCTTAGATGGTAAGTGAGTTCTCATGAGATCTGATGGTTTAAACATATGGCACATCCCCCCTGGCTCACTTGCTCTCCTGCCACCATGGTAGAACGTGCCTTGCTTCCCACTTCACCTTCTGCCATGATTATAAGTTTCCTGAAGCCTCCCAGCCATGCTTCCTGTACAGCCTGTGGAACTGTGAGTCAGTTAAACCTCTTTTCTTTATAAATTACCCAGCCTCAGGTAGTTCTATATAGCAGTGTGAGAACAGATTAATACATGAGCATAGTACCCAATAGTTAGTTTGTCAAACCTTGCCTTCCTCCTTCTCCCCTCTAGTAGTCCTGGTGTTTATTCTGTCCATCTTTATGTCCATGAGTACCCAGTGTTTAGCTCCCACTTATAAGTGAGATCATGTGGTATTTCGTTTTGTATTCCTGCATTAATTTACTTAGGATAATGGCCTTCAGCTGCATCCATGTTGCTTCAAAGGACATGATTTTGTTATTTTTATGGCTGCATAGTATTCCATGGTGTGTGAAATGGTTTGGAAGGTGGCCCCTATAAATCTCATGGTGAAATGTAATCCTCAGTGTTGGAGGTGGGGCCTGGTAGGAGGTGTTTGGGTCATGGGGGTGGATCTCTCATGGCCTGATGCTGTCCTTGTGATAGTGAATTCTTTCAAGATCTGGTTGTTTAAGGGTGTGTGGTACTTACCCCCACTCCCATTCTCTCTTGCTACTGCTCTGGCCATGTGATGTACTTACTCCCTCTTGGCCTTCCATCATGAGTAAAAGCTCCCTGGAGACTACACAGGCACCATGCAGATGCTGTCACCATGCTTCCTGTACAGCCTGCAGAGCTATGAGCCAATTAAACCTCTTTTCCTTATAAATTACCCAGTCTCAGGTATTTCTTCATAGCAATGCAAGAATGGCCTAATAATACTAATGTGGATGTACCACATTTTATTGATCCAATCCACTGTTGATGGGCACCTAGGCTGACTCCATGTCTTTGCTATTGTGAATAGTGCTGCGATGAACATGCAAGTGCGTATGTGTTTTTGGTAGAATAACTGACTTTCTTTGGGTCATATACCAGTAATGGAATTATTGGCTTGAAAGGAATTTCTATTTTAAATTATCTGAGAAATTTCCAAACTGCTTTCAACAGTGGTTGAACTAATTTACATTCGCTCCAATTATGTGTAAATATTCCCTTTTCTCCACAGCCTCCCAAGATCTGTTGTTTTTTGATTTTTTAATAGTAGCTATTCTGACTGGTGTAGGATGGTATCTCATTTTGGTTTTGATCTGCATTTCTCTGATGATTAGTGATGTTAAGCCTAATCTTTGCTACCAGAAAACTGGGAAAACACAGTGTCGCTTGTCAAAATAAATTGTTTTACTTTGCTTTAAAAATAATCAATTTAGTAGTATATTTCTTCCAGAAAAATTAAGAAGTAAACATTTAGAAATGTACAGTACCTTGCTGTTAAGTCTTCGCACAAGTATACCAATCGAACATAAAGGCCACTTTAAACTTTCATTTGAAATGAAAGACAATTTTTAAGAGGTTAAGGGCTAGTAATTTGTTAAAGTCCTGAAGTTAAGTTAGCTGAAGTAAATATAAAGACTTTCCTTTAATTAAAGCCTTTTAAATGAACACTTTAAAGCATAGTTGGTTTCTCCCTCAAATCTTGTCCAAAGACACTGTTTACAACTCAGTATATCAAAGGTTTCAGACATGATTATGAAGCTCCCTCAACTTACAATGTGCTATTTGCAACCTTAGTTGCTATCATTCTGGCTTTTCTACCTTTTGGCAACAATAAGCACACCCTTCCCATTTCTCCCCCACCCTGACTTACCCCTCTTTGCATTTAATGTATAATTTTTCTCAGAATGTTCTTACACATCTTTAACTGTAAATATGACAAAAGCACACAGTATAGTACATGTGCCACATGTATAAATGTTGTATCTATTCATACAATTTTCCTTTTAAAAAAGAAATATTTTATTTTCAAAAAGCAAAGACTCTAGGAATCTTTTCTAGCTGCCAGTCATAAAAACATAAATTTCTGGTTAGATTCCAAAATTTGCCTGACCATAAGAAACACTTGTGGTACTTGTCAAACACATGTATTCTGAGTCCCATCCGTGATCTCCTGAATCAGAATCAGCAGGTGAGAAGCCTGGGAATACACATTTTAAACAAACGTCCACAGTGATTATGATTAGTCAAGCTTGAAAAAAATTTCACTAGGATCTTTATGACTGAATAACCTCACAAACATAGGAAAGTTACTGGAGAAAAATACGAGCAGAATTTCAGAATTCTGCCTTTGCTGAAAGTGTTTGTTCCCTCCTCCTCTACTCATCAAGACCTGACTGCTTATGTAACTCCCCCAAACCACCAACACCTGGGAGGAGTTGAAAATGATTTTAATGAAGAAGAAAAGCTGATGTTTAATTTCAAAACTGACGGTGACAATAGAAGGGAGAGGCATGAATTTATCTTGATTCTAACACGAAGCATTGTATTTCAGTCAACAAACGAAATTGGTTTCATTTTTATTTTTTGTAAGTTTTCGCCAAACTCTATGCATATATAGAGGCTGGGCAAGAAAGAAATCCAGAAATATGGCATATGCCATCCCTTATTTATTTCCCCATGCGACCAGCCAACAGCTTCTTCACCTAGTCCCTGCTTCAAGCTGACTTTGTGTCTACTTCTCTATCGGAAATGGAGCTTCCCTAAAGACTGCCTCAATGTCAGTTACCCAGAGGCCTTTTTTCCATCTTGTGCTCCTAAACTTCTATGATATTAAATGATATTACCCTTTCTGGAAATTCTCCTTAGCTTTGATTTTATAATTTTACTCTAACTGTTTAATTCCTTCTTTTATAGCCTTTCTTTTCTCTATCCCTTTACTGCAGACATGTTGTACGGCTTTGTTCTTGACCTTCTGATCTCTCCACATTCATTCCCTCAGAGCATGTATCCATTTTCTTGGTGTCGGCCTTCCTGACTATCTGATTATTACCATCATATAACGATGTTGGTGATGAGCATAGCTAACATATCCTAGGCATTTTCCATGTAGGTTATAATAAGCACTCTATATAATTTGTACCATTTAATTCTTCAACCCTAAATGATACTATTACGAACCACATTGTATGAGATGAGGAAACTGAGATTTTCATCAAAACCATGGAAAGCCAACGTGAGGAGCCCCTGTGTGTCTCCTTTGTTAATGCCTCTGGGCATCATGGCATGTGGATTGCCCTAGAATGGGGATTAGGAAGCGCAGCACTGTGAAAACACCAGAAAATACGTTATGATAGCGGGTAAGGACGCTCATCTCCGCACATTGAGATGGTTTTATTTCTGAGTCAGGTTTGAAATGAGCCAATCCTGACTCCATGGTGCCACCAGGGATCACGAATTTAATAAGATCTTTGTGGATGCTTGGAACCCAACTGGTCTCTGTTTTCTACTTTAGGGAAAGAGCCACAGCTTGAGTGGGGTGGTTTTGGTGTCACATACGCTATCAATAATACCCACCGTTTTGGTGTCACATGTGCGATTAATAATACCCACCGCTGCAGAGGGATCACCGTGGACTACTCCTCGTTTCATCCCATGCTCTTGCGATGGATCCCTCTCACCTGTTTAATGATTTCATTCAAATTCTTCAGCGACCGCAGGACCCCGATTTGCCTTCTCTATCCTGGTTCCCATCACTCTGCTTTACAGGCCTGGCCTGCTCGCGGCTCCTCACACCAGCACTGCGCATCTCCCTCCACGCCTCTGCCCTGTTTCCTCCATCAGACAGGACTAGCTTCCTCCATCTCTATCGGGCAAAAGCCTGCCCAGCGTTCAAGACCCTCCTCAGATGCCGCCTCCAGGATTAGGCTTCTTCCTGACCCCTGAGCCTGTAACACGCGCCACCATAACTCTCCACCTCCGCCCACATTCCCACAGCACTCGCGACATCCGCGGGCCTCAACATGTCTCTTCATTCCATTTTAGGGTATTTCCTGTTTGTTTCCTGCACACACAGTCGCGCGAGGCACAGCCCTGAGTGACCTGCGCGGGAGTGGCCCGCGCTTCAAGATGCGCCGCCGCAGGCCGGGGAGGGCAGCCTGAGCCGCTTCCCGCCCCCGCGGGGACCGTCGCCAGCCCGCATCTCTAGCGAGAGGAGGTTCCACAGCGCGCCCGGCAGCCCCGCCACCGTCAGCACCTGCGCCTCGGGCGGGCTTTCCCCACCTCTGGGAGGCACGAATCCTCAGGGGCTCCTCGAGAGGGCGCCAGGGAGCAGATGCATGCGGACACCTTTCGGCCCTCTGCAGCCGCCGTAGCTCCTCCCTCACGCCCCGCCCCCCCCCCCCCTCCCGGCAGAAACCTGGAAGTGGAAATCTCGGGCATTCACCGTTTGGGTGAAGACGGAGGCGGGTTCTGGACAGACGTAGGCTGTCAGGGAGTGTTTACTTCGCCTCCACTTCTGTTCCTCCCTGCCCTGGTGCTGCTCCAGGTCACATACTCGTCCTGAGCCGGCTTCAGCCTGTCCGCGCAGAAGTCTCCCGGAGCCATGGCCTAGTACTCTTATGTGAAGTCTAGCAAGCTCGTGCTCAAGGGAACCGAGGTGAAGAGCTGGGTCCTGCAGCTCTGGTGGGAGCCTCCTCAGTTCTTTTCGGATGCACTCCACCCCCGCGAATCCGGTGGAAGCCGTGGTGCAGAGAGCCGGCTTTGTGGCCTCCCAGGCTTCGCTCTGACCCTGTCTGGGCTGGACGGAGGCCGGACCGCGGTTCCTGGCGCCTGTGCAGAGAGGGGCAGCCTCCCGTGCTGACGACCCTGGAAACAGGATAGACGGGCGGGTGACCCGTGGCCCCGTACCCACGAGTTTGGGTCCCCTGAGGCATCTCTCCAGGCCTCTGCCTGGTGGGTCTGCGTTAGTCTGATCTTGTAGTTCATTATAATAACTTCCTTTATTAGGGATTATTCTTTTCTCCATTGTCTCTTCCTGGAAAAATTATTGATTAATTTTTTTCTAAGCTAATATGTAGAGTGAAACCGGGATGAATCACACAGTGGTTGAGGTGTATATGGGCTTTGATAGGGATATGGGTTGGAACCTGCACTCTGTCATTTACTAATTTTGTAATTTGTGGCAAATTGGTTAATATGTCTGAACTTCCATTTACTCATTAAGAGATCAAGTATCTTTGAACCTCCGTTTACACATTTAAACTTTTAGACCATTTTTTATACCTTTAGAATACTGTGAGGATTAAATGAGAGAACATACATGCAGTAAATAAATTAAGCCAAATGTGAGGAGGAGGTCGTAGTGGTAATTTATTAGCTCTTTAGGAGAAAAATACCTGTGCATTCATATCCCCGCTTCTTTTTTAACTGGCAGATTTGCCTGAGGTTGACTGTACATACAAATATTGAGCATTTCCTCCTGGCCTCCGTGATAAACAGGGGTTTTGATATTGTTAGGCGAGATGGAAAGAAAGTATCAAGGAGTGAGCTGAAGCCACTGCCCTTGAGAACCCTCTCGAGGAGTCTGGCCTCATGAAGATGCCAGAATAAGTGGCAGGTATATCCTGAATGAATGTGAGATTTTTACTATGTGAAATGCCTGTGAGGAGTGGTGAGTTATCTTCTGAAAACTTTATGATGAAAATGCAGACAAGAGTGTCTTAAGATTATCGTAATAATCATAATTAATGCTTATATAGCACTTTCAATGCGCCAAGAAATTGTTGTAGGCACTTTGCACATTAACTTTCTTCAAATTGCTCTTGGGTTTTTATTTTTTTATTGCGATGTAATTCATAATTATAAAATTCACCCTTTTGTACAGTCAGTGGTTTTTATTATATATTCAAGAGGTTCACCACTGTCTAGTTGCTCAGCATTTTCATCATCTCAGAAGGAAATCTCTTCCTAACCATTAAAGCAGTCACATCCCATCTTCCCCCTCTCCTAGTCCTTGGCAACCACTAGTCTGCTATCTATGTGAAATTGCCTATTCTGAATATTTCCTAAGAAATCATGCAACATGTGGCCTTTTGTATCTGGCTTCTTTCACTTATAACATTCTTGAGGTCCATCAGTTTTGTAGCACTTGTTCCTTTTTATGGCTGCGTAGTAGTCCATTGTATGGATGTAATATTTTGTTCATCCATTCATCAGTTGATGAACATTTAGATTGTTTCCCCTTTTTGACTATTGTGACTAATACTAGTGTGAATATTCTTATGTAAGTATTTTTGTGGGTGTATGTTTTCATTTCCCTTGGGTATACATACTTAGGAGTAAAATTGCTGGGTCATATGGTAACTCTTTAACTTTTTGAGGAACGCCAAACTGTTTCCTGTAGATGCTGCACCATTTTACATTTCCACCAGCAATGTGTGAAGATACATATTACCTCTTAATCCTCACAATAGCCTTAAGAGTTAAGTTGTTATCCTAATTTTTTAAGTGGGGAAACTGACTCACAGAGAGATTCAGTACCTTTTCCCAAAATCACAGAGCTAAGAAGTGACAGAATCAGGATTTAAAATCTGGCAGTGTGGCTCTACAATCTGCTTTGAACTTTAACATAATATGTACAAAGCCTGAAGCAAATTCTCAGTACTGTATTTAAGAGGGCATAGCAATGTAAGTCTTCCTAAATCAATAATTTATAAATGAAACAACTTAAAAGACTTCCAAGTTTCAATCTTACGATATTGATTTATCACACAAATCAATATACTTAAACTCATCTATATAAATTATGTCCTGTAGTAAGAAGAAAAAGAGCAAAGATAAGAAGAGAAAAAGAGAAGATGAAGAAACCCAGCTTGATACGTTGGTGAGTCAGTTTTCAGTGCTTTATTCTGAAAAAAGTTAACATTTCTTGAGATCTCATTGAAAATATTTTCCTAGTTAGAAATTTATGATGTATTCATATTTGTCTTAAAGTGCTTAAATATTACCTACAGTTGCAAATTCCATTTATTCTTTAGCACAGTAGATGCTACTGATGCCTTTACTTCATTATCAGAACAGAGCACAGGAGAGAAGAATTACAACTCTCTGACTTAGTAGGCACCATTAGACTGCTTAATAATAGCTGGAGATTCTGATACATAATTTTAAAGGCTTAATGTAAATGTTATTCAACCAAATATATTTTACAAGCTATTTTCTTTGAACATGTATACATTTTAGTTGTAGAAGTCAGTTGTCTCTTAAACAAAGTATCTTCATAGGAAAAATCATTATTTTGTGAACTCTGAAATGAATGAAAATTTTAAATACAATATCAGGGTAGCCTGTAAATGATACTGGAAATAAACTGACCCAAACACACTTAACCAGCCTGTTTTCCGTTTAGCTGTTTCCATACTTTTTTTTTCTCTTTTAAAACTTGGCAAGTTGCATTTTGAATCTTCATAAATTATGGTAGCTTAAAAAATATATAAAATATGGAATGGTGTAAAGCTAATGTTCTGGAAGAATCATTGCTTTTGAAATGGCAAATCAACAATTCTAAAATTAGGGTAAATATCTAGGGTAGATATGTAGATGTGGAATTGCTGTGTCAAAGGATAGGTGAATGTTTAACTATATAAGAAACTGTCAAAATTTTTCAAAAGTGGTTGCGCTATTTTATCCTCCTTTTCAGTTTCTTAATGGTGGTTTTTGGATGGACAGCTTTTTTCTTTTTTTTTTTTTTGAGATGGAGTCTGGCTCTGTCACCCAGGCTGGAGGGCAGTGGCGCGATCTCGGTTCACTGCAAGCTCCACCTCCCAGGTTCACGCCATTCTCCTGCCTTAGCTTCCCAAGTAGCTGGGACTACAGGCACCTGCCACCACGCCCAGCTAATTTTTTGTGTTTTTAGTAGTGACAGGGTTTCACCATGTTAGCCAGGATGGTCAGAAGCTTTTAATGTTTATAAAGCTTTGTTTATTTTTTTTCTTTTATGGTTACTGCCTTATCTCTTTGATCTAAGAGATCTTTGCTTACCCCAAAGTCTGGAAAATATTCTACATTGTCTTTTAGAGGCATCATAGTTTTAGTTTTTACATTAAATCTGTCATTAATCTCAAATTAATTTTTGGCATGGTGTGAGTTTGGTTCCAAGATTTCCTTTTTTTTTTTTTTTTAACATCTTGATAGCCATTTGTGCCAGCGCCACTGGTGTTTCCTTTTTCCATTAATCCAGTTTTGTATCTTCATAAAAAGTCAATTAACTTTCTATGTATTGGTCTATTTCTGGACTCTGTTCTATCGATTTTCTGTTTTTCTTTTGGCATATTTATCTTGATTGTTATAATTTCATGAAGTCTTGAGATCAGGTAGTGTGTGTCCTCCAACTTTGTACTTACTATTAGTTTATTGATTTCTTCAGTGAAGCCTGTTGGATTTTCTCGGAGAATTGTATTGAGTCCAGAGCATTTGGGGGAGAATCAACATCTTAATATTGGGCCTCAATATTTCATAATTTTCAATGTAGCAGTCTTGCATGCGTGTTTAAAAATTTATTCTTAAGTATTTTATAATTTTACACTACTATCAGTAGAACTTTTGAACTTGATTTTCCAGTTGTTTGTTGTCAGTATGTAGATATACAATTGATTTTTGTATAGTGACTTTGTAGTCTGATAAGTCTGTTTCACTTATTACTTCTAGTGGTTTGTTTATATAGAAAACTAAGAAATTTGCAATTATGTTTCCTGTGACTATCGTTTTACTTCTTTCTTTCTAATCCTTATGTCTTGTCTTGCTTTTTATTGGTTTATTATACTGTCCAGGACTTCCATAGTGTTGAACAGAAGTCACGAGAATGGGCATAATTGCATTGTTTCCAAGCTTAGGCAGAAAGCTTTCAGTAGTCCACCATATGGTATGATGTCTGTATGATCTGCAGAGAAAACCTTTATCAAAATGAGGACATTCCTTTTAAACTTTGTTTCTTGGCAGTTTTTATCATAACGATGTTTAATGCTGTCAAATGTCTCTTTCTGTATCTGTTGAGATGATTATACAAATTTCTTCATTCTGCCAATGAATTACATTGGTTTCATTTTCAACTTTTAAACTAACTTTACATCCCTGAGATAAACCCCACTTGGTTGTGGTGTGTTGTCCTTTGGGATATTGCTAGATTTGATTTCTAGGTGTTTTTTTTTCTTTTCTTTTTTTTTTTTTTTTAAGATTTCTATATTGGTGTTGATGGGAGATATTGGACTTTGTATCCTTTTCTTGTAATGTCTTTATTTGATTTTGGTGTCAAGGTTTTATTGGGTGTCATAAAATTAGATGGGAAGTGCTGTCTCCTTCCCTGTTTTTGGAAATAGCTGTGTAAGATCGGTATGATTTCTTCTTTACATGTTTGATAGGATTTACCAGTGAAATCATCTGAACCTAGAGGGTTTTATTTGGTTTGGTTTTAGTTTTTTGTGGGAGAATTAAGATTTTTTAAGAGATATTTTCAGATTTTTCTGTTGTCAGTTTTGGTAATTTGTGTCTTTTAGGAAAATTTCATTTCATCCAAGTTGTTGGATTTATTGGCATAAAATTTTTCAGAATATTCCTTTAATATCCTTTTACTGTCTGTAGAATCTAATCTGTATTGCAGTCTCTTCATATTGGTAATTTGTGTTTTTTCTGTTTTTTCCTGGATCAGTCAGTCTAGCTGGAGGTTTATCAATTCTTTATAAGATCACTTATTTTAGATCATTAATGATCTTTTAGTACAGGGGTATTCAATCTTTTAGCTTCCCTGGGCCACAATGGAAGGAGAAGAATTGTTTTGGGCCACACATAGAATACACTAACGATAAGCTGATGAGTCAAAAAAAAAAAAAAGGAAAAAAATCTCATAATGTTTCAAGAAAGTTTATGAATTTGTGTTGGGCTGCATTCAAACCTGGCCTGGGCCACATGCAGCCCTCAGGATGGACAAGCCTGTTTCAGTATTACTTATTTTCTATTTTTTTCATTTTTTATTTCATTTATTTTCAGTCTTTATTTTCCTCCCTTTAACTTATTTTCAGTTTACTTTGCTCTTGTTTTATTGCTTCTTAAGAAGAGAGTTAGATCTCTTCATTCCACATTAGTTTTAGTTATAGTCAACACATTTTGCTTTCATTTTCATTCCATTCAAAATATCATCTAGTTTTCCTTGTGAGTTTTCTTTTCATGGACACTTGAGTTATTTAAAAGTGTATTGTTTTTTAATTTCTACTACATAGAGATATTATAAGTATGTTATTGTTGCTGATTTCTAATTCATTTATAGTATAGTTGGAGAACATACTTTCTTAGTGAATTTCCATGTACACTTGACAAGAATGTGTATTCTGCAGATGTTGGTTCAGGGTTTTTTTTTTTTTTGGAGATGAAGTCGCTCTCTGTTGCCCAGCAGGCTGGAGTGCAGTGGCACAATCTCGGCTCACTGCAGCCTCCGCCTCCCAGGTTCAAGTGATTCTCCTGCCTCAGCCTCTGGAGGAGCTGGAATTACAGGCACCTGCCACCATGCCTGGCTAATTTTTTTTATATTTTTAATAGAGACGGAGTTTCACCACGTTGGCCAAGCTGGTCTCAAACTCCTGACCTCAGGCGATCCACCCGCCTCGGCCTCCCAAAGTGTTGGGATTACGGGCGTGAGCCGTGGCGCCCAGTGGTTCAGTGTTCTTTAGATGTCAGTTAGATCAACTGGTGGAGCTTGTGGCTATGCACATCTTCTGTGTCCTTACTGATTTTTTACTCATCCTACAATGTATTGAGAGTTATGTTAAAATCTCCAGCTCTACTTGAGCAGTTTTTGCTTAAAGTATTTTGAAGCTGTCATGTGTACACACTTAGGATTGTTAAGTCTTCCTTATAAATTCAGTCTTTCATTTTCATAACATTTTAACCTTTATTTCTGTTAAATGTCTTGATGCCTAGTTAAATTATTTGACCACCCTTTTGCTCCTGTCAAGCCTGGGCCTTTGTTAGTTTGTGCTTATTTATTAGATTTTTACCTGCAGACTTAGACAGTGACTCTTACTCTAGGAGATGTTCATCCTCATGGGCCTCAGCCATATGTTCTAGGTATACTTGATGAGTTCTCTCCACTCTGCTATGTCCCAAATTTGTGTGATCTCTGGCATCTCCAGTCAGCCCTCAGAAGTGCCAGCCACTCTGCAGAGGCCTTGTGGAGCCTGCCTGCTGTATGCACTCCCCCCAGCCCTTGGCCCCAGACCTGCAGAGAACTTTTGCATTCTCTTTTGAGGCCTCACCTGTATGTAGTTCCCTCTTCTCCAGTACCTTATTCTATAAACTCCAAACATGTTAGCACTGCAAGACTCTCAGCTTAGTGACAGTGACATTGCCTCATTTTTGGAGGTCTCTACCTCTCTCTGTGTGGTCAAGAAACTGCCATTGGGCAGAAAACAGAAGTGTGTGTGAGATTTGCCTCCTGTGTTTTCCTGTTCTCAAATATCACAGTCCTGTTCTGCCTGTGTTCCAATCCCTGAAAAGAGTTTTCTCAAATATTCTATCCAGTTTCAGTTTTCTCATTGGTCATGGTGGGAGGGCAAGTCCATCTTGGCTGGAAGAGGAAGTCCTTCTTCATCTTTTTCTCTTTGTCCTTCCACCTTCTTTTGCATTGTGGATTTTCTAAACTTGCCGTATAAGTAAGCATGTGCCTATTTGTGAAGGGAAAGAAAAAACCCTTTTAATTTTTTAAAGCTGTTCTGTTGGTTCCTCACAAGGATCTGAAGGGATTGGTAAATAGGATGAAAGAAATTCTGTCTTTCACATGGAGAATACCATGTGTGACATTAATAAAAATGAGCATGTCTGTAAGCAAAGAGTTTCACTGAGCTCTGCTAGATTCAGAAGCTATTGAACTTACAACATCGTAGTTTGCAAAACACAGATTTGATTTACTCAGGAACTGAAGCTAAGTAAGCTATGTGTTAATAGAAAGTCTGTGAAGGGTACTTAGACTACAGTAAGATTGGGGAAGAAAATTCCATTTCCAAATCTAAGATATATCATTCCTTTTTGCCAAGCACATAATGAAGGTAGAGATTTAAGGGGGCCCTTAGCACAGAAGCACTGGGTTAGTCAGAAGGTGACGTGAGCTGTCACACAGCCTTGATTCTAGAATGAGGGTGCCCTGGTAGTATCTTATCAGCCATGACACTGGTACATCGGGCCAGTTTTTTTTTTTTTTTTTTTTTTTTTGAGACAGGCTCTTGCTTTGTTGCTCAGGCTGGAGTGCAGTGACGTGATCATGGCTCATTGCACCCTCGACCTTGTAGGCTCAAGCAATTCTCTCACCTCGGACTCCCGAGTAGCTGGGACCACAGTCTTATACCACCATACCCAGCTAATTTCTTAATTTTTTTGTAGAGATGGGGGTCTCCTTTTGTTGCCTAGGCTGATCTTGAACTCCTGGGCTTAAGTGATTCTCCTGCTTCCACCTCTCAAAGTGCTGGGTTACAGGCATGCCAGATATATGGAAGCATTCTCAACTATGTGAAAATATGTGAAAAGCTTTGTTATGCATTGTGAGACAACACAGTGGGAATATTTCATCATCTGCCTAAGGTTTAAAAGGAAATAACTTTAAGCATGTGTCTAAATAGCAAGTAATGTTTTAGAGCGGATTCTCTTAAATTCAGCTTGGGCGTCTGCAGCATATACACAGCTTGAGCTGTAACCTGACATAGAGACAGGCAACTTCAGTGCCCACTGTTCCTAGGATCCACGGCTTTTTCACACCTAAAACCCCTGAGTGGCACTGTTAAGTATTATGTTATGTTACTTTAGTCATTAAACGTATAAGCATACCTCCAAAGGTTGAATGTAGGCCACTTGCAGAAAGTAGGCAGAATGCTCACATTTAATTCTTGATGATACTGTGTTTAGCTTTCTTATTCTTTGAAATATCATTGAGAAGAAATACTGGCATCTGCTCAAAGTAATTTCTTTTTCAGTTGACAATATTATAAGTAATGTTATTGTATCATTTCCCTACTTGGACAGAGTGTGAAAATTTTGAGGATTGTCTGCCACAAATTTCTTCTTCATTTGCAAAACATTCATGAGATATTATATTTAAATGATTTTATTTAATATTAAGTGTACTTGGTGAAGGTGGCATAGAAAATACAAAATAAAACTAATTTAAAAATATTAACTATTACATTTATAAGAAAGACTTGCTAATCATAACACTGTTCATAATGATTCTGAATAAAGCATTATTTCTTTTACTGAAAACAATTGTAGCTATAACTCAATCATCTAAATTGTCATTAGTTTTATTTCTTTCTAATCGCCTCTAGCTGAAATTTTAATTTTGATTAATTTTCTTTTTCTCCATTGGTTTCGTGTGTGTGTGGAGGTAAAATATACAGAATGTAGAATTTGTTAGTTTTTCTATTTTTACGTTTACACTTCAGTGGCATTTAAATACATGCACCATTTTACCTTCCCACCAGCGTTGCACAAGGTTTCAGTTTCTCCACATCCTGCCCAACATTTGTTTTTCTGGTTTTCTTGGTTTCTGTTTTTTGTTTGTTTTGATAATAGCATTCTAATGGGTGTGAAGTGGTATTGCATTATGGTTTTGATTTATATTTCCCTAATGACTAGTGATGTTGAGCATCTTTTCCAGTGCTTATTGGCCATTTGTATATCATCTTTGGAGCAATGTCCGTGTATATCCTTTGCCCAGTTTTGAATTGTATTTGTCTTTTTGGAGTTCTCTATATAGTCTGGATATTAACTCCTTATCATGTATGTAGTTTACAAATATTTTCTCCATTCTCTGGGTTGCCTTTTACTGTGTTGACAGTGGTTCTTGATGCACAAAACTTTTTAATTCTGATGAAGTCCAGTTTGTCTATGTTTTCTTTTGTTGCCTGTGCCTTTGATGTTCTATATAAGAAATCATTGCCAAATTCATTGTCGTGAAGCTTTTCCCATTTTCTTCTAAAAGTTTTCTAACTTTAGCTCTTACGTTTAGGTCTTTGGTCTATTTTAGTTACTTTTTGTATTTGGTGTTAGATAAGGGTCCAACTTCATTTTAGCTGAAATTTTATATATTTTAAAATTGATTATGAAAAGCATGAAATGTTTAGTTGAATAGAAAATTTTGTGCAGTGGAATTAACTGAATCTTTAAAACCTTTTTATTATGGAAATATCCAAACTAATCCATACATAGAAGAATATAATGAGTCCCCCATGTGCCCAGGCCCCAGCATTAATTATCAATATTTTGCCAATCTCGTTTCATTTACATACACACCCCCACACACATTTTTTCCTAGAAAATTCTAAGTAAAATCACAGATATTATGTCATTTTACCCATAAGTACATAAATGTACATTTCTTAACTTGGTATGTCTTTCTCTCATCACCTGTTTTGTCCTTTACTTTTATGCATTATACTATGTCATTATCAGACCTTGTAAAATTAACAAGAATTCCTTAATATTTCATATCCAGTTAATGATTGACTCATTTCTACTCTAGTTAAAGTACAATTTAGGAGGAGGTTTGAGGATATTTTTTAACATTAAGATATAAACTTTTATAACAACTGCTAAAATAATTGTTGCTAAAGTCTAACATTTCTATTGGCAAATTGGAAATTAGTATACATAGACATAGATTCTGCTCATTTTGCTTTCAATCTAAAATCGTAGTTAAGATTACTGGCCGGGCGCGGTGGCTCACATCTGTAATCCCAGCACTTTGGGAGGCAGAGGCAGGTGGATCACGAGATCAGGAGTTCAAGACCAGCCTGGCCAATGTGGTGAAACTCCGTCTCTACTAAAAATACAAAAAAAATTATTCGGGCATGGTGGCAGGCTCTTGTAACCCCAGCTACTCTGGAAGCTGAGGCAGAGAATTGTTTAAATCCAGGAGGTGGAGGTCGCAGTGAGCCAAGATCGCGTCACTGCACTCCAGCCTGGGCGACAGAGCGAGACTCCGTCTCAAAAAAAAAAAAAAGATTACTATGCTAGAAAGTCTTCCTGAGAGACATTTTTAAGAAGTATTATGATAGGCATTGCCTCTGGAAAGCAGGCATGAATAGATGGCTAGGGTCTATCATGAGAGAGACCGTTCTCCATATATCACTTTGTACCTTCACATGTTGCCTTTTGTTTTGTTTTGGTCTTTTTTTGAAACAGGACCTTGCTCTGTCACTCAGGCTATAGTGCAGTGGCGTGATCATAGCTCACTATAACCTTGAACTCCTGGGCTCAAGTGATCCTCTTTCACAGCTCCCCGAGTAGCTGGGATTACAGGCATGCACCCCCATGCCTGGCTGTATGTTGCTATTTTGTATTTTAAAAACCTAATCCTGACTGTGCTGGTAGTTGCATGAATCTGTGTACACACATGCGAACAAGTACATGTAAAACTGGTGAAATCTGAATAAGCTTCATGGATTATATCAATGTCAGTTTCCTGATTCTAACAATGTATGATACTTATGCAAGATGTCATCATTGAGACAAAGTAAGTAAAGGATATGTGAGATCTTCATATTATTTCTTACAACTGCAAGATAAAAGGTTTTTAAAACTAAGTTATAATAACAACTCTGTGTCAAAACTAAAATATAAAGTTGAAATATCAATTTTATTTTTTAGGAATCTGGTGAACAGTAACAAACTTTGGTGAAATTTCAGGAACCATAGCCATTGAAATGGATGAGGGAACCTATATACATGCACTCGACAATGGTCTTTTTACCCTGGGAGCTCCACACAAAGAAGGTTTGTGTCTGGAAGGGAAGATCCTGCCACAAGTGTAGATTTTAGGACATTCATTCACTTAGGCCAAACTCTAACTAGTATCAAACATTTTCCAAAGGAATGTAACCATTGCATTTGACTCTTCCATTTTTTTTAATTCCTTAATATTTACCAGCCATTGGCAAGTCCCTCTTTCTAATATAAGCATTTGAAAACATTCCGTATAGTTCCAGAAGAGTATCTTTGGAAATCTAAACAATATGAATAATTAAAATAGTAAGTGGAAAGAAAAAAGAAAACCTATTTCAGTCAAACATGTTTGAATTTCTTTTTTATTCAGACTTATTACCAAAACTAACCTGGGTGCATTTAACAATTTGAAGTTTCCTCGTTTTCTTTAGCCCATTAGAGGAAGCACTAATGAGATACGAAGTAATTAGAAGATAAAAAGCAGTATCATTTGGTCAGCAAGGCCATCCATTGAATAAATGAAAGCATTTAGCTTTTTTAAATAAGTGCTTACTTATGACTGTATTTTAAAACATAAAGAGAAGCTATCTCTAAAGTTATTAAATAAGCATTATATCACCCTGTCTTACTCAGTGTATAAAATTAGCACTGTAGTTAAAAGAAGGTAAAATAGATCTTGATTCCAAAGATACAGTATTACAGTGACATCAGTATATCTGAATATTCTTACATTTAATTGCAGAAGAAAATAGCCACATTTTTTAAAGCAAAATAATGTCTTTATATTTATAGCAAATGTCAAATTTATTTTCAAATGTTTTTTCTCCAATATTGATGAGGGCCCTAGTCCTCCAGAGCAGTTTATGGCTGTCAAATTATCTGATTCCAGGTGAGCTTATGTTGTAATATAATTAGTAACCAGTTATTTTAAAAATTTAATTGTATTCATTAAAAATTTTAGTGTCTGTCTTAAGGCCATGGTAATTTTGATATAAAAAATGAAATAGCTTTTTTGAAAAGTAGATTTTGTGATCTACTTTTAGTGGATTTCCTATCAATATATAATGCTAGGCTGGAAAAAAGATATGTAAATTAAAAAATGAAGATTAATAATTTCACACACCAAGTAAGATAGATTAAAAAATAAATCAAATAGTACAAAACCTGGTTCACTGTTGCTATGATATTTAAACTCACTGTTTGGAAGTCTAAAGACAAACAGGAAGACTAAAAAAAGGGACATTGTTGAAACCAGCAGAGAATGTTACAGCATCATAACAACCAAAAGAATATTTTTACTCACTATTTTTACAGTCATTTTATAAAGTAACCTTTTTTATTCTCACCTTGTGCAGAAATATAGAATGATTCTTTGGGTAAAAGATACTGAAAGTGAATTTACATACTTTAGTAATTGGTTACATCAACATGATAATGATTTCTGTTATATAATCATTAACGTATAAAGGAGTAAAAGTCAATTATGGCATCCGAGGAGATTCTTAGTAAGGTAAAAGAAATCATAATTTTAAAAAATCACATTAAGATGATTATTTCTATACTTTCTTTGAAATTCTGATAAGTAGGGTGAAAGACAGAATAAAAGCAGAGGAAGAAAAATTCAATAGTTTTAAACTGCTTTACAATTATAAACAAAAAAAGATTATACAGAAAATTAACTGACAAATGAGGAAAATATTTGCAACAATCTTAATAGGCAGTGAGTTCTTACTCTTCATATGTATCTTGTATAGAATTCATAGCACTGAAGACCCCAGTAGAGAAATTGTGAACAATCAGATCTGAATAGAAAAATGGACAAGGGACATTACCAGATAATCTAAAAGCTAGAAAGGAAAAGAAAAACAATTGTTATTCTAGTTAACTACTAAAATGCAAATTAATAGGATACTGTTTTTTTTCCATATCAGGTTTTCAAGTATTTTTTTAGAGTCATAATGTTTAAAAAAAATCCATGATACAAAACATACTCTATTAATTTGAGGTAAGAATGTAAATGGAAGCAGCATTTTCTGGAAAACAGTTTGATGACATAAAGTTTTAGTAATTTATTATTGAAGGTTATAACTAAAGAGGTATAATTGAAGAATGATGAATTTTGAAAATATTTGTTATGTAATATATAAGGTACAATGTTTATATTAAAAAAGCAAAATAAAAAACTAAATTTAAAACTTTACTGTCCAATATGGCAACAACTAGTCACATGTAGCTTTTTTTTTTTTGAAGGCACAGAGTCTCTGTCACCCAGGCTGGAGGGCAGTGGTGTGATCATAGCTCACTATAACCTCAAATTTCTGGGCTCAAGCACTCCTCCTGCGTCAGCCTCCCAAGTAGCTGGTATTACATGTGCACACCACCATGCCCAGCTAACTTTTTAAATTTTTTGTAAAGATGGGGTCTCACTATGTTGTCCAGGCTGATCTTGAACTTCTTGCCTCAAGCAATTCTCCCATTGCCTTCCCAAAGCACAGAGGTTACAGGAGTGAGTCACCACTCAGCCACATGCATCTTTTGAACACTTGGAATATGTCCAGTCTGAAACTTTAGATATGTACACACCCACACACATACACATGTCCTGTTTTGATGTCCTATAATTAATTTTCTCTCCGTTTTTAACTTTTATCTATCTTATTAATGTACAGAATCGCCCTGAAATCTGGCTATGGAAAATATCTTGGTATAAATTCAGATGAACTTGTTGGGCATTCAGATGCAATTGGACCAAGAGAACAATGGGAACCAGTCTTTCAAAATGTAAGTGCTGTTATTGTTTATAAAAACTTCCTGTCAGTTTAACAGAAAGTCTGTAACAGTCAATCATAATATATTTAAAAAGAAAAAGTAGGATGCAATAGTATAATACATTAAATTGGAATAAACCACTAAGAACATAGAGCCTTAAAGAGATCTCAAAATATAGTGCAACAAAAATAGCATTAGTACTTTTGTCCACAATTATTTCTGTATACCCTTAGTGCCTAGATATGGATCTCATTTCCATTGAAGAACCAGTCAATTTTAGGTCACAGAGTAGGAAAACAGAATAGTTCCTAAGTATCTTCTTTTTAGCAGAAATCATGGATGTTTTCAGAAACATTACAGGCCGTAAGCGAACAGTGGAGCTAGCTAAGACCAAGTTGTGACAATTTGCGTATAAAATATAAATAATAATAGTTCATTGAAGTAAATTATCTCTAAAAGACTTTCAGTTCATAAGCTTAAAATAGTGTACGAAAAGATAGTTTTAATATAAGAAGAAAAAAGTTAATGTACTAATTCTTTATTTTATTAAGTAGACAGTTGTAGTATATGGATGTTTTGTTAAATCTTTGTTGATACAGAATACATAATTTCCTTTTTCTGTTTGTGTGAGAAGTAAAGATTGAACAAAAATATGTGAGTGCTAAACTGTCTTTAAAAAGTAGATAACTATATCAAAAACAGTAAGGACCAGTGGGCACCACGCAGAACAAGCAAATAGAAGATAAGCTCAGCCTTTGAGTAGCAGCTTTGGTAGTATACAATAATGAACTGAAAATAGGAACTCAGCAGTGTTTTCTAAGATGACAGATTAAACAAACATCCCACCAGAAAGAGGTAATCACTTAGACTAATTTCCTCATCCCCTAGGATAAAATCTTAAGTCAGTGACTTGAAAACTATTTTGACCCAATCCATTGAGAAATGCATTTTTACATTGCCAGCCCAGCACAAACATATGTATAACTGGAGCAAGAGTTGTACTTAACAATACATACTTATCCATGTGTTATGCACCTTGATATTTTGTATTCTCTTTTACCCCTTCCTCTGTGTGTCTGTGTGTATTCCTTTCCCCCCCAACCCACCCAATACCGTTCAGGAAACATTACATTGATTTCATTACCTGCTAATGTGTTGCAACCCCTTTGAGATGATCCTACTAGTTATGATGAGATGCTTCTAATAAAAGTTACACCAGTAGAAAATGCCAATATTTCATAAGGCCAGGATGATCGCTTAGATAGTACTAATAATACAACACTTTAGGAAAGTTCATTTCATTTTATTTTTAGGAAGGACACTAAGTTTCAAAAATTTAAATTTAAATGAAAGAGGGTCTTAAAACTGTATTGCGAAAAGGACTCAGCTGAATAATCTGTGGCACAGGTTTAAATCGCCTTGGACCACACCGCCATGTTCCAGGGCTCACCAGGAGCCATCCAGATGAGAGACCACCCAGCCCTTGTGACTTGACTAAGAAATTAAATCCATGTTATCAGCACATTTTTAACTGGATGTGATATAAGGTTAACATATTTTGTAATCATTGTATTTATAAATATTTTGTCTAAATGTTATGGTATTCCAAGTTTTCCAAAAGAATCAACCAAATACAAGTTATAAATAAACGTTATATTTGTTACGGGAGTTAAGCTAACCAAATTTATAACCCAGATTTAAATACACAAGAAAATCAGGTTTTACAGTTTTGTTTAATAGAAACCAGTGTAATACATCAAACATTAAACAACTAAAAATGTATATGAATATTTATTTTCACACACAAAAGTCCCTCAGACATTGATTCTTAAATTCAAAACACCAAAGGCATTGTATGTACCTTTTCATGTTTTCTAATTGTGAAGAAAATAAATTTTACTTAAAATGTTAATATCTGAATAAAGTATGCATTCATAATTATGTTCTTGTCTTTAAAGTTAATTTTCCAAGCAGAACTAAATCAGTTTTATCTTCAGTAGATCTTTTAGAAAGGAAGCAATCCTACTAGGAAGATACACTACAAATGTTTATTGTGGTAATCTTTGAATAGTAAAATGAAAGGTGATTTTGGTTTCCTTTTCTATATGTTCTTGTATTATATTTTTGAGGTTTTTCTCTCAGTTCTTTTCTGTGACTTTTAAATCAGGGAGGAAAAATTAATTCAGTCTAAGCACTTAATGTTTCTTCCACAAGAAGTATCCTCATGGCTATTTTGTTATTTTGTTTCACTTAGGGGAAAATGGCTTTGTTGGCCTCAAATAGCTGCTTTATTAGATGCAATGAAGCAGGGGACATAGAAGCAAAAAGTAAAACAGCAGGAGAAGAAGAAATGATCAAGGTAATGATGCCATTTTATACAGATGACTGAATTCACACATGCGATGTGACTGTATCTCTTTAAAATGTTAAGTCATCATTTACTGTCACTTTAAAGATTCAGTTAATAGCTTTTTATAATGTGGTGTTTCAAATAGACTCATTTTTAATTATAAATCCCATAGTTGATGGCTTGTTTATACAATGTGGTAGAGAAATCAGTGCATCTAGGAGCTACCTTGCCATTATCTCCATGGATTAGTATCTTTTTCTGGTAGTTCCACATGCTCTTTTTAAGCTTCCATTTTCTTGTTTTCTTGCGTGTATTTTAAAATCTAATTTTTTAAATAGATAACATGTACATGTGGTCCAACATTTTTAAATAAAAGCATATGAAGATGAAGATATATGCCTGCCATGCATCTTACTCACCTGTGTCCCAGCTCCGGTTCCTCTTTCCCTTTGTTTTTTTTTTTATAGCCTCCTAAAATTTCTTTATAAACATATGAATATATTTATAATTTTCAACTGTTTTACACTAAAGGCAACCTTCTCTATAGTCTTCTCGACTTTGATTTTTTTTTCCTTAAAATTGTATCTTGGAGAGTTTTCTACTATTAGTTTGAATGTAGAAAGTTTTCTCTTTTTCTTGCTTTTCCTCTCTTTCTCTCTCTCTCTTTTTTAACAGCCACATAATATTCCATTTTAGGGATGTACCTTAATTTATTTAGTCTTTTGTAGATGGAAATTTAGGTTGTTTCCAGTCTTTTGCTCTTCTAAATAGTGCTGCAGTACATAACATTGAATATGCATCAATTTGTAGATGTGCGGGTGGACCTGCAGATAAATTTCCAGAAGCAGAATTACCAGGTCGGGGTATACGTGTTTGTATTTACATAATGCTTGAGCTTCTGTGATGATAATCACTCTATGAAACATTAAAAATCATAGCAGAACTGCTGGCTCCTTAGCCCTTACATTTTAAAAATATTTTTATTAATAGTACCCATCTTCTTTGCATTAGGAGAAACATGAATCACATAAAACATGATTTTTATTTTATTTTTAAAATTTGTGTGCATCACTAAGCTGGAAATAAAAGTTCCTTATTCCAGGCTAAATTCCCTCATCCGTAGTCAGATGCATTATCCATTGCACCAGTGGCCTGTGCCCTCCCTAATCCTACTCTTTGTTTTACATCATTGTAAAAGTTACACAGACATCTTCATATCAAGGTGAAATTCTAAATAATACTGTTAATATAACCTAGATAGGTAGTTAACTGGAATTTGATGAAAACATTTAAGGCTTAATTTTTTAGACTCACAAAAGCCACTGATCTTTAATGATAAACATATACCAGGATGTGTCTAAAGAATAACTCCCGCCTTCTTGACACATGGCTTTTCTGTGTCTTGGCATTTCATCGCAGTACTGAGCATCCTGAACCTTGCTTTGTTTGTCTCTGTTGGGAATCACAGGTTGCATCCAGTCTGACCCAGATTTGCTCTGTAAGGCATTGTGGGGGCCAGAGTGGAAGGCTCTAAGAGAGGGGGCAAATGCCTTTTCTAAAATGCCCTTCGTTCTTATAATTAGAGCATAAAAATTTATGTTACATTTTTCTCTACTACCAGTGTAATTTAAAAGCATCTATCAATTCTCTGTATGTGCTTCATGTTAGATTTCTGGTCATATGTTTGATTTTCTTCTTAGAATAGTCTTGATTTCAGATAATTTCAAATCTAAAGCTCAAACAATTTCAATTTAAAATGTAGGCATTTTCTTACAGTTAGAGAAGTGAAATGTTATACTTTTCGTTGCATGCATCCGGCACATGCGCACATGCGTTATAGTCTTGAATTTCCATAATGATCCTGTGAGGTGGATGTGAGCTCAGCCTTACAGACAGGAAGACAGCCTCTGACCCTCCTTACATCCTCGTGGTTTTTGTCAGTCACTTCATGGAAATCACAGTGATTTCAAGGTGTGGTAGGACAGGATGTGTACCCAGGCCCAGCTGACTCCAGAGGCCACTCTCAGTATTTCATAGCACATTGCTTCTCAAGAAACAGGTCATTGAGGAAATGCAGATGGGTTTGTGACTTACATTTAATTTTACTTATTTATATTTTATTGTATCATGTGTAAATTATTTTTCATCTGGATATCATCACAAAAGTGTTATTGAAGGCAACAATTGCAAATATATGTGCAGTGCTTTGCACTTATACAAAGATACAAAGATACTTACACAAAGATTGCGTTTTTCACTATTTAAAGAAATTTTCAGATGAAATACCAAGTTTTCTGGGTCTCTTTGGTTAGTCAAGTACTTGGAAGCTCTGAACAGTGATTATTTAGGACACTTTTCGTACCATTTAATTGCAAGCTCTCCTAATCTCTGTCAGCCCTTCATCTTTATGACCTTGCCTTGTCTACCAGAACACACATCCCTCTTACTAAAGGTAGCATTGTGCTACAGGCCCTAGCAGGGAATGTTTTCAGGTCTGGGACCCCTCTAATCAAAACTGTCACAAAGATGTCATTGGCACAAACGCGTTATTTGTCATCACTGTCTAAGCAGCCCTGGAACTGGACTCTGGCCACAGAGATCCCTTAGGAGACATGAGTCCTTACCATTGCCAATTGCCTGTTCTGTGGGCGATCCTAATCGTTGAATGCAGAACAATTAATTTATGACATGTGATAGTAAGCATCTGTCCAAACTTAGGAGGATATAAGAAGCTAGTAAAAGAGGTGGGTTCCAATTAATTAAAAACAAGTTGTGTAATGTTAAAAGTTTTAATACTTTGGTAATAGTCTGTGCAATGTAAAATAGCTATTAAGCTTTCAATCTGATCAAATGAACACTTGTCTACTAGGGATAATTTGATCCTAGTGTATTCACTTGGAGGACAAAGTTAAATTAACTAATGATTGCTTTATTGCCTAGCAGGATCTGATGTGTAAAATGTTTCTGAAATAATTTTGTCTGTAGTGTTTCTGACACAAGGGCTGCGGAGGAAGCATGTGACAGCACTTACTCATATAGATTATATATATGAAGTAAAAACACATAGCCAGAACCTGTCTTTTTCTGATTATAGTTGCTCAGTTAATTTTTTCTTCTGCATAAGAAATCATCTTGAATGTTCTTATGTGACACATAAAGTGGGGAAGGTGGAAGATAAACATATAACCCATTGGATTCTCTTTTCCAATATCTAGATTAGATCCTGTGCTGAAAAAGAAACCAAGAAAAAAGATGACATTCCAGAAGAAGACAAAGGAAATGTAAAACAATGTGAAATCAATTATGTGTATGTATGCTTTTCCTTTTAGACCTACAGATTTGACAGTGAAGTGCTTCTCAAAGTGCTTTCAAAATAAATTACCTAATTAGCTGGGGATGGTGTTGCATGCCTGTAGGCCCAGCTACTCAGGAGGCTGAGACAGGAGGATTGTTTGAGCCCAGGAGTTCAAGGCTGCAGTGACCTCTGATCACCACTGTATTCCAGCCTGGGTGACAGAGCAAGACCGTGTCTGAAAAAATGAAAACTGATAGACAAGAAGAGGCAACACAATGTAGCCTCTAGGACAGAGCACTGAGCTAAATGCTTTTCTTGAGGTTTCAGGTTTCCTAATCATCCTACCAGCTCCCAAAGCTAGTCACTTGGGTTAGTCAATCTCTCTATTCATTCATAGAATGGGCGTGATGCCAGTCAAAGGCTGTGCTATGGTCAGGACAGAGGGGACTCCAGCCAGCATGCCCTAATAGAAGTGGGGCCTTCTGCTACCCAGTCAATGAGTGGCCCTCCTCTTGAGAGGTCATGAAGGTCATCTTTGTTGTTCAAAAGCTCCAGCTTATTAAAAAAATACAATTAGACTTTTTTTTTCTCCCCCAAGACAGAGTCTCACTCTGTCCCCCAGACTGGAGTGCAGTGCCACTATCTCGGCTCATTGCAACCTCTGCCTCCCAGGTTCATGTGATTCTCCTGCCTCAGCCTCCCGAGTAGCTGGGACTACAGGCACGCGCCACTACGCTCGGCTAATTTTTGTATTTTTAGTAGAGACGGGGTTTCACCATGTTGGCCAGGCTGTTCTCAAACTCCTGACCTCGAGTGATCTGCCTGCCTTGGCCTCCCAAAGTGCTGGGATTGCAGGCATGAGCCACTGCACCTGGCCTACAGTTAGACTTTTTTAATAAGTGAAAAAAGAAATTAACAGTATTTATAAATTTAATAGTAAATATGTGTAATCAGAGTTTGAGGTATTTTTCAATGAAGACATTTTCTTTGCAGAAAGAAATTTCAGAGCTTCCAAGACCACAAACTTAAAATAAGTAAAGAAGAGAGTAAAATTCTTAAAAAGGCTCAGAAAGATGGATTTTTGCATGAGACGCTTCTGGACAGGTAGCTATTTATTTACTTATTTTCACTATTTTCAGTAGCTAATAGAAATGGCATGTAGAAAACCTATATTCTCTTAAATTACTGTAGTTTTCACATTTTTGTCTTTATTTATAATTTATGAGTGTGGCAATATTACCTAGAGAGGACATCATGAGTTTGGGAAAAGACTGTCAAGAAAGAATATCTAAAAATTATAACCGATTATAAGTATATACTTTAAGAAATTCAGGTTTGACTGTATCTACTTCATAAATTTATCATTATCTTTTTATAACTATTAGAACCAGAGTTAGAAAGAAGCAGTTTGACTAATATAAAAATTCTGTGGATTCTGTTAGAGTAGTTCATGTTCCTTAAAATAAGCATAGATCAACTAAAAAACTAAGTATAAAAGCTAAACAAGTGAAATTGAAGCAGTTTTATTGTAAGATTTGGAAGAGTGCAGGATGTTTATCATAGCACATTATTCATATTTATTACTCTTCCTATGTAGATAAGTAATGTCCTAGATTTACAACATAGAAAAACAGGTAGAGACGTTTAGCTGTGAGTGTAAAAGTATAAATCAATTAAGTGCCAGATTTTGATAATCACCAGCCGCTCATTTAAGTCCTATGTTACAAAGTTACTCTTACCCTTTTTTTACATTACTTGATAAAGGCAATGTTTAATTACATATTTCCTGTTAACTAGCTGGTAGAGTTCATACCTAAAGTCAGTAAATAATGTTAAGAATTTTTTCCAGCTGAGCAAATGGATATGTATCTAGTTGTAAGAAATCAAGAAGAGGATATAAAATATAATCAGGATGTGGACTCTGAAACGGAATAACCTCTTTGTCCTGTAACTTTTTTCACTTGTAATAATACAGCATTCTCACCCTATTAAATGGAAATTTAGAGCACCCTTAAATTCCGGAATAATTAAAATTGCTATTTGGATTGAAAAAGCCCTTAGGCAATATTTATTGAATATTAGGAAATAACTTTTATAAGATTAGAATCCATTTTTTATAGAAACCAAATTTAAAAGTATACATATTTTAATATGTGTTGTGGTAATACAATAACCACAATTGAACACACAGTTTTAAAGCTTTTTATATTTAGTAGCAGTTGAATATATATGGCATGTTTTACATAGATTAATTTTACTATTTTTCTTTGTTTAAACAAGAGAACCAAATTGAAAGCCGACAGATACTGCAAATGACTGGAATTTTTGTTTCTGCCTTATCTTTTTGTGTTTTTTTTTTCTGAATAAAATATTCAGAGGAAATGCTTTTACAGAGTTCTTGAGTTGTTGTGAAATTATTGTTTAGCTAGTAGCTAGTTTAACCAGGATTAAACAAGTTTAATCAGGATTCTTCATGGATGTACTTCCTTGGCTAACTACAGTTTTTCACATGGAAATGAAACTTACAGTACACACTTAACGTATCACAGAATTTTTTTCTGGATTTCCTGTCCTGAAGCATGAAGTGTACTAGAAACCAATTCTTCCTGCGCTACTTGTGGAATCTTTCTTACTGGATCATAATCTTACTTTACTTTATACAATAGATGCTTAATCAGTGCCTTTAATAGGAAGTTGGAAACTCCAAATCCAATCAACAAGGCTTTGATTCTGCCTCCTAAGTACTACCCAGATCACAGACAATCCAAATATCAGAACTAGGGGTCTGGGCAGAGAGGACAAATCATCTATTAGGGAGTGGGACAGAAAGTGGAAACATTACAAAGGAGCAAGTAGGCTCAGAACAGAGGGGAGAGTAGTACTGGGGAAACTCCCTACGGAGGACAGGTTAGCCACAGTGGATATGTATGTGATGCTTTTGTCCTCGTGGGCTGGAATGGAAGCTGATAAAGAAGTTCAGACGCTACGTGTTGCTTAGGTCTGCTTCGTTGAAGCCTGTCTCTTTCAGAGTTCCTAAACACAATATTCCCATGGCATCTAATCCCAGTGAGTGCTCCAAAGCCAGGCTGTGTATCAGATGCCACGGGAAATTCTGCCTCAGGACTGAGGTTGGTTCAAGCATCTGGATGATGTCAAAAGTCCACATTGTGTGCTGGCCTAACCTGAAAGACCCTATCTAGTTCTAGCCTTTAAATTCCTTCTGTCACCAAATCTGGAGTTACATGGCATCTGTACAATCTGGGTAGCTGAGGCATGGGATCAGCCCTTTAAAGGAGATTTTGGAGCTTTCATTGTAGGTCTAGCTTCAACTTGGCACTCCCAGTTCCAATAGCTGGACTTTCTCTCATCGTGTGTTCTGATCCTTGGATTGGGAAAAAAGTAACCACTCTGATCCCACAATGCAGTGGTTCCAGTTCCCAACTGGTGACTATTTTGCCTCCCAGGGGACATTTTTGGTTTTCCCAACTGGAATGTGGTGTTAGAGAGTAGAGGCTAGGGATGCTGCGAAGCATGTGGCAGAATCCTGTTCCACCCAGAATGCTAACAGTGCCAAGGTTATGGAGCCTTCCCACCCAAGGGCTTGGTCTATTCCTTGCTTTTGCCAGCTGCCTAACCCTTAAACACAACAGTTCAAATCTATATGCATAAGCATCTCCTAGGGACCCTGCACGTTTCCAATATCGACTACTGAGACCCATCCGTAGAGATACAGGCTAGGAAGTCTAGGATTGGGCTCAAAATTTGCATTTTAACAAGTACTCCAGGTCATTCTGAAGCAAGCGATACAAACCACAGAATGAGGAACACCGCCTTCAAGAGACTGAGTCTTGCTTCCCAACACTAGCTTGGTATCTGAGACCATCTGCCTGCTGACTGGCTTTTCTGGCACAAACATTCTGCATGTAGGCCCAGTGTGTTCCTCGACTCCATATCAACCCGTTCACCCTCATGTTCCCTTGGTTCCTGTCCCCAGTCCAGCGAGCAGAACTGATTACAGATCTTGACAACAGAAGGTACAGATTTAAAATAACTTGCCTGTTCCCGTGGAATTTATCCACTAGTGAAGGAGGACAAGTGGACAAGGGGAGAGGGTAGGTGGGCGCTCCTTCCCTTTTCCTCCCATTCCACTTTATACAAACCCCAGCTAGACCACTGGGAGAGCAACGGAGGTTAAGAATGACTGCCTCTAAATATTGTCATTTGGTCCACTCTTCTTCCATCTTGTATACAAGGATATCATGACTTTGGTTTAAAGCACTACTGAAACCAAGATAAACTGTGGCTTAGCATTCCCCCGATGGATCAGTCTAGTAATCTTATCAAAACCAAGATTACCTAAAAGCACTAACCAAAGGAAAAGCTCCCTCACCCCAACCTATGACTGCTCACATTTTTCAGATTGAATCATTTCAATTGTATTTTAAGATCCATTGACTCTTTACCACCTCCAAGCTGCTCCTGAACACAACTGATTATTTTAATTTTGAAAACTTTCTCACTTCTAGAATTTCCACTTGAGCCTTTGTTATTATTGTAGTTTCTTCTTCTCTGCTGTGATTTCCTATCCATTTATTTTAAGGGTTTTTGGGGTTTTGATTTTAGTAAGAATTACAATAACTACTTTAAAAATCCGCACTAATTCCAACATCTGGGTCATCTCGAAGTCAGTCTCTATTGATTGCCTTTTTCTTTGAATATGTTTCTGTATTTTTTTGATATAATGGGATTGAATTCTGAAGATTGTAAAACTAGATTTTGTTTTGTTCCTCTGAAAATTTTGATAATTTTTTGTTGTATTTGTTGTATTTTGTTTGATTTTTTTTCTATTGTATACTTTGCAATATATTTTCCTCCAATGGTTTTAACATTTCTATTTCTCAAAATATTTATGTTTATGTTAAAAATTATACAAAGTAGCTTGGTGCAGTGGCTCCCCTCTGTAATCCCAGAACTTTTAGAGGCCAAGGCAGGAGGGTCACTCGAGCCCAGGAGTTGGAAACCAGCCTAGACAACAGGGCAAGACCCTGTCTCCACAAAAAATTATTAGCGTGGTGCAAAAAGTAATTGCGGGTTTTGCCATTACTTTCAATGGCAAAACCCGCAATTACCCTTGCACCAACCGATAAAAAATAAGCTGGATATGGTGGTGGCTTGTGCCTGTGGTCTCAGCTATTTGGGAAGTGAAGGCAGAGGTGGGAGGATTGCTTGAGCCCAGGAGTTCCAGGCCAGCCTGAGACCCTGTGTCTATGAGAAAAGAAAAAATTTAGCTGGGCCCACGTACCTGTGGTACTAGCTACTTGGGAGGCAAAGGCAGAGGTGCCAGAATCACTTGAGCCCGGAAGCTCAAGGCTGCAGGGCACTGTGATTATGCCACTGCACTCCAGCCTGGGTGATGGAGCACGACCCTGATTCCAAATAATAATTAGAAAAAGGAAAGACCTAGAACACCAGGTTAGGGTTAAGTATTCTAAAATTTAGCTAACTTACTCTGTTCTCTATAAAACAGGTTGTCACAGAAAATATAGCATGCCCAGTTAATTTGAAATTTCAGATAAACAAATACTTTTTTTAGTGTAAGTATATCCTATGCAATATTTGGGACATGCTTATACTAAAATATTATTCCTTGTTTATCTGAAATTGAAATTTAACTAGGTATTACATAATTATAGCAGCCTGACCATAAAAGATATGTAGGCTGAGCAAAATTCTACTTTAAACTGCAAGCTTTATAATAAATGCATTATTAATCAAGAACTATTATTTACTGAGACCTGTGTAGATCCCCATATTTATCTTTTATATTGTGGAGCTAGGAAAGCTACATAAAGAACATTTATAGAAATAAATGACTGTTCTATAGCTGAAAGGAAAACTCTAGCTTTTATTTTTCTCCCCAAACTTAAGCTTTATTCTACGTTTGTATAAACAATAAAATTACAGCTCAACTTTGGAAGCACAGATCATAATATAAAAATAAAGCAAAGATCCCAGAAATATTTAACAGACAACGAATCTTTCACATCATCTTACTATAGCAACTAAACATATAATAACTTAGAATGATCCATTAATTATAAATAAAGAATAAATTCTTTTACAAAGCATAACTATTAATATTATTGACCATCATAAGAGCAAATATTTTAAGTAAAACACCATAAATACTTTACAGAAAGGAGCGAGTTGCAGACACAGTCATTCTTGGATTTCTTTCAACACCAGGCTTTCTTCCCTTTTGACCTGAACTGGGAGTTGAATATTGCCTCTCTTTGCCTTCTGACCCTCTAGTCTCTGAAACATCTTTTGTACTAGAGGTATGTGCAGAGACTTCCTGGAAATTTGGATTTGTAAATTGTGCTGTTGTATCTTCTAGGCACTGCAGTGATCCAGATATAGAGCTGTTGCTCTTGCTTGTATAATTGTAACATTTTGATTCAAAAAAGGAAGTAAAAGGAAGAGTTGATTAAATTTGGCTACTGACATTAATAATAATAAATAATAATTGTACTTGTAATATAAACATCTGAAAGTTTTAGTTCTAAGAATGGCTGTCGACATAAGAAAATTATGTAAAAATAATTAATGTCTATTATAATTACTTTAACCAAAGAAAAAGTATAATTTAAAGATGGCTGTTTAAGGATCAAATTGCAGCAATTGGTAAAAGTAGATATTAGTCATATTTATGAAGTGACACACAGTGATACTGAAGGCACTTATTTCTCAAGAAACATCATTTTTTCCCAACAAGAACATACTACATCCTAGACATGAGATGAAAATAAGCTTTAATTTTCACCACAGCAGGGCGACAATCAGAGAACTGAGGTGGTACAGATCCATTAGAGGACCATATCCATGAGTCTATCAGTCTCTACTGTAGGACAGAGCAAGAATTTTTAAAGAATCTCGGTGAAGGCTCCTTTTCAAAAAAATATAAAGATTAAAGCCTTTGAAACGTAAATTATTTTTTCCAGTTATTACATTGAGGACAAAGTTATAGTTGCAAAGTTAAGATTTTTATAACTATCTCTAAAATTGATTCTCAGTGACTCCCTTGATCTACATATGTTAAGGAAAGAGGCAAGATGAAGATGTGTTAAATATTTTCCAGTTTTTAATAATCACTTTAATATAAGGTATACCCAAATAATGGTGAATTAAATGACAAAGTATGTTGCTCCCTCTCCCTCTCCCTCTCCCTCTCCTTCTCCCCTCGCCATGGCCTCCCTCTCCCTCTCCCTCTCCCTCTCGCCACGGTCTCCCTCTCCCTCTCTTTCCACGGTCTCCCTCTGATGCCAGGCCGAAGCTGGACTGTACTGCTGCCATCTCGGCTCACTGCAACCTCCCTGCCTGATTCTCCTGCCTCAGCCTGCCGAGTGCCTGCCATTGCAGGCACACGCCACCACGCCTGACTGGTCTTCGTATTTTTTTGGTGGAGACGGGGTTTTGCTGTGTTGGCCGGGCTGGTCTCCAGCTCCTAACCGCGAGTGATCTGCCAGCCTCGGCCTCCGGAGGTGCCGGGATTGCAGACGGTGTCTGGTTCACTCAGTGCTCAATGGTGCCCAGGCTGGAGTGCAGTGGCGTGATCTTGGCTCGCTACAACCTCCACCTCCCAGCCACCTGCCTTGGCCTCCCAAAGTGCTGAGAGTGCAGCCTCTGCCCGGCCGCCACCCCGTCTGGGAAGTGAGGAGCGTCTCTGCCTGGCCGCCCATCGCCTGGGACGTGAGGAGTCCCTCTGCCTGGCTGCCCAGTCTGGAAAGTGAGGAGCGTCTCTGCCCAGCCGCCATCCCATCTAGGAAGTGAGGAGCGTCTCTGCCCGGCCGCCCATCATCTGAGATGTGGGGAGCGCCTTTGCCCCGCCGCCCCGTCTGGGATGTGAGGAGCGCCTCTGCCCGGCTGCGAGCCCGTCTGGGAGGTGAGGAGCGTCTCTGCCCAGCTGCCCTGTCTGAGAAGTGAGGAGACCCTCCGCCTGGCAACCGCCCTGTCTGAGAAGTGAGGAGCCCCTCCGCCCGGCAGCCACCCCATCTGAGAAGTGAGGAGCCCCTCCGCCTGGCAGCCACCCCATCTGGGAAGTGAGGAGCGTCTCTGCCCGGCAGCCACCCCATCCGGGAGGGAGGTGGGGGTCAGCCCCCGCCAGGCCAGCCGCCCCATCTGGGAGGGAGGTGGGGGGGTCAGTCCCCCACCTGGCCAGCTGCCCCGTCTGGGAGGTGAGAGGCGCCTCTGCCCAGCTGCCCCTACTGGGAAGTGAGGAGCCCCTCTGCCCGGCTAGCCGCCCCGTCCAGGAGGGAGGTGGGGGGGTCAGCCCCCCACCCAGCCAGCCGCCTTGTCCGGGAGGGAGGTGGGGTGATCAGCCCCCCACCTGGCCAGCCACCCCATCCGGGAGGGAGGTGGGGTGGTTAACCCCCCGCCAGGCCAGCCGCCCCCTCCAGGAGGGAGGTGGGGGGGTCAGCCCCCCGCCCAGCCAGCCGCCCCGTCCGGGAGGTGAGGGGCGCCTCTGCCCAGCCGCCCCTACTGGGAAGTGAGGAGCCCCTCTGCCCGGCCAGCCACCCCGTCCGGGAGGTGGGGGGGTCAGCCCCCCGCCCGGCCAGCCGCCCCGTCCGGGAGGTGAGGGGCGCCTCTGCCCGGCCGCCCCTAGTGGGAAGTGAGGAGCCCCTCTGCCCGGCCAGCCGCCCTGTCCGCGAGGGAGGTGGGGGGGTCAGCCCCCCACCCGGCCAGCCGCACCGTCCGGGAGGGAGGTGGGGGTGTCAGCCCCCTGCCCGGCTAGCTGCCTCGTCCGGGAGGTGAGGGGCGCCTCTCCCTGGCCACCCCTACTGGGAAGTGAGGAGCCCCTCTGCCCGGCCAGCCGCCCTGCCTGGGAGGGAGGTGGGGGGGTCAGCCCCCCGTCCGGCCAGCCGCCCCGTCCAGGAGGGAGGTGGGGGGTCAGCCCCCCACCCGGCCAGCCTCCCCGTCCGGGAGGGAGGTGGAGGGGTCAGCCCCCCGCCCGGCCAGCCGCCCTGTCCGGGAGGGAGGTGGGGGGGTCAGCCCCCCGCCCGGCCAGCCGCCCGGTCTGGGAGGTGAGGGGCGCCTCTGCCCGGCCGCCCCTACTGGGAAGTGAGGAGCCCCTCTGCCTGGCCACCACCAAGTCTGGGAGGTGTACCCAACAGCTCATTGAGAACGGGCCATGATGACAATGGCGGTTTTGTGGAATAGAAAGGGGGGAAAGGTGGGGAAAAGATTGAGAAATCGGATGGTTGCCGTGTCTGTGTGGAAAGAAGTAGACATGGGAGACTTTTCATTTTGTTCTGTACTAAGAAAAATTCTTCTGCCTTGGGATCCTGTTGATCTGTGACCTTACCCCCAAACCTGTGCTCTCTGAAACATGTGCTGTGTCCACTCAGGGTTAAATGGATTAAGGGCGGTGCAAGATGTGCTTTGTTAAACAGATGCTTGAAGGCAGCATGCTCCTTGTTTCTTTGTTCACTTGTTTATCTGCTGACCTTCCCTCCGCTATTGTCCTATGACCCTGCCAAATCCCCCTCTATGAGAAACACCCAAGAATAATCAATAAAAAAAAAAGACCCTGTCCCCTCCAAAATAAATAAATAAATAAATAAATAAATAAATAAATAAAAAGACTGAGATTTGCTAAGCACAAAGTTCTTTGATTATGACACAAACCCACTGCATGTGTAGTATTCATCTGGACTGAGTACAAACAAGATGCTCATGCTGTGTGCTGTGCTGTGAGTAATAAA
Source organism: Homo sapiens (assembly GCF_000001405.40). Lineage (NCBI taxonomy): Eukaryota > Metazoa > Chordata > Mammalia > Primates > Hominidae > Homo > Homo sapiens. Next base: position 30,406,703 of record NC_000020.11, read on the forward strand.
GTCCTTTGTCTCTGAAAAAAAAAAAAAAAAGAAAAAAGAAAGTATGTTATAGCAGATGCTCACTCATCAACCTGCCTTGAAATTAAAGGTTTATAAGGTGCATAAGGGCAAAGCCTTTGATGTTGTCATTACATTCACAAAGGTATCTGAGGCACGTACAGCATGAAGTTCCCTAAGTGCTTGCAACATAAGCAGCACTAAATTTTGTTGAATAAATAAATGAATACTTTTGTATAGCATCTGCTCAAAATCTCTGATGTAAAAATGAAAATAATCTGAAAATATGCAAAACTGAATTTTCCCACATACGGTTGCCAATTCATACAATAAGATAAATTTCAAAATGAGAACATGACAATAAAATCAAGTTTCAAAATGGCTGGCCTTTTATAGCAAAACCCATGTTCAAAAAAAGGAATAAGACATCAAATATTTTGAGAACCAAAATTTCACTGCTGCTTTTCTAACACCCTGTTGTTAACCTGAGCCCCCATCCTCTTACTGTCAGTAACAGATTTTCATAATAAAATACAAGAAACAGGCCGGGTGCCTGTCAATAACATATTTTCATCATCAAATACAAGAAACAGGCAGGGCACGGTGGCTCACACCTGTAATCCCAGCACTTTGGGAGGCTGAGGCGGGTGGATCACTTGAGGTCAGGAGTTTCAGACAAGCCTGGCCAACATGGTGAAACCTCATCTCTACTAAAAATACAAAAATTAGCTGGGTGTGGTGGCAGGCGCCTTTAATCCCAGCTAATCAGGAGGCTGAGGCAGTAGAATCGCTTGAACCTGGGAGGTGGAGGTTGCAGTGAACTGAGATTGAGCCACTGTACTCCAGCCTGGGAGACAGAGCAAGACTCTGCCTAAAAAAAAAATAAATACATAACATAACAGAATCTCTGGGACATATTCAAAGCAGTGTGTAGAAGGAAATTTATAGCACTAAATGCCCACAAGAGAAAGCAAGAAAGATCCAAAATTGACACCCTAACATCACAATTAAAAGAACTAGAAAAGCAAGAGCAAACACATTCAAAAGCTAGCAGAAGGCAAGAAATAACTAAAATCAGAGAAGAACTGAAGGAAATAGAACACAAAAAACCCTTCAAAAAATTAATGAATGCAGAAGCTGTTTTTTTGAAAAGATCAACAAAATCGATAGACCACTAGCAAGACTAATAAAGAAGAAAAGAGAGAAGAATCAAATAGGTGCAATAAAAAATGATAAAGGGATTATTACCACCAATCCCACAGAAATACAAACTACCATCAGAGAATACTAAAAAACTTCTACGCAAATAAACTAGAAAATCTAGAAGAAATGGATAAATTCCCTGACACATACATCCTCCCAAGACTAAACCAGAAAGAACTTGAATCTCTGAATAGACCAATAACAGGCTCTGAAATTGAGGCAAAAATCAATAGCTTACCATCCAAAAAAAGTCCAGGACCAGATGGATTCACAGCTGAATTCTACCAGAGGTACAAGGAGGAGATGGTACCATTCCTTCTGAAACTATTCCAATCAATAGAAAAAGAGGGAATTCTCCCTAACTCATTTTAAGAGGCCAGCATCATCCTGATACCAAAGCCTGGCAGAGACACAACCAAAAAAGAGAATTTTAGACCAATATCCTTGATGAACATTGATGCAACAATCCTCAATAAAATACTGGCAAACCGAATCCAGCAGCACATCAAAAAGTTTATCCACCACGATCAAGTGGGCTTCATCCCTGAGATGCAAGGCTGGTTCAACATACGCAAATCAATAAATGTAATCCAGCATATAAACAGAGCCAAAGACAAAAACCACATGATTATCTCAGCAGATGCAGAAAAGGCCTTTGACAAAATTCAACAACACTTCATGCTAAAAACTCTCAATAAATTAGGTATTGATGGGACATATCTCATAATAATGAGAGCTATCTATTACAAACCCACAGCCAATATCATACTGAATGGAAAAAAACTGGAAGCATTCCCTCTGAAAACTGGCACAAGACAGGGATGCCCTCTCTCACCACTCCCATTCAACATAGTGTTGGAAGTTCTGGCCAGGGCAATCACGTAGGAGAAGGGAATAAAGGGTATTCAATTAGGAAAAGAGGAAGTCAAATTGTCCCTGTTTGCAGATGACATGATTGTATAGCTAGAAAACCCCACTGTCTCAGCCCAAAATCTCCTTAAGCTGCTAAGCAACTTCAGCAAAGTCTCAGGATACAAAATCAATGTACAAAAATCACACGCATTCTTATACACCAATAACAGGCAAACAGAGAGCCAAATCATGAGGGAACTCCCTTTCAAAATTGCTTCAAAGAGAATAAAATACCTAGGAATCCAACTTACAAGGGATGTGAAGGACCTCTTCAAAGAGAACTACAAACCATTGCTCAATGAAATAAAAGAGGATACAAACAAATGGAAGAACATTCCATGCTCATGGGTAGGAAGAATCAATATCGTGAAAGTGGCCATTCTGCCCAAGGTAATTTATAGATTCAATGCCATCCCCATCAAGATACCAATGACTTTCTTCACAGAAATGGAAAAATCTACTTTAATGTTCATATGGAACCAAAAAAGAGCCCACATCGCCAAGTCAATCCTAAGCCAAAAGAACAAAGTCGGAGGCATCATGCTACCTGACTTCAAACTATACTACAAGGCTACAGTAACCAAAACAGCATGGTACTGGTACCAAAACAGAGATATAGATCAATGGAACAGAACACAGCCCTCAGAAATAATGCTGCATATCTACAACTATCTGATCTTTGACAAATCTGACAAAAACAAGCAATGGGGAAAGGATTCCCTATTTAATAAATGGTGCTGGGAAAACTGGCTAGCCATATGTAGAAAGCTGAAACTGGATCCCTTCCTTACACCTTGTACAAAAATTAATTCAAGATGGATTAAAGACTTATATGTTAGACTTAAAACCATAAAAACCCTAGAAGAAAACCTAGGCAATACCATTCAGTTCATAGGCATGGGCAAGGACTTCATGTCTAAAACACCAAAAGCAATGGCAACAAAAACCAAAATTGACAAATGGGATCTAATTAAACTAAAGAGCTTCTGCACAGCAAAAGAAACTACCATCAGAGTGAACAGGCAACCTGCAGAATGGGAGAAAATTTTCACAACCTGCTCATCTGACAAAGGGCTAATATCCAGAATCTACAATGAACTCAAACAAATTTACAAGAAAAAAACAACCCCATCAAAAAGTGGGCACAGGATATGAACAGACACTTCTCAAAAGAAGACATTTATGCAGCCAAAAAACACATGAAAAAATGCTCACCATCACTGGCCATCAGAGAAATGCAAATTAAAACCACAATGAGATATCATCTCACACCGGTTAAAATGGCGATCATTAAATGTCAGGAAACAACAGGTGCTGGAGAGGATGTGGAGAAATAGGAACACTTTTACACTGTTGGTGGGACTGTAAACTAGATCAACCATTGTGGAAGTCAGTGTGGCGATTCCTCAGGTATCTAGAACTAGAAATACCATTTGACCCAGCCATCCCATTACTGGGTATATACCCAAAGGAATATAAATCATGCTGCTATAAAGACACATGTATGTTTATTGTGGCACTATTCACAATAGCAAAGACTTGGAACCAACCCAAATGTCCAACAATGATAGACTGCGTTAAGAAAATGTGGCACATATACACCATGGATTACTATGCAGGATAAAAAATGAAGAGTTCATGTGCTTTGTAGGGACATGGATGAAACTGGAAACCATCATTCTCAGTAAACTATTGCAAGGACAAATAACTGAACACCGCATGTTGTCACTCATAGGTGGGATTTGAACAATGAGAAGACATGGACACAGGAAGGGGAACATCACACACTGGGGACTGTTGTGGTGTGGGCGGAGTGGGGAGGGATTGCATTAGGAGATATACCTAATGCTAAATGACGAGTTAAAGGGTGCAGGACACCAGCATGGCACATGTATATATATGTAACAAACCTGCACGTTGTGCACATGTACCCTAAAACTTAAAGTATAATAAAAAAAAAAAAGTCAAGAAACAACAGATGCTGGCAAGACTGTGGAGAAATAAACACTTTTACACTGTTGGTAGGAATGTTAATTAGTTCAATCATTGTGGAAGACAGTTTGGCGATTCTGCAAGGATCTAGAACCAGAAATACCATTTGACCCAGAGATCCCATTACTGGGTATATAACCAAAGGACTATAAATCATTCTATTATAAAGATGCATGCACGCGTATGTTTATAGCAGCACTATTCCCATTAGCAAAAACATGGAATCAATCCAAATGCCCATCAATGATAGACTGGATAAAGAAAATGTGGTGCATACACACCATGGAATACTATGCAGCCATAAAAAGGAATGAGATCATGTCTTTTGCAGGGACATGCATGAATCTGGAAACCATCCTCTTCAGCAAACTAATACAGGAACAGAAGACCAAACACCACATGTTCTCACTCATAAGTGGGAGCTGAATAATGAGAACTCCTGGACACAGGGAGAAGAACAATACACACTGGGGCCTGTCAGTGGGGACGGGGAGGGAGAGCATCAGGATAAATAGCTAACACATGTCAGGCTTAGTACCTAGGCACCTAGGCAGTGGGTTGATAGGTACAGCAAATCATCGTAGTTCACGTTTACCTATGTAACAAACCTGCATGTCCTGCACATGTATCCTGGAACTTAAAATAAAATTTAAAAAATAAAAAGAAAACACAAGAGTACTGAAAATTGGCTCACAGTTCCACAGCCTGTACAGCAAGCATGATGCTGACATCTGCTCGGCTTCTGGGGAGGCCTCAGGAAACTTAACAATCATGGTGGAAGGGAAAGCAAGAGCAGGAGGAAGAGAGAGAGGGGGAAGGTCCTATACACTTTAAACAACAAGATCTCATGAGAACTCTATCACAAGAGCAGCGCTAGGGGGATTATGCTTATCCATTAGAAACTGCTCCCATGGACCAGCCACCTCCCAGCAGGCCACATCTCCGACAGTGGGAACCACTGGAGGCTGCTCCCATGGACCAGCCACCTTCCAGCAGGCCCCATCTCCAACACTGGGAACCACTGGAAACTGCTCCCATGGACCAGCCACCTCCCAGCAGGCCCCATCTCTGACACTGGGGATTACATTTCTATAGAAATTTCCAATAATTTTGGAACACATACTAATAACATATTTATAAAAATACAGTCCAAAGTAGCCCAAACACCATTCACTCTTCTATTTGAAAGTTTTCCCTCTATTCTAATGTCACAATATCCAGCGTTATTAATCAGAATCCTGCATTTAAGGGCATCTGTTAAATTTTATAGCTGATTATAAAACCATCATTTAAAGAGGACCAAAATGAGACAAAAATTGTCTGTGGATGACAAAAACATTAAGGGCAGCCACAGTTAAAGACACGAACAACAGTCTTTAAAGTAGAATTTGCTGTAGAGCCTATTATGAGGGAGATATTTCTAGTTATTACCTCCTTTATTCTAAACCATGGAAAAAGGACCTATCAAATAAAGTCCTTCTAGAAGAGTGAAGGGCTCCTGGCAATGTTCTCTTTAATCCATGATGTGGGATAAGGGGAGTTTTGACTGATTATGAGGCAATGTATATACCACTAAAGTTTCAACACCCTAAAAGGAATAAAAATGGGGGAGGGAAGTCCTGGAAAACCAGATGGAGCCGTAGCAGAAGATGATTTCAGTCCACCGAACCCTGAATTGTGGGCTGGTTGTGCTGCATCGCTCTGTGACTTATGGTTCTGCTGCAACAAAGATCTAATTCCCAGGGTTATAGGAAAAGACACCTGCAGTACCCCTGAGTCACAGAGAAGGGAGAAATCCAAACTTGACTTAAGTCTAGGGTTCTTAAACCACACAATCTGCTCATAAGGAGGACTTCAACTCTGAAGATACTGATTTGGGGCTGTTTCAAAGAAAGAAATTATAAATATGAGTGGGAAAGAGAACAACCTTCCCCATATCCAGTGGCAAAAAAATGAGGGAGAGGGAAGGAAGGAAGGAAGGAGGGAAGGAAGGAGAGAAGGAAGGAAGGAGAGAGGGAAGAAAGGAGGGAAGGAAGGAGAGAGGGAAGGAAGGAAGGAGGGAAGGAAGGAGAGAAGGAAGGAAGGAGAGAGGGAAGAAAGGGAAGGAAGGAGAGAGGGAAGGAAGGAAGTAGGGAGGGAGGGAGGTAGGGACGGAAGGAAGGAAGGAAGTAGGGAGGGAGGGAGGGACGGAAGGAAGGAGAGAGAGAAGGAAGGAATGAAAGAAGGAAGGAGAGAGGGAAGGAGGGCAGGAAGGAAGGAAGGCAGAGAGGGAAGGAGGGAGGGAGGGAAGGAAGGAAGGAGAGAGGGAAGGAAGGAGAGAGGGAAGGAAGAAAAGGAAGGAAAGGGAAGGAGGGAAGGCAGGAAGGAGGGAAGGAAGAAGGGAAGGAAGGAAAGAGGGAAGGATGGAAAGATGGAAGGAAGGAAGGCAGGAAGGAGGGAAGGAAGGAAAGAGGGAAGGAAAGAGGGAAGGAAGGAAAGATGGAAGGAAGGAAGGAAGGGAAGGAACTTGGATATGCACAAAAACAAAATTTAATACGGAAGTCTATCATCTGACCTAATTGGAAATGTACTATTTTCTACAACAATTTATACAGTCCAAAGATAAAAGGGTGCTGATTGGTATTTGTAACTCTCCAGCATATATTCTGAATCAATTTTAACATCTGCTGAAATCTACCAATTGTCATACCTTCACAAACTAAATCGATACTGAAGCTCAAACTTTGTTATACCTGAGATTTCACTAAATTTAAACATTGCATCCCCTAATCCTAGCAGAGTAACTGCATATAGAATAGAGGGCACATACTTATGCCTCACATTTGTTACCTTGACTAAATTTCCCGTAGTCATAGAAGTCTTTGTCCATAGGGGACCTGGATGCTCTGACCTAATGAGTAACAAATTGATATTAAATCATTTACACTTACACATTGACTTCACCAAATGTAACCTTACAGAACTCCCTCTCCTGTTTTTTTTTTAATTTGATTTATTTTTAATTTTTCATTTTTTAGAGATGGGGTCTTCCTTCATTACCCAGGCTGAATGAAGTGTGGTGGCACAATCGTAGTTCACTGCTGCCTTGAACTCCTGGGCTCAAGCAATCCTCCCATTTTAACCTTCCAAGTAGCTGGGTTTACAGGCATGCACCAACACAGCCAATTAAAAAAATTTATAGAAGTGGAGTCTTGCTATGTTGCCTAGGCTGGTCTCTAACTTCTGGCCTCAAGCAATCCTCCTGCCTCGGCCTCCCAAAGTGCTGGGATTACAGGTGTGAGTCACCGTGCCTAGCCTCCCCATCTTGATAAATTAGCAAATATGGTTCAACATAAATTACAACACGACTTCAAATAAATAAAACTTATTATATAAAACCAAATGAATTAGGGAAGGGGTGATAATCTTCATTGCTTCAACGTTTAGCAGTAGAATTTGGCCTGTTCTTAAACCTGCAAAGAATAAATGGTGTTTCACAGTGGATTGCTGTAATGTGACTGCAGTGCTCCCATTCATTAAGGCCCTTGTACCCAATACCTAATATTTTGGTTAATTTTTTTTATTTCAATAGGTTTTTGGGGAATATGATTTTTTTTTTTTTAATTTCAATAGGTTTTTGGGAAACAGGTGGTGTTTGCTTACAGGAATAAGTTCTTTAGTGGCGATTTCTGAGATTTGTGGTGCACCCATCACCCAAGCACTGTACATTGTACCCAATATGTACTGTTTTATCCCTCACTGCACCCACCCCACCACTCCCAGCCTTTCCCCGAGTCCCCGAAGACCATTGTATCATTCTTACACCTGTGCATCCTCACAGCTTAGCTCTCACTTATGAATGAGAACATACAATGTTTGGTTTTCCATTCCTAAGTTGCTTCACTTGGAATAATGGTGTCCAGTTTCATCTGGGTTGCTGTGAATGCATTATTTCATTCCATCTTAAGAATGAGTAGTATTCCATGTGGTAAATATTTATACCACATTTTCTTTATCCACTTACTGATTGATGTGCATTTAGGCTGGTTTCAAATTCTTCCAATTGCATATTGTGCTGCTATAAACATGCGTGTGCAAGTATCTTTTTCATATAATGACATTTTCCTCTGAGTAGATACCCAGGAGTGGAATTACTGGATCAAATGATAGATCTGCTTTTAGTTCTTTGGAAATTTCCTCACTGTTTTCCATAGCTGTTGTACTAGCTTACATTCCCTCCAAAAAGTGTAAAAGTGTTCCCTTTTTACCACATCCATGCCAACATCTATTAATTTTTGATTTTTTGATTATGACCATTCTTGCAGGAGTGAAGGGGTATCATATTGTATTGTGGTTTTGATTTGCATTTCCCAGATAATTAGTTATGTTGAACATTTTTTCATGTGTTTGTTGGCCAGTTGCTTATCTTCTTTTGAGAATTGTCTGTTCATGTCCTTAGCCCACTTTTTGATGGGATGTTTTTCTTGCTGGTTTGTTTGAGTTCCTTGCAGATTCTGGGTATTAGTCCTTTAATCAGAAGTACAGATTGCGAAGATTTTCTCCCACTCTGTAGGTTATCTGTTTACTCTGCTGATTATTTCTCTTACTGCTCAGGAGCCTTTTAGTTTAATTAAGTCTCATCTATTTATCTTTGTTTTAGTTGCATTTGCTTTTTGGGTTATTGGTCATGAAGTCTTTGCCTAAGCCAATGTCTAGAAGGGTTTTTCCAATGTCGTCTTCTAGAATTTTTATGGTTTCAGGTATTAGATTTAAGTCCTTGATCCATCTTGAGTTGATTTTTGAATAGGGTGAGAAATGAGCATCCACTTTCATTCTTCTATGTGTGGCTTGCCATTTATCTCAGCACCATTTGTTGAATAGGGTATTCTTTCTCTGCTTTATGTTTTTGTTTGTTTTGTTGAAGATTAGATGACTGTAAGTATTTGGCTTTATTTCTGTGTTCTCTATTATGTTCCATTGATCTATATGGCTATTTTTATACCAGTGCCATGCTGTTTTGGTGACTATGGCCTTCTAGTATAGTTTGAAGTCGGCTTCTAGATTTGTTCTTTTTGCTTAGTCTTGCTTTGGCTATACAAACTCTTTTTTGGTTCTAGGCTTTTATTACCTTAAGGTATGTCCCTTCTATGTCTTTTTTAGTTCCATGTGAATTTTTGTAGTTCTGTGAAGACTGATGTTAGCACTTTAATGGGGATTGCATTGAGTTTGTAGATTGCTTTTGGCAGTATGGTATTTTCACAATATTGATTTTACCCATCCGTGAGCATGGGATATGTTTCCATTTGTTTGTACCTATGATTTCTATCAGCAGTGTTTTGTAGTTTTCCTTGTAGAGGTCTTTTGTCTCTTTGGTTAAGTATTCCGGATATAATTAAGATTTTGTCTGCAAAGATTGCATGCAATTGACAATTATGGGAATATACTATTGTAACTATAGGAATTATAATATTCCTAAGATTTTTATTGCAGCTATTGTAAAAGGGGGTGAGTTTTTTATTTAATTCTCAGCTTGTTAACTATTACTGTATAGCACAGCCACTGACTTGTGTACATTAATTTTGTATCCTGAAACTTTGCTGAATTCATTTACCAGTCCTAGTAGCTTTTGGGATGAGTCTTTAGGGTTTTCTAGGTATACGATCATGTCATCAGCAAAGAGTGACAGTTCGACTTCCTCTTTACCTATTTGGATGCCCTTTATTTCTCTTATCTGATTGCTCTGGTGAGGATTTCTAGTACTGTGTTGAATAGAAGTGGTGAAAGTGGGCATCATTGTCTTGTTCCAGTTCTCAGGGGGAATGCTTTCAACTTTTCCCCATTCCATATAATGTTGGCTGTGTGTTTGTCATACATGGCTTTTATTACCTTAAGGTATGTCCCTTCGATGTTAATTTTGCTGAGGGTTTTAATCATAAAGGGATTCTGGATTTTGTCATATGCTTTTTCTATGTCGATTTTGCTGAGGGTTTTAGGCAAAAAGGGATGCTGGATTTTGTCAAATCCTTTTTCTGCATGTATTGAGATGATCATGTGATTTTTGTTTTTAATTCTGTTTATGTGGTGTATCACATTTATTGACTTACAGATGTTTAACCATCCTGCATCCCTGGTTTCTCTTCAGATCGTATACATCTTTCACCTTATGATGGTTAATTTTATTTGCCAAGTTGGGTTGTCTAGATATTTGGTTAAACACTCTGTATGTGTCTGTGAGGGTGTTCCTTGATGAGACAAACATTTGAATATGTAGACTTAGTAAAGTAGTTGCCCTCTCCAGTGTGAGTGGGCCTCATCCAATCCATTAAAACCCAAATAAAACACAAGGGTAGAGGAAGAGATAATTCACCCTCTTTGATGATTTCAGAGCTGAGACGTAGATCTTCTCTCGCTTTTGAAGTCAGACGTGGACTGTAACTTATGCCATCAGCTTTCCTGGTTCTCAGGAATTTAGGCTTGGACTGGAACTCCACCATTGGCAGTCCTGGTTCTCCAGCTTGCTGACTGCAGGTCCTGGGACTTCTTAGCCTCCATAACCACATGAGCCAATTCCTTACAATAAACCTATATATATTCATGCAACTGATAAATATTTTGTTGTTACAGATTTGGCTACCATGTTCTTTTTGTGCCTATTTTAACAGAGTCTCAGTCATAGCCTGCCTTCATCTCTGAAGGGACCAGGCGACCCATGGAGTGCCTCGGCAGCCTCGTCATTGCATGCAATCTTCACAGACAAGATCTCACTGCAACCACGTTTCTACAGGAGCACAGGTGTGACATTATACTGATGACATCATTCTCAGAGAAAATTCATTTTACATACTAAGGACACACAGATACAAGGAGGCTTACACAAAGGGAGTGGACCTCTCCTCAACACAGTAGTGCAAGGCCCTGCCACTTTGCTTCAATTCCTGAAAATTCCTTGGTAAACTTGGGGCTGCTCTATTCCTGACACTTTCAAAAAACAGTTATTCATCCTCTCAGCATCCACAATGTTAATACAAACCCAACATTCTTCAATTTGTGTTTTGTTTTTTGGAGGCACAGTCTTGCTCTGTCACCCAGGCTGGTATGAAGTGGCACAATTTCAGCTCACTGCAGCCTCGACCTCCTGAGCTCAAGCAATTCTCCCATCTCGGCCTTCCAAGTAGCTCGGACTGCAAGTGTGTGCCACGACACTCAGCTAATTTTGTTTAATTTTTTGTAGAGAAAAGGTCTCGCTATGTTACCCAGGCTGGTCTCAAACTCCTGGGCTGAAGGGATCCTCTTGCTTCAGCCTCCCAAAGTTCTGGGGTTACAGTTGTGAGCCACTGTGCCCAGCCCTTTAATTCTTTACTTGGGGTTCAGGTGACAACATATTTCTTGTTTACAAATCTTACTTAATCTCACTGATGCTGTCATTGGCAAACTGACCCACCTCGAATGAAGCCTCCTCCAACAAGTCTGGAATCTGTCCAAATTTAAATTAACAGGTACTTCTATGAATTCCCTCAGAGAACACACTGTGGATGCTTTAGAGACCTCTTCCCATGCATCCTGAATTATCTGGGTTGCATATGGTGGCCATAAGTAGTCCATGGGCTTCTGATGTAAAAACAAACCTGCCCCTTTTGACCCTGCTCTGTACAGCATCAGGGCAGTGATTGCTGACCATATCCTGGACCCTCTGGAAACAGAGGGCTCTGCATCCATGTCCATGAGCCTTCATGCCCATCTGGCCATCAGGCCTTGGGAAGCAGCACCCCACAGCCTTGGCACAGCTGCAGAGACCTCCTTGCCTCAGGATGGAGTCAAACCTGGACCCCCTGCCATTCTCATCTGCAGGAAACACTGCCCTCCTTCATTCTCAGGCTGTGTTGCTGGAAGTCACCCGTCTCCGAGGACCCTTGGGATCGACTGAGTGACCAGCAGTGAAGTTCATCCACCTTCTGAATGGATGCCATCATCTGACATGATGGAGCGCAGTGGGATGCTGCTGCCTTCCCTCCCTTAGCTAGGATGTCCCTGATAAAGGATGACACCCAAGCCTCAGCACAACTGGCCAAACTTGAGGTGGTCATCTCAGCACTGATGCTGGGCCAACAATTAGCCCCATTTGTACATTTTTACAAATTTTTGGCAATTGTCAAGAATTGTCCACCTTCCCTCCCCATTGAATTAAAGAAACTTCTTGCCTCATGGATACTCAGAATACAATCAAGGTAACAGATGCCTTTTTTTTTAACCAAGGACACAGTACAGATCTCACAGGGACACTCCTTATCTCCTGCAGAGTTCCAGACACTACTGATGGTGACCAAGGCAACATTCATCGGAAAACACAGTGCTAGGCTTGTGAAAGTGTCCAGTAGGGCTTCCACTGCCCCTATAGGCTGCAGGCAGCTGCTTTAGTTGAGAGAGAGACTGAGCTCCTCAAAGAATTCCTATTTAAGTTACAAAGCAGCGAGTGGATGCCCTGCTGGGTTCCACTGTTGCCACAGGCTTTGATTACTCTAAGTTCATGCTTCTTAGGAAAGTGCACTTTTTACACCAACGCTACACAGTTCCCTCAGTTGCCTTTACTGGACATCAAGGAGTTCACATTTTTGACAACCATTCAGTCCTGGACTGTCCAAGGGGTGGAGGTAGCTCCGTACAGGAAGCTGCCTGCTGCGTGTGGATCAGTAATATCAGACTTGCCCAACAACTCACTGGAGACATGAAAATCAATGCATGGGGTTGCATGATATCACCCAAATATTTATGAAAACACTTGTGTGGCCAGAGACCCCAGATATCTAAACCAAAGCATGGGGAATGCATGACATCACCCAAATATTTACGAACATGCTTGTGCTGCCAGAGACCCCAGATCACTTTCCCTGCCTCCTGCTAAATAAATGGGGGTCGTAGCTTTGCATTGGCTTCCACATTACATTACTCATAACTGTGGCCTTCCTAATCTCTCATGTCCCTAAGCACTTATTATAATGTCTCAGCAGCTTTCAGCCTCTCAAAATATTAGTCATCATGAAAATAAATGTCTGATATTAAAGAATCAGGGGTCAATTGTATTGTGACACCTAAAATTTCATGCAGCACCCCACCATGTCCTCAGCCTAATGACTTTCATGCCCCCACCAGACTGCAAAACTCTGAATTAGTCAAGCACATCACTGAAGGGACCAGGGGTTACCCCACCCTCTGATTTCTACCAAGCCTGCCTCCCACACCCTCAGTTCCAGAGTGCTACCCTGGGTAGACCTGCATAAATACAGTGTCATCCCCCGCTGGGCTGAGTATGTGTGACGAGTAAATTACTGGGAATTTCGTCTGCTCAGTGTTAGTTTTGTCTGCAGCCATTCCCAGAATTCTAGGGCAAGACTAGCTTCTTCGCCAATGGGGTGAACAGGAAGGAACCCATGTAGGAATTGCCTTTTTAAAAAAATCCCTTCCCACCCTCTTAATTATGTAATGCTTGCATTTTTATAGCTTTTTTCTCATTCCATTACCTGAGGTCAGCCACTGATATTTAACCCATCCTTAGCCTCGGAGGAGGGCAGAGGAGCACTGGTCATATTGATTTCGCTAGCGGTGACATGATTTCCTTCTGTGCCACTCAAATTCTCTCCTTCTTTAACTTGTTGCTCAGTAGGTTGTGTTTCACTCGTCTTTGCAGATTGTTAGGAAGATGAGAATCAGCTTTCATTTTTGATGTTGCCATAGAGAAGACTCCATGGTAATCTTTATTTGCACAATCAACTTTTTCTTTTCCCCCAGAAATTGCAAATTCTTATGTGAGAGACAGCTTTCTGGAATCTGCAAACATAGATTATCGTCTCTCTTTTGATGGTAAATTTCTTATATCCCCACCAACAATAAAATACTTACATATAATTTTGGCATGTCATATTGATTGCCAACTACACGTAAGAACATTCCTTGATTTTAAATCTAGACTAATTATGAAAATTTGGGTAGTCATACAAAATTATTTTGTACAAATTTATAGACCTTAGGATTAAATGAGTTACTATTAACTAATATTTATTGAGCAGTCAAGTGTATGGCAGAAGCTTACTATGTACTATTTCATTTTATACTTAAAACAATATTCTATGCAAAATGCTATAATTTCCCCATGCCTCCAATTTGGACATGATAAAACTGGGTCTCGTAAACTTTTCACCCCAGAGTTCTCTGCTTAGTAAGAAGTAGAAGTATGTCTAAACCTAAGTCATCTGATTTCAGAGCCCATATAGTTAAATGCTCTAAATGCATCTTCCCATAGTGATCGTGACTATGAGAGCCTGTCACATGATGTAGGACAGTGCTTCCCTGTAACGTGTGCAAGATTCCCGTGATGATGGTGACTATGAGACCCTGTCAGATACGATGCAGGACAGTTCTTTCCTCGAACATGCACAAGATTCCCGTGATGATAGTGATTATGAGAGCCCTGTCACATATGATGTAAGACAGTGCTTCCCTGTAACATGTGCAACATTCCCCTGATGATTGTGACTATGAGTGCCTGTCTGATACGATGTAGGACAGTGCTTCCCTGTAACATGCACAAGATTCCCGTGATGATGGTGACTATGAGAGCCTGTCACATATGATGTAGGACAGTGCTTCCCTGTAACATGTACAAGATTCACCCTGGAATCTTATTAAAATGCAAACTCGTAGACCACACTTTGACTAGCTAAGACAAGAGCATTTAAATGGATGTCCAGGTGACAGTGTTAAGATCCTACTGTTCGTGTGGGCACTGGCTCACCATATTAACAAAGCTTAGGACCTCCAGTCCCTGCTGGAAAAGAAATACAGATACATAGGATGTGACTGTGCATATGGAATGTCTGTTGTGTTCTCGACATTGTACTAGACACTAGAGATAAAAAGTCAAATATCCCTTGCCTCTTTCTGAAAGGAGCTTCCTACACAGTGGCTTCTGACTGCAGTGTATATTTTCTCTTCTGCCCTGGGTGGGTGAGCTCTATCTCAATGTTGGTAACTTAACACTGCCCAGTGGGTTTTACGGGGGAGACCATAGCTAGCTGCGCTCCCACATAGCTATGACCATAGCATATCTCGTAATGCCATTTCCCCTTTGTCAGAAGGCTCCCTCCAGTATCATACATACACGCTCCCCATGATTATAAATTCTTCCTCTTTCCACTAAATGTTCCTAAATCTTGCAAAGATAAAAACATAAACCACATTCTTGTCATAATAGTTATATATTAATGATGAAAGTTCCTTACTTTTCTTCCTTTTCTTTTTGCGATGGAGTCTCGCTCTGTCCCCAGGTTGGAGTGCAGTGGCGCGATCTCGGTTCCCTGCAAGCTCCACCTCCCGGGTTCATGCCATTCTCCTGCCTCAGCCTTCCGAGTAGCTGGGACTACAGGCACCCACCACCACACCTGGCTAATTTTTTTTTGTATTTTTAATAGAGACGGGGTTTCACCATGTTAGCCAGATGGTCTTGATCTCCTGATCTTGTGATCCACAAGCCTCGGCCTCCCAAAGTGCTGGGATTACAGGCATGAGCCACCGCACCCAGCCCAAGTTCCTTACTTTTTATGTGTTTAATATTTTCTCCCAATTTATAGAATATATTGATTAAGAATAAATTTTAGCCATGCACATCTATTACAAACTTCATGATATACTTTGCTATTTTTAAATTTCCTATACTCTTATAAAATGTGTGTTCTGGACTCACATTGGCTTCCATTTCTTCCCTCTGGCTTCTATTAGTTTAGGCTATGAGTAGAGATGGACGAGGTGGCTACTGTAATGGATCAAGGCTATGAGCAGAGATGGATGAGGCAGCAGCTGTAATGGATTAAGGCTATGAGCATCTTGTGAAGTAGGATGTTAAATCTGTAAATGTCAGAATGAATCCAAACTTACCAATTCAAAACTGGATTGTAAAACCGCTCAAAAAAACTGAAAACACAGCTCTACACTTTAGGAGGCTGAGGCAGGCAGATTGCTTAAGTTCAAGAGTTGGAGACAAGTCTAGAAAACATGGAAAAACTGTCTCTACAAAAAATATATATATTTTTAATTAGCTGGGTATGGTGGTATGAGCCTGTGGTCCCAGCTTTTCAGGAGGCTGAGGTGAGAGGATGGCTTGAGCCCAGAAGGTAGAGGCTACAGTGAGTTCTGATCATGCCACTGCATTCCAGCCTAGGTGACAGAGTGAGACCCGTCTCAAAAACAAACAATAACAGCTCTAAACGAAAGTGGCTAGAAAAGTAGCTTAAGTTGTTCCTGTGTGGTTAAATAGAAACATAAATGAACTACTTATGTGCCCCAGGGGCTTCATAATGCTGAGAGCAAAGTCAATTATTCCAGCAGGTTCTAGCAAACTTTATCATATCATGGGGTTCAATGAAAATATCAAATCATAAATATAATAATCAAATCTGAAAGTGAATCTAGTTTCAAAGACCTCAGAAGCCAGTGTGTAGGAAGCTCTTTTCAGATAGAGACAAGGGATTATTTGACTTCTTATCTCTGTTGTCTAGCACAATGTCCAGAACACAACAGATATTCCATATGCACAGTCACATCCTATGTATGTGTATGTGTATTTCTTTTCCAGCAAGGACTAGAGGTCCTAAACTTTGTTTATATGGTGAGCCAGTGCCCAAATGAGCAGGAGAATCTTAGCACAGTCACCTACACACTCATTTCAATGCTCTGGCCCCTTATCCAAGCTAGTCAATGTGTGGTCTATGGTTTTGCATTTTAAGGGATCTCCGGGTGAATCTTGTGGCTGTCAAAGGAGAAGCACTGCCCTCAAAATATAGAAAAGGTGAACTAATTTATCCAGGCAGGCTGGCTATTTATTTATGTATTTATTTATCTTTTTGATGGGAAGATTCAAATTGACATACACAATCACCCCCATAAAGATTTCAGGTAAAAAACAAACAAAGGTTTAGATATCAGATGTGTTTTGCAATTACCGCACCAGTCTTTTTACTACAGAATCTAGTAGCATATTTCCCAATAGATCTAGGTGAAAATTTCTATCTCATGAGCCTTCTGTCAGTATTTTTAAAATTGGACACTCTATTAGTGGCCACATTGAATCTCTTACAGGCATCTCACTCAAACTGCAGCCATACTTTCCAATAGGCCCCATAAAAATCCTTGTTCTGGAGCAATCTAATATATTTATTCACCTCTTTAGACACTTAGGTAAGTATAATAATACAAGTTTTGTGTGTGTGTGTGTGTGTGTATTGTGTACCTTGTGACCTCTTTTCCAGTTTCTGCAACACCTGAAGGTGAGGCAAGCTTAATGTAAATAATGTCCAGCAATGTTAGAAATGTTGACTTTTATGTGTCCATCAGGAAAAAAGGATGAATGTTATTGTAGAGGAAATTTTCATTCTGGAAAAAAATGCATACTGTTTGAATATTACTTTCATGCTTTCCACAGATATTATACACAGATATTATATTCCAAGGATTATGTTGCAATGTCTTCAAAAATAGAAAATTCATTTTATATTTCTAGATGAAAATAATAATAGTAATTAGCCTACCTTTGGGGAAATGTGACAAAAATACTAATGATGATTACAACTCATTAAAAGCATAAAATGTGCAATGATTTAAACTACATGTTCTTTCTATGAATCTGCGTAGAAATATAGACATATTTGATAAATGCTATTTAAAGTCTGAGTGCTTTGGTAAATGATTCGTCTATAGGTTGAAGGGATTACTTTTATCTGTCTTCATAGTGAGAATTAGATTTCTATTCTTTATAAAGCAGGGAATACAGATTGTGCATGGAGTAAAAGCATTCAATCCTTATTAATAATGATGGTAGCTGCGCTGCAGAAAAGAAAGCCTGTCAGAGTAACGTGTTCAGTTTTACATCATAATCAGAGGTATGTCGATCTCTGTTGAAGGTAGAATTAAAAACGCCTTCAACATTTTTAAAATAATAGATGAAAAACATCTCAAAGTCACTTTTAAAATTTGAATTGACGATTCCACATAACAGGGAAAGGACAAAGAACATCTTAAATACTTCACGATGGAAGTGATGTTTTAAGTGCAATTTCATCAAGGAGAAGTTTTTCCAGAAAGTCTTTTGACCTCAGTAAGAAGCTTATTTACTCTGGTAAATAGTTTCTAGTAAGATGAGAAAGACTTGATTTTTTAAAAACAATAAAAAATTCACATTGTTTAATCTAATGTTGTGATTTCAAAAGTACTACTTTTGCCCTTATAGTTACGCATGTGTATTTATATGCATTTTCTTGGTTCATTCAAACGCCAATAAAATACTTTACTATCCAGGCC